>NC_000006.12:43090303-43393333 GCF_000001405.40 Homo sapiens
CCGGGGCCTCTTGCAGCTTTTGAAGCTGGTGCTTCAGGCCTGGAGGAATGCAGAACATTTCATTTTAGGGGTGGACTTAGGTTTCCACTGCTGTCGGTATTTGCAAATTTGAAACAAATGCCCTCATTTAGCAGCAGGCAGGCTGAGCAGTAAACTGGGGCTGTTTAAGGGCGTTTATGATGGTCACAGGTATTTGTGGAGAGAGGGACCCCAGCAGGTTTGGGAAAAGATAGAGGGTTTATGGTTAGGTGGGTTGTACAAAGACCCTAGCCAGGTCTCCAGTGGAGGTTGTTGTTAGGTGGGCTTTGTCATACAAAGCATTGCTGCCTCCTGCTCCCCCAGGAAGTATCTCCTTCTGGCAGACAAAGGTTTGGGATGGTGTTTATCCTCAGGCTCTGATGCTCAGGGCCTTGTCCCTCCCGCTTGGTTGCCAAAGTATCAGATTTCCAATGAATCCTTCCTTCTTCTACTCCCAGGACCTGAAAGGCTCGTTAAATGTGCTTTATATATAACAAGTTGGCTGAGAGGTTCCCCCCTCACTTCCAGCCAGTTTTGTAAGGAAGGAGCTAGGGAAACCTGTTTTCTTTTTTTTTGTTGTTGTTTCTGGAAGTAGGACCTGTGAAGGTGCACTTGAAGAAAGACCCTGATTTTAGGGATCAGCCAAGTCAGGGTTATTTGCCTCTGATGGGTCAGCCTAACCAAGAAGGATCTGTCTGAAGCCTGGCTGCCCCCTCCTTGCTCCCCGCTTCCCAGGGAAATTCAGAAATCTGTTCAGGAACTGACTTCTGGCTCCACAGCTTACTGGCTGAGAGACCTTAGTTTACTTCACTTCTCTGAGCTTCGGTTTCCTCTTTTTTTTTTTTTTTTTTGTTTTGGAGATGGGGTCTCACTCTGTCGCCCAAGCTGGAGTACAGTGACGTGATCTTGGCTCACTGCAATCTCTGTCTCCTGGGTTCAAGTGACCCTCCTGGCTCAGCCTCCCAACTAGCTGGGACTACAGGCCCACACCACCATGGCTGGCTAATTTTGTATATTTTTGTTTTAGTAGAAATGGGGTTTCACCATGTTGGCCAGTCTGGTCTCCAACTCCTGACCTCAGGTGATCCACCCACCTCGGCCTCTCGAAGTGTTGGGATTACAGGCGTGAGCCACTGCGCCTGGCCGGTTTCCTCTTTTGTAAGATAGGAATAATAATACCAGTCTCGTTAGAGTTCTTGCAAGAGTTGAGTGAGATGGTACTGCATTTCATTAACTCTTAGATGTTTTTTCTTTTCACATTTGCACATCTTTGAAATTGGGATGTAACTTATAATTAATTACGGTAGTCACCCCTTATCTGTGGTTTCATTTTCTGTGGTTTCAGCTACCCATGGTCAAAAAATATTAAATGGAAAATTACAGAAATAAACAACTTACAAGTTTTAAGTTTTATGCCATTCAGAGTAGCATGATAAAATCTCTTGATATCCCACTCCATCCCGCCCAGGACATGAATCATCCCTTTGTCCAGTTTATCGAATGTCAGGGTATCAGATGCTTGGGTTCAAGTAACTCTTTTTTTAATTTATTTTATTTTTGAGATGGAGTCCTGCTCTGTGGCCTAGGCTGGAGTGCAGTGGCGCGATCTCAGCTCACTCCAACCTCCACCTCCCGGGTTCAAGTGATTCTCCTGCCTTAGCCCCCTGAGCAGCTGGGATTACAGGCACGTGTCACTACGCCCAGCTAATTTTTGTATTTTTAGTAGCGATGGGGCTTCACCATGTTGGTCAGGCTGGTCTTGAACTCCTGACCTCGTGATCCACCCACCTCGGCCTCCCAAAGTGCTGGGATTACAGGCGTGAGCCTCTGTGCCCGGCCTACTGTGCCTAATTTATTTATTTGTTTTTTAGAGATATGGTCTTGCTCTGTTGCCCAGGCTGGAATGCAGTGGTGCAATCATGGCTCACTGCAGCCTCGACCTCCTGGGCTCAAGTGATCCTCCCACCTCAGCCTCCCAAGTAGCTGGCACTACAGGTGTGTGCCATCACGCCCAGCTAAATTTTTGTAGGGATAGGCTCTTGCTCTGTTGCCCAGGCTGATCTTGAACTCCTAGACTCAAGCAATCCTCCTACTACCTCAGCCTCCCAAAGTGCTGGGATTACAGATGTCAAGTGCCTAATGTATAAATGAAACTTTATTGTAGGTATGTATATATAGGCATAAAACATAACATTTGGGGGTTGTTACTACCTGAGGTTTTAGGCATCCACTGGGGGGTCATAGAACATATCCCCCCCAGGATTGGGGGGACTACTGTATATAACATTGTGCCTTAGTTCAACTAGTACCACTTTGTCCTCTTGGTGCACATAAATAATGGAGCATCTTCTAAATTCAGTATATGTGAAGGACTTAGTCTGTGATACTGTGAATGCTCAGTAAAAGTTGGCTATAACTGTGATGGTTATCTGTGGAGGTTATAACTGTGATGGTTATCTGTGGAGGTTATAACTGATGGTTATCTGTGGTAGTTATAATTGTGATGGTTATCTGTGGTGGTTATAGCTGTGATGGTTATCTGTGATGGCTATGACTGTGATGCTTATCTGTGATGGTTATAACTGTAATTTACAGGCCTAGTTTTGCTTCCCATCTACCAGTAACTTTCAATAAAACCTGTTTTCCTTTTAGTCTGGCATGTAAATAACAAATGATGCTTAAGGCATAAAGCATCATGCTAAGTATTGTATGCATGTGTGCATGCTGATGGCAGGGGGGCGGGGTGACTTTAAGTCTTTATAAGGCAAGAGATGTTTACAAGAGGAGGTAGGTGTCCCTAACAAGGCAGACAGTCTATCTATTATGGAAAGAATACAGTGACTCTCTAATGATAGGATCTCCTTTTTTTTTTTTTTTTTTTTTTTGAGACGGAGTTTCACTCTTGTTGCCCAGGCTGGAGTGCAACGGCACAATCTCAGCTCACTGCAATCTCCACCTCCCAGGTTCAAGCGATTCTCCTGCCTCAGTCTCCAGAGTAGCTGGGATTACAGGCGCCCACGACCACGCCCGGCTAATTCAAAGTCTCCATTTTGAAAGGCTGAGCTGGGGGACACTGGAGGTTCACTCCAGGAATGGATTGCTGGTAGGTGAATCAAGACAGAATCTGGAGAGAGTGATTAACAAGACAAGGATACAGAGAAGACCAAAGAGAGGCACACAGTAAATGTCAGGAGCTCAGAGGATGGAGACCTGGGTCAGGCAGGCAGGAGACGGACAGGAGATGCTAGCGTTTTCTTCCCCAGCAGCACACTTGTGTGGGGCTGATTCTAACTTTGTGGAGACAGCTGGTTGCCATCCATTCTATTTTGTGCTACCCAAGCATTGCTGAATGCCATTGTCACTGGTAAAGGGTCATGACTGTGAGTGTCTAGGTTCTTTGTGTTTTGAACAAAGAATTGGACAAAACCCCCAGCAAAGCAAAGAAAGAATGAAGCAACAGAAGAACGAAGGCAGGGATTTATTGAAAATGAAAGTACACTCCACAGTGTGGGAGCAGACCCAAGCAGCGGCTTAAGGGCTGGGATACAGAATCTTCCTGGACCCAAATACCCCCTAAAAGTTTCCCACTGGCCACTTCATGCAAATGTCATGCTCCTGTGCAAACATCTCATTGGTTAGAAAAAGCAACCAGTCAGAGGCTAGGGTGAAGTTAAAGTTATACTTCTACGCAAAGGAAGACTGGGCCAGCAGTCAGTCTGATTGGTTGTGGACAGCAACCATTCAGAGGCTGGAGTAAAGTTACAAAGTTGCAAACGAAGACAGGATTCGCACTCAGTATGATTGGCTGCAGACAGCCAATTTCCCATCTGCCTGGCAAAAAAGTTCAAAGGGAGTAGTAGCCTCTGCTCTTTTTGTTACTTAGGCCTGGAAAGTAGATAGGGCTTTCATTTCAATTTAGTTGGAGGACGTCGGTGTGAAACAGCCTTAGATTCCCTGCCTGCAGACCCTGTTCTCCTGCCTCACCAGTTTTCCCCCTTCAGTCACGTTGTAACTTCCCAAAGGCTAAGGAATTCTTTTTTTGGTTGCTTTCTGGTTCATTTGATGGTGGGGTGGTTTGGTTATGGGGTTTATATGGTAGGTGAAGAGACAAAGTTGTGTCCCTTTTGTATGAATATCAAAAGCAAATTTTTTTTTTTTTTTTGAGACGGAGTCCGTCTCGTCGCCCAGGCTGGAGTGCAGTGGCACGATCTCGGCTCACTGCAAGCTCCGCCTCCTGAGTTCACGCCATTCTCCTGCCTCAGCCTCCCGAGTAGCTGGGACTATAGACGCCTGCCACCATGCCTGGCTAATTTTTTATTTTTATTTTTCTGTATTTTTAGTAGAGACGGGGTTTCAGCGTGTTAGCCAGGATGGTCTCGATCTCCTGACCTCGTCATCCGCCCGTCTCTGTCTCCCAAAGTGCTGGGATTACAGGCATGAGCTACTGCGCCCGGCCACAAAATTGTTTTTTAAAATAGATTGCTGGCCAGGCCACGGTGGCTCACCTGAGGTCAGGAGTTCAAGACCAGCCTGACCAACATGGTGAAACCCTGTCTCTACTGAAAATACAAAAATTAGCCAGGCGTGGTTGTGGGCACCTGTAGTCCCAGCTACTTGGGAGGCTGAGATAGGAGAATTGCTTGAACCGGGAGGCGGAGGTTGCAGTGAGCTGAAATCATGCCACTGCGCTCCAGCCTGGGCTACAGAGCGAGACTCTGTCTCAAAATAATAATAATAATAAATAAATAAATAAAAAGGCCGGGCGCAGTGGCTCACGCCTGTAGTCCCAGCACTTTGGGAGGCTGAGGCAGGCGGATCACCTGAGGTAGGGAGTTCGAGACCAGCCTGACCAACATGGAGAAACCCAGTCTCTACTAAAAAAAAAAAAAAAAAAAAAAAAGTTAGCCAGGTGTGGTGGCGCATGCCTGTAATCCCAGCTACTTGAGAGGCTAAGGCAGGAGAATCGCTTGAACCTGGGAGGCGGAGGTTGCAGTGAGCCAAGATTGTGCCATTGCACTCCAGCCTGGGCAACAAGAATGAAACTCTGTCTTAAACAAACAAACAAACCAAAACAACAACAACAAAAAAACCCACAGTAGATTGCTGTGTAGATGCGTGTGTCAAGCCTTCTACCTGTTCACTTCTGTAGGCTTAAGCACTTTACCACATATGGGTTTCGGAAAGCATTCTTTCTGCGTTGTCACTGAGGCCCAGGAAGGAAAGGGGCCAATTTATGGAAGGCAAGAACTTAAGAGTCCCAGGGGCTAGGAGACTCAGCCCCTCGATTAAGGAATGCTCTTCTCCGCTTCGGTTGGCTTCCTATGAGAGTGTTTTGAAGAATAAGGTATTGTATAATAGATGGTGTGCCTTAAATGATGGGGAAGAACAGCATTGAAATGTTCTTCCTGATTGTTTTAAGAAAATTGCAGTGCTCTTTTTCTAAAAGATGGATGTACAGCTAAGGGCATTTTTGATGCAATACAACTTATTTTTGGAGGCCCTCTAAGATACAATGAGAAACTTTTTTCTGTTGGGGAGACTGATCTTGTCTTCATTGTCCTGTGAGGGTTGAAAGGGACCATGGTTTCTTTTAAACCAAGTCAACAAATACTTCAAAGCCCTTTTTATATCTAATGCAGCTACACAGATATGTGTAAGCTCTCAGTAGTCCTGAGTTCAGCCAGTTGCCTAGTTTGGGTCTAATGCCCTCCGATTCCATATTTGTATCCACAACCAAGAAAGCCTAGAGAGAGCCTGCATGGACCTCTGTGGGTCTCCCGCCAGCGGCTGGCCTCTCGGGTGAAGATGTGGCAGCTGAATTAACAGCTGCCTGTTCTGGGCCAGGCCTGCTATCTCAGCCTCGGGGAGAGGTGTTGATCAGGCTGACAGGGCAAGAAATCCCCCTGAGCCTCAGGTTGGAGAGAAATTAGTTAAAAGTTGCTCTCAGACTCCTGAAAAACTGCTTTCAGTTTTTGCTGCCAAAACAGAACTTCGAAAACGGTGTAAATTGGGTTCTTCACACTGTCTCCGTTTTTGTCACTTCCTTGCAGTTGGTGAAGGAGGACCGGGATCCAAGGGAGCTTTGCGGGTTCTCTTTCTGAGTTCCTCTGGAACCTGGCCTCAGGTGAAGGGGAGGTGGGGGTGGGTGGTGACCGGACAAGCCTTTGAGGTGCCTGGAACTAAGCCCCATTCCTTAGATCAAATAAATACCTTTTGTTTTTCCTGCTCACACTTTCCTCTGCCCTGGAGCCAGAGTCATAAAGAGGTGGAGATGTGAAGGTCTGCACCTGGTCGCTGGGGTGGTAGGTGGGATGGAGAGCTTCCCTTGTGCTCTGCACTTCCTGCCTTTTGCTGCTGCCCTGGGTGTGCAGGGGTCTGCCTGGGCTAGCCTGGGCACCTGCGGCTGTGCTGGGCCAGCCTGCCTGCCTGTCCGGTAGGGCCCTGCCTGAGCTGGGCTGTCAGCAAGCTGGTGAAACCGGCTGCACAAAGACGGATTTCACTTCAGGCTAAGTGTTTTGTTGCTGAATCATTTGCATTCATTAAAAGTAGTGAAGGGTGAGTGATATTTAAGGCAACATGACCAGTTTGCTGGGGGCCTGGAGGCCGCTGCCTTAGAACCTCATTAAGAATTCTTGGGGCCGTGGAGAGCAAGGGAGCAGCTCATTCAAAGCTTGCTTAACTTTTGACTGCCTTGGGCATAGGCCAGCTACTAAAATATGAAAAATGTTTGCCCAGCAGCCCCCAGAGCTTGGCCAGACTGCCCTGGCCAAAGAAAACACACACTTACAATTCATTATTTAGCCTCCTCCTGCGCGGTTGCTTGCATTTCTTCCTCTCCAGGGACCTTGCTGAGTTGGGGGCACCAGGTTGGGTGGGGGGCAGGAAGGCCCCTGCATCTTTTAAAGGGAAGCTAAACCTGAAGCCGGTGCTGTCTGTACTCCCTCACCCCATCCTGCCCCCACTTCCCTGGTTTATTTCACCAGTGCCCTACTGGTGGACTTCAGGTTTGTTTCAGAGGGTTTCCTATTTTAAACAATGCCACCACAAATATCCTTGTACCTGTCTTTGTCCTTGTGCTTGTATATCTGTAGGACAAATTCCTGGAAGTGGAGTTGCTCTGTCAAAGGATATGAACGTGTCAAAATTACATAGACGATTTTGTATTTGTTATTTTTGTGGAGAGGGAGATTATAGCTTTCATCAGATTCTTAACAGGTCTATGACCAAAAAAGTTTCTGAATCACTGCTCTGCAGTGGGCCTGTGAAATTTGCACAGGATAATCTATAAATATTGGTAAACATAGTTCAAATGCGGGGCATTGCTGGGTTGACCAGATAATTTGTCATCCAAACATCCCCACCTCCATGATTACTAAATATGCCGAGATGGCCAGATAACCCAGGGTTGTTCAGGTAACTGGCAGTGTGGGAGCCCAGTGCCCACTGGAAATCTTATCCCTGATCTCTGAGACTGTGTTCTCTGTTCACCACCAGTTAGCGCTGAATTAGCTGCTGCTTTCTGTTTTCCATTTTATCAGGTATGTTCTTTTTGTTGCCTACAACTCGATGGTAAGGTTGATCCAGTGGGTCAAAGTCTTGTCCTTGGTTTTCCCACACAGCCTAACCCTGCCTCAGCTGCCCAGTGGTAGCTCAAGACGTTTTTGGATTCCAAAGACCAGAATTCAGTTGAACTTTTCTGAACTGTGTTTATTCATCTGTAGAATGGAAATGATAATATCCGCCTCATGGGTTACGGTGAGGGGGTGAGGGTCTAGTGAGGTGTGTGTTGCAAGGGTTGCTGTTGTGGGAAGTGAGCTTGAGAGACATTCAGCATGAGCCCCCAACTCCTCCTCAACATGGACTTTGGGGGCCCTTAAGGCACTGCTTGCTGCCTAGCTTTGTTTATTCTTCTTCTCCATTGGTTAGTATGCCCTTCACTGCTCTCAAATCTATTCCCTCTCCTTTAATTGCCTAGTCCTGGGCTTAGTTCACGTCCTGTCATTTCTCTCTTGGAATGCTGCTGGAAAAAAGAAGCAAACTTTTTTTTTTTTTTTGAGACAGCCTCGCTCTGTCGCCCAGGCTGGAGTGTAGTGGTGCAATTTCAGCTCACTGCAACCTCTTCCTCCTGGGTTCAAGCAATTCTTCTGCCTCAGCCTCCCAAGTAGCTGGGATTACAGGCGCCTGCCACCATGCCTGGCTAATTTTTGCATTTTTAGTAGAGATGGGGTTTTGCCGTGTTGTCTAGGCTGGTCTCGAACTCCTGACCTCAGGTGATCCACCCGCCTCAGCCTCCCAAAGTGTTAGGATTACAGGAGTGAGCCACCGCGTCCTGCCAAGTCAAGATTTTTTAAAAGTAGTAAACGGTATGCTACTAGAATTGAAAAGCAAGAAATATGCTTTGCAGATCATAAGAGGTGAAGAAACTAAATAAAATCATATTTACAACAAAGGAAGCATTATAATATTAAAATGTGAAACAGATAAAAGCAAAGACAGATATATCAGTCATGATGATAAATTTCAGTGGAATAAGTCTCCAACTGAAATGGAGTTTAGATTGAATAAGAAAGTTTCATGTTCTTTACATAATACAAACCTAAAATAATGGCAAAGTTTGTTTTATTCTTTTTTCTAACTTTAGGCCAATAGATTAATTTATTTTCATTTATTTCAGTCTCATTTTTTAGGAAATAATTTACGATTATTAATTTTCTTTTGAATACAACTTTGAAATTAATAAATTTGAAATTAAAAATATAAAATAGATAAGTCATTTAGGATCCAGTACTTAAAAAAAAAAGGAAAAAAAATGTGACTTTGGCAATTCTAATGTAGAAAAATAAAAGGACAATAGGTAAAACAAAGAAAAAAAAAGAGGCTTTAATTTCATTCATAGCTTCCCAACTATTTTTCCTTTTTTTTTTTTTTTGAGATAGGGTCTCACTCTGTCACCCAGACTGGAGTGCAGTGGCACAATCATGGCTCATTGCAGCCTCGACTTCCCAGACTCAAGCAATCCTCCCACCTCAGCCTCCTGAGTAGCTGGGACTACAGGCAAGCACCACCATGCCTGGCTAATTAAAAAAATTTTTTTATAGAGTCAGGGTATCACCATGTTGCCCAGGCTGGTCTCAAACTCCTGAACTCCAGCAGTCTGCCCAAAGTGATGGGATTACAGCCATGAGCCACTGCGCCTGGCCCACAGCTATTTCTTGAGTACATTCTAGGTACCCAGTAGGTACTAGGGATATAGATAGAGCAGGGAATGGGATGAAAAAATTCACTGTCCCCAGAGAGCTTACCATTTAACAGAGGGCTACCATTTAAGGAAATGTATACTAATAATTAGATTTGTGATCATTGTGATAGGAAAATATTTTAATATTTATCGGGGTTACCATGTTTGGTGCTATGCTAATAAATCTGTGCCAGGGAAATATAATGACTGAAATTTATTAAAGAATCTGGCTGGGGGTGGTGGCTTACACTTGTAATGCCAGCACTTTTGGAGGCCGAGGCAGGCAGATCACTTGAGTGCAGGAGTTCGAGACCAGCTTTTGAGACTCCATCTCTTTTTTTTTCTGAAATGGAGTTTCACTCTTGTTGCCCAGGCTGGAATGCAATGGCACGATTCTCCTGCCTCAGCCTCCCAGGTGTCTGGGATTACAGGCATGTGCCACCACGCTTGGCTAGTTTTTTGTATTTTTAGTAGAGATTTAGGGATTACAGCTGTGAACCACTGCACCTGGCCTGAGACCCTGTCTCTTAAAAAAAAATCATGACTGGGCATAGTGTCTCAGGCCTGTAATCCCAGTACTTTGGGAGGCTGAGACGGGCGGATCACGAGGTCAAGAGATGGAGACCATCCTGGTTAACACAGTGAAACCCCGTCTCTACTAAAAATATGAAAAATTAGCTGGGCGTGGTGGCGGGTGCCTATAGTCCCAGCTACTCAGGAGGCTGAGGCAGGAGAATGGTGTGAACCCAGGAGGCGGAGCCTGCAGTGAGCTGAGATCACACCACTGCACTCCAGCCTGGGTGACAGAGCGAGACTCCATCTCAAAAAAAAAAAAAAATCATTAGGGTTTTTTTAAAAAAAAATGATAGACATTACTACTTGTAACTTTTTTTTTAGTCATATTTGAAAAAGTAGAAAATTGAACTGTAATTTGATTTTTTTCAAAGATGTCTGTTAAATCTGTTTTGATTTTATATGCATTTTTGTCTTTATAGTTTAAAACTGATTTTTTTGGGAATACAGCTGAAGTTCCCAAATACTTTATAGGAGTTTATGAGATATCTTTAATTTGGCCGTGTCCAATTTATATAATTTCCAAAATACTGCAGATTGTGAACAGGGCATTATACAAGATCACGGGGGAAATCCTATATTCAGAGTACTCTACAAATTTGTGTGTATGTGTTTGTGTGGTTACCAGAGAACTACCAAAAACCAACTGCTTTTTAAATCCTGCTGTGTAGTTCAAGTGTCTTGCCTTGACCAATCTAATGAGTTGATTAGCTGGTCCTTAATACTTAACTAAATGAAAAACTAAGCAGATGTGAAAAAAAAAATTAAAATGACTGGATAGACAGTAACTCTTAAAAACGATTGAAAGATAGTTGTATCACTGGGTGCGGTGGCTCACGCCTGTAATCCCAGCACTTTGGGAGGCCGAGGCGGGCAGATCACTTGAGGTCCAGAGTTCGAGACCAGCCTGATCAACATGGAGAAACCCCGTCTCTACTAAAAATACAAAATTAGCCGGGCATGGTGGCGCATGCCTGTAATCCCAGCTACTCCGGAAGCTTGAACCCGGGAGGCGGAGGTTGCTGTGAGCTGAGATCGCACCATTGCACTCCAGCCTGGGCAACAAGAGCGAAGCTCTGTCTCAAAAAAAAAAAAAGAAAGAAAGAAAGAAAGAGGCTGGGCGCGGTGGAAAGAAAGAGGCTGGGCGCGGTGGCTCACGCCTGTAATCCCAGCACTTTAGGAGGCAGAGGCGGGCGGATCACAAGGTCAGGAGATTGAGACCATCCTGGCTAACATGGTGAAACTCTGTCTCTACTAAAAATACAAAAAATTAGCCGGGCGTGGTGGTGGGCACCTGTAGTCCTAGCTACTCGGGAAGCTGAGGCATGAGAATGGCATGAACCCGGGAGGCAGAGCTGGCAGTGTGCTGAGATTGCGCCACTGCACTCCAGCCTGGGTCACAGAGCAAGACTCCGTCTCAAAAAAAAAAATAAAAAAAAAAAGAAAGATAGTTGTATCAAATAGTTTTGAGGGAAAATTTTGAAAAATGTTGAAGAAGTAGAGCCTGTAAATGCTTTGTAGAGACTGTCACAGAGCCAAGGAACAGATGGACAACAGCCTGTGTGTGTCACAAAGTTGATATAGCTTTGTTCTCAAATGCTGACAGTGCAGAAAACCACACTACTTAGAAACGTTGGTGTAAAAGTCTAATATAGAATACTTGAAAATTAAATCTAACACTATGATAAACGGTAATGTGCCATAAACAAGTAAAGGATGTATTCCCAAAAATGCATGGGTGGCTTACCCTTTATAACTCATCAACATAAGACGTCAGAGGTGGCTGGGCGTGGTGGTTCACGCCTGTAATCCCAGCACTTTGGGAGGCCGAGGCGGGCAGATCATCTGAGGTCAGGAGTTTGAGACCAGCCTGGCCAACATGGTGAGACCCCGTTTCTACTAAAAAAAATACAGAGTGCCACTTGACCCTCTGTGTCTTGCAGTTGATTGGTGTGCTTGCCTCCAACTCTGGAGGTGGGTGGTTCCAGCCCGTTCTTGGGAGCATCTCTTGGCCAGGTGAGGTGGCTCATGCCTGTAATCCCAGCACTTTGGGAGGCCGAGGTGGGCGGATCACCTGAGGTCAGGAGTTTGAGACCAGCCCGACCAATACAGTGAAACCCCATCTCTACTAAAAACCCAAAAATTAGCTGGGCATGGTGGCGGGCGCCTGTAGTCCCAGCTACTTGGGAGGCTTAGACAGGAGAATTGCTTGAACCCGGGAGATGGAGGTTGCAGTGAGCCAAGGCCGTGCCACTGCACTCCAGCTTGGGCAACAGAGCAAGACTCTGTCTCAAAGAAAAAAAAAAATTAGCCGGTTGTGTTGGCGGGTCCCTGTAATACCAGCTACTTGGGAGACTGGGGCAGGAGAATTGCTTAAACCCAGGAAGTGGAGGTTGCGGTGCATTGAGATCCTACCACTGCATTCCAGCCTGGGCAACAGAGCAAGACTTTGTTCCCCCTACCCCACCAAAAAAAAACCAAAAAAAAACAAACCAACCGCAAAGGTGTCACACAATTCTCTCAATAGAGGCAAAAATGACACTAGATATAAATTAACATCCATTTCTGATTAAAAAAACAAACATAGCCATCATTATACTTAAAAATGAAATACAATGCTATTTGCATTAAAATGAAGTTACTAAATTAAAATAATAAAGTCACTACTATTTATTATTATTTTAGCTGAAATAATGCTATAAGAAAGAATATAGCCAGGTGGCGTGTACCCATCGTCCCAGCTAGTTGGGAGGCTGAGGTGGGAGGATTGCAGCTTGGACAACTAAGCAAGACCCTGTCACTTACAGGAAAAAAAAAGACTGAAAGTCTAAATAAAGTTCATGTTTTTTGCAGAGGTACCTTTTTTACATGGGAAACCCAATTATCAACTGAAAAACTACTACAATCAGTGAGAGAACTGAGTCATTTGGGCAAATACAAAACCTACACAAAACCCAGAAGGTTTGCTGCTTATCAGCAAGTAACCATTTAGAAAATACAACAGGAACATTTATCCATTCACAGAATCAATAAAAATAAAAACAAAATGCTCAGGCATAAACCATTATAATGGAAACTGTATTGACAGCACCAGTAAATACCCTTCTCCCTTCTGAGTTTAAAACCAGTCGAAGGGGGTGAAAGAGAGGGAGAAAAACAGACAGACCAGGGATTGGATGATGGAGATCAGAGTATCACTTTTATTTGTTTTAAAGGCTAGGTTGAGCAAGCAACAAGGCTTTAATCTGAAGTGGATAAATGTCTTATTCATCCTTGAGTTAGGCAGACTTACTCCCTTGTCATAGCAGTGCTGGAGTATTACAGGTGTGTGTGTGTGTGTGTGTGTAGCCACCTATAAAAAATGTGTGCTCCCTGCAGGTGGAGCAGACCCCCCACTCCCAAGTGAAAGGAGGAAGGATCGGAGTCAAATATGCCCAATCAGACATCCCCCCACCTTGGGGCTGATGGAAGGAGGTGGAGTGAGGCTGGGAGTGATGCTTCAGTTACATCCCCCTTTACCTGGAGTGGGGAGGAGTTGTTCTTCCTTAAAACTTCCTTTGTTCTCTGAACTCACAGCCTTAACCTTTGAAGGCACTGGGTGCCTGGGGGCATGACTCTTCCCTCCAGGGAAGGGGCACAGCTGTCTGGCAACTATTCCTGCTCCACCTTCACTAACCACACTGTTCCTTTGGTGAATCCTTCTAGGACACCTGGAGAACAGAGTAGATTTTCCCTAGAAGGCTCTCAAATGGATCAAAATAGGACAGTATTTAAATTAATTTTGAGGCAAGTCTGCACCCGGGGTGAAAATCTCACTCCCATCTGTTTTCTCAAATCATGTGCAAACACTTTTTCTTCTTCGGTGAAGTAACGATTAGGAACAGGAACCTTCACTGTCTTGTTCACTGCTGTATTCTTAGTACTTAGAGCAGTGCCTGGCACATATAAGTCATTCAGTAATTTAATGACTATTCTGGAGGAGGGAGGGTGAGTGCCACATGTAATACAGAAAATCAGATCTTATATTTCTGATCTTATTAATTACAAAATAATAATAAGGTAACAGTAAGGAAAATAAGGCAACAAAGTTGAACATAAAATGGACAATAAGAAATTTAGGGCAATAAAATATCTCATATTCTCTGTTCCCCAAGTACCAATTTAAATTGAAATCTTGGTTGAGGGTGGGGGAGAAATTTAGCTAACCAGTTAAAAATGAAAAATTGCTTTATTTTCTTAAGAAGAAACAATGCTAATTAAAACAAAGTATTTTTTTAAAATTATTTATTTATTTATGAGATGGATTCTTGCTCTGTCGCCCAGGCTGGAGTACAATGGTGTGAGCTAGGCCCATTGTAACCTCTGCCCCCTGGGAGGGAGTAATTCTCCTGCCTCAGCCTCCTGAGAAGCTGGGATTACAGGCACATGCCACCACGCCTAGCTAATTTTTGTATTTTTAGTAGAGAAAATACAAAATACAACATGGTGAAAACCATGTTGGCCCAGGCTGGTCTTGAACTCCTGACCTGAAGTGATCCGCTCACCTCAGCCTCCCAGAGTGCTGGGATTACAGGTGTCAGCCTCCATGCCCAGCCACAAAGTATTATTTTATGTCTCTCAGGTTGACAAAGATATTAAGCATCAGTGTTGGTTAAGAAAGCGTAAATTAGCACAACTTTTTTTTTTTTTTTTTTTTTTGAGACGGAGTCTCACTCTGTCGCCCAGGCTGGAGTGCAGTGGCGTGATCTCCGCTCACTCCAATCTCCGCCTCCTGGGTTCATGCCATTCTCCTGTCTCAGCCTCTTGAGTAGCTGGGATTACAGGTGCCCGCCACCATGCTCAGCTAATTTTTGTATTTTTAGTAGAGACGGTGTTTCACCGTGTTAGCCAGGATGGTCTCGATCGCCTGACCTTGTGATCCACCCGCCACAGCCTCCCAAAGTGCTGGGATTATAGGCATGAGCCACCAAGCCCAGCCTTTTTTTTTTTTTTAAAAAAACTTCTCTGGAGATAATGCTGGATGTCATTTATCAAAAGCTTGAAATTATATTCTCTTTGTTTCCATTCTCTTTGGAAGTCATCCTACAGAAACCCTCTCATTATCAGTGTGCATAGATGCCTGTACAGAGAATAAGAATATTCTTCATAATGACAAAAAGAAAAAAAAAAAAGGAAAACCATCTGAATGCCCATTATTAGGGTATTGGATAAATAGGTTATGGGTAATTGATACAGTGAAATAATACACAGTGGTTGAAGTGAATGAGGTCGAATTATATGAACAGACATGGAAAGACATCTGTGGTTAACTGTATAGCAAAAAAAAAAAAAAAAAAAAGCAACTTGCAGAATAGCAGATATTAGAGGGTGAATTGTGTCCTCCCAAAATACATGTTGAAGTCCTAAGCCTCAGTACCTGTGAATATGACTTTATTTGGAATTAGGGTCTCTGTAGATATAATCAAGGTAAGATCAATTCATTAAGGTGAATGACGAATCCTGTATGACTGGTGGCGCCCCATGTGAAGAGAAAAGGCCCAGAGACAGAAGTACACCACAGGAAGACGGCTTGTGATAGCGAAGGCTGAGGTTGGAGTGATGTGGCTACAAGCCAAGGAGCACCAGGGATTGCTGACAGCCACCAGGAGCAAGGACAGAGGCGTGGAACAGACTCTCCCTCTGTGCCCTCCAGAAGGATCCAACCTCACCAACACTTTGATTTTGCACTCTGGCCTCCAGAGCTGCGAGAGGATAAATTTCTGTTATTTTAAGCCACCCAGTTGTGGTAATTTGTTATGGCAGCCCTGGGAAACTGATAGAGCAGGTATGGCATTATCCCGTAGCCGTGCCTTCTGTGACTGCGCCTGCCATTCTCTCCATGACAAAGAGCTTCTTCAGTCCATTTCCTACCCTAGCAACCACCTCCTTGGAAACAGGGACTCATTGTGGTTGTGATTTTTTTTTGTTGTTGGGGGACAGCCTGAGCAGGGTGGGTTTGCATTTCACCTCCTTTGCCTCCTTGCCCCAAAGTGGAGTTCTAATGGCCTCTTGGTGGGCTTCCTTCTCCTCATCCTTTTAACCCTGAGCATTCTGAATTACTCAGAGTTCTCTGATCATGCCTGGTCTTTGTGCTTCTGACTTGTTCTATTTGCCAAGTCCCGTTCCTTTTTTTGTTTTTGTTTGTTTGTTTTTTGAGACAGGGTCTTGCTCGATTACCTAGGCTGGAGTGCCCTGGCACAATCACAGCTCACCGCAGCCTTGACCTCCTGGACTCAAGGGATCCTCCTGTTGCAGCCTCCCAGGTGGCTGGGACTACAGGCTTGCACCACCATGCCTAGATAATGGGGTCTTACTGTGTTGCCCAGGCTGGTCTCGAACTCCTGGCCTCAAGTGATCTCTCCACCTCGACCTCCCAGAATGCTCAAAGTGCTGAGATTATAGCAGGCATGAGCCACCACACCCGCCCCTTTCCTTCGTAAAACCTTATGTTGAAGATCCTTCCAAGATTCCTCCCTGCCTTTTTTTTTTTTTTTTTTTTTGAGACAGAGTCTTGCTCTGTCACCCAGGCTGGAGTGCAGTGGTGTGATCTCGACTCATGGCAACCTCGGCCTCCCAAGTAACTGGGATTACAGGCGTGACACCCGGCTAATTTTTTGTATTTTTAGTACAGACGGGGTTTTACCATGTTGGCCAGGCTTGTCTTGAACTCCTGACCTAAAGTGCTCTCCTCACCTTGGCCTCCCAAAGTGCTGGGATTACAGGTGTGAGCCACCATGCCCAGCCTCTTCCCTGAATTTTTTTTTTTTTTGAGACAGAGTCTTGCTCTGTCACCCAGGCTGGAGTGCAGTGGCGCCATCTCGGCTCACTGCAAGCTCCACCTCCCAGGTTAAAGCGATTCTCCTGCCTCAGCCTCCTGAGTAGCTGGGACTATAGGTGTGCACCACCATGCCTGGCTAATTTTTGTATTTTTAGTAGAGGCGGATTTTCACCTTGTGGGCCAGACTGGTCTCGAACTCCTGACCTCAAGGTGATCTGCCATCCTCGACCTCCCAAAGTGCTGGGATTACAGGTGTGAGCCACCTCGCCTGGACTCCCTGACTTTTTAATCCCCTGACTCTGACTTAGATGCTTCTCTTGTGTGCCCTTTGCACCCACCCATCATCCTGTGTGATAATACAGCAAAGCCTACACGTTATGATAGACTTTCCTCAGGCCAGAAGACCTGAGATTTGAAGCCGGCATCTGTTACTCATCAGCTGTGTGATGTTTAGCAAACTGCTTTACCTTTCTTTGTCTCGTTTCCTTATCTGCATAATGGGGATCATAGTACCTACCCTACCAGATGGGCATTAGCATTATAACAAGTTAATATGGTTAAATGTTTGGAACAGTAAGTGGTCAGTAAGTGGTAGCTGTTACTTTAATTATATGTTTACTTGCCTGACTCTCCTACTAAACTGAGACACTTAAAGACAGTAATTGTGTGTTTCTCTCTCTGTCCCCAGTGTCTTATGAAGTACTTGGCACATGGTAGGCTCTAAGTAAATGATTGTTGAATTAAGAATGATAATTAATATAATTGCCTACCAGGATCCCATATTGGGCTTTGACCCCTGCTGGTTCCACATCATGTTGGGATAATGCGACCAAATTATCTGGCTCAGTAAAACCACCACAAATCGGCCGATATTTCCTGAGCACCTCTCACGGGCGAGGCATCTGCCATGGAGGAGACCAAGTGCGAGATCTGCATCTGTCCTCAGGAAGCTTAGAATCTAGTGGCGAAGACAGAGTTGTAAGCACATGAAATGTTAAATAGCGGTATTAGGGTTTTAACAGTTATTTACGGGAGTAATAGAAGATAAAGAGAATGTGTGTTCACGATTATTATTTCAGTTGGTGGCACATTGTTATCTAACTTCTGTCTTGTTTTCCAAATTTGTTCCAGAAAGCTGCTTTAACTTTTTTTTTTTTTTTTTTTGAGACAGTCTCGCCCTTGTTGCCCAGGCTGGAGTGCAATGGTGCAATCTTGGCTCACTGCAACCTCCGCCTCCCAGGTTCAAGCGATTCTCCTGCCTCAGCCTCCTGAGTAGCTGGGACTACAGGCGCCTGCCACCATGCCTGGCTAATTTTTGTATTTTTAGTAGAGACGGGGTTTCCCCATGCTGTCCAGGCTGGTCACAAACTTCTGACCTCAGGTGATCCTCCTGCCTTGGCTTCCCAAAGTGCTGGGATTATGGGCATGAGCCACCGCGCCCGGCCAACCTTTTTTTTTTTTTCCTTTAAAGACAGGGTCTCAGTTTGTTGCCCAGGCTGGAGTGCAGTGGCACGAGCACAGCTCACTGCAGCCTCCACCTCCTGGGTTCAAATGATCCTCCCATCTCAGCCTCCCAAGTAGCTGGGACTACAGGCGCATACCACCATGCCTGGCTAATTTCTGTAATATTTTTGTAGAGACGGGGTTTTACCGTGTTGCCCAGGCTGGTCTCGAACTCCTGGCCTCAAGCGATCCACCCGCCTCGGCCTCCCAAAGTGCTGGGATTCCAGGCATGAGCCACTGTGCCCAGACTTGTTAAACTTTTCAATAATGAGTTAGATGTAGAGGCTTCATCAAGTTCAGATTTGATTTTGTTTTTTCTTTATGTGTACCTCAGTAGGTACAATATCTGGTTGTCTGTTTGGAATGAGAAGCCATCACTAATCATTGCTAGATCCATTATTTCATTAGGGGGTTGTAAAATCATGGTATTCTGTTTATTAGCTGGAAACTTCTATAAACACCAATCTCCCCTCATTAACTGTTTGGTTACCCACAGATATAGCTGTTCAAGAAAGGGAAAAATAAATGCTTGATTCTTTACTGATTTTCAAAATAATGAGTTGGTTTTCTAACATTCTTCAAAGGTGGCCAGTGAGAGACTTTCAGTGTTTTGTGTTAAGCATCACTGTACACTTACGGATTTTAAACCTATTTGATGTGTTTTAGTCCATGTGGTTCTTACCCTTACGAATGCTTAAGTGGTCCTATCATTGGCTGATGGGAGCCTCTTCAAGCTGAGCCTGAACCTTTTTATTTATCTTATTTTTTTAAAGAGATAGGGTCTTGCTATGTTGTCCAAGCTGAACTTGAACTCCGGGGCTCAAGCAATCCTCCCACCTGAGCCACTCAAGTAGCTGGGACTACAGGAGCATGGCATCATACCCAGCAGGCCTTGAATCTTTTTTTTCCCCTGGACCTTTTGATGAGACCCTGCTAGTCTTTGCTTGTTTCCTTGTATGATAAGATGGAGTTCTAGGCTTCTCTTGTACATTTCCTATCCTGGAACTGGAATCAGCCAATTCTGCAAGGAGAAAGGACATAAATTTTTTAGAACATTAGTACAATATTACCAAACATTTTCCAGAAGGGATTTATTATAATTTATATTCCCTCCAGCAAAGTAGAAGGACTATTTTCTCCATATGCTTACCAGCGTTGAGTGTTATTTTTAAAATCTTGGCCTTCATTTGATGGGTAGAACTCGTTCTAATTTACATTTCTTAGATTACTAGTGCATTGGAGTATTTTCTTTTTTTTTTTTTTTGAGACAGAGTCTTGCTCTGTCACCCAGGCAGGAGTGCAGTGGCGTGATCTCAGCTCACTGCAAACTCTGCCTCCCGGGTTCACACCATTCTCCTGGCTTAGCCTCCCGAGTAGCTGGGACTACAGGTGCCCACGACCACGCCCGGCTAATTTTTTGTATTATTAGTAGAGACGGGGTTTCACCGTGTTAGTCAGGATGATCTCGATTTCCTGACCTCGTGATCCACCTGCCTCGGCCTCCCAAAGTGCTGAGATTACAGGCGTGAGCCACCATGCCCGGCCTTTTTTTTTTTTTTTTTGAGACAGAGTCTCGCTGTATCGCCCAGGCTAGAGTGCAGTGGCGTGATTTTGGCTCACAGCAACCTCCGTCTCCTAGGTTCCAGTGATTCTCCTGCCTCAGTCTCCTGAGTAGCTGGGATTACAGGCGCGCAACACCATGCCCAGCTAATTTTTTGTATGTTTAGAATACAAAATACATGCTGGCCAGGCTGGTCTCGAACTCTTGACCTCGTGATCTGCCTGCCTCAGCTTTCCAAAGTGCTGGGATTACAGGTGTAAGCCACCATGCCTGGCCTGGAGTATTTTCCTATATTTATTAATCATTTATGTTTGTTTTGAGAACTCTTCATATTGTCTTGACCATGTTTCTATTAGAATTTTAGCAGGTTTTTTTTTTGTTGTTGTTGTTGCTGTTTTGTTTTTGTTTTTGTTTTTGAGATGGAATTTTGCTCTTAGTGCCCAGGCTGGAGTACAGTGGCGCAATCTTGGCTCACTGCAACCTCCGCCTCTGGGTTCAAGCGATTCTCTTGCCTCAGCCTCCCAAGTAGCTGGGATTACAGGCATGTGCCACCTTGCCTGGCTAATTTTTTTGTATTTTTATTAGAGACAGGGTTTCACCATGTTAGGCTGGTTTTGAGCTCCTGTCCTCAGGTGATCCACCCGCCTCGGCCTCCCAAAGTGCTGGGATTACAGGTTTGACCCACTGTGCCTGGCCGAATTTTAACAGTTTTTATGAATGATTTGTTACTTTTCATATATCAAGGCCAGCAACCCCTCTTCTGTCATTTACTTAAAGTCATTTGTCTGACTTGTCATTGCTGCTGACGGTCATTTCTACCTTGTATCTTACGTAGTCAGGCATTCTCCTTTAGATAGCATAGACTTTCCAGGCCTCTGTTGGCGGGGCCTCCTAGGATCGGAAAGCTGAAGTCTAATAGTGATCTCTAGGCATTCATTGGTGCATGAACATTACTGTGTTCTCTTCACCTAATAACTGTTTGTGTTCCTTGAGGCCAGAGGCCTGCTTCATACCAAGATGACTGGGTCCATTTTCACCCAGATAGGCTCACTCTGATTTTGGTTCATGCTGAAGGTACTTCTGTTTTGAACAGCTTCTGGGGGAAGTAAATGAAACTATAAGCAACTGCTAATCTGCACCCCTATTAGGAATGCAAGCAGAGCATTGTCTGGAGGTGCCCAAGGTAGACAGAATGCAAAGCTGCCAGCAATCAGTAGCTACCCCTCTGAACTTCACCAGCACAGGGTGGCACCTCTTGAACTGTGGAGTCCCACGTACCTGTATTTAGTGATCAGGTGGAGCATCAGGCAGCTGAGGGACAGAGCTTCAGACCTCAGGGTGTCTGTTCAGAGAGAACCACTACAGCAGAGATTGGATGAGGGAAATCAAGCAGGCACTTAGCATCTCCAAATGGTCTGTGTAGAGGAATGCTGACAAAGGCCAGTGCTGGCTTAGGGATGGTTGTGATGGAGTGCAGGTTCTAAAAAATGAAAAAATCCTGAATATAATGATGACAATAAATAATGGCTAAGAGTCCAAACTCACATAATACTTCCTATGTGCCAGGCACTGTTTCACACTGCTACCTCTGTTACCATGTGAATTTTCTTTTTGCAACAAGCCTATGAGGCCAGTACTGTTACTTGCATCTTTTATTTTATTTATTTTGAGACAGGTCTCACTCTGTCACACAGGCTGGGATGCAGTGGCACGATCATTGCTCACTGCAGCCTCAACCTGATCTCCTGGTCTCAAGTGATCCTCCCACCTCAGTCTCCTGAGTAGCTGGGACCACAGGTGCATACCACCATGCCCAGCTAATTCTTTTTTTTTTTTTTTTTAATATTTAGTAGAGATGAGGTCTTACTGTGTTGCCCAGGCTGGTCTTGAACCCCTGAGCTCAAGCAGTCCTCCCACCTTGGCCTCCCAAAGTGCTGGGATTACAGGCGTGAGCCACTGCACCTGGCCTATTAGCACCATTTTATAGATACAAAAATGAAGGCATGGAAAGGATAAACAGCTTGTCCAAGGTCATACTCTTGGTAAGTGAGGGAGTGTATTTGAATACAGGTAGTCTGACTCCAGTCTCTGAACTTTTAACCTCATCTCCACCCTGCATCTACACTGTATGCCAGCACCTTACAGTTACATGTTTTGTAAACTTTCCAGAGGCATTTCATCCTTGTAGAGGCTCTGCAGGATAGAGAGCAGGTGTTGCTGCTAGCCAGTTTTATTTATTTATTTATTTATTTATTTATTTATTTATTTATTTAGAGACGTAGTCTCCCTCTGTCACCCAGGCTGGGGTGCAGTGGCGTGATCTTGGCTCACTGCAACCTCCGCCTCCCAGGTTCAAGTGATTCTCTTGCCTCAGCATCCCAAGTAGCTGGGACTACTTGGGAGTGTCTCTCTGTCTGTGTCTCTGCGTGTTGATTTCTTACCTCCTCCATCTGTCTGCCAGGGCCCGGGTCTCACATTGTCTATCTGTCTCTCTCTCTCTGTCTTTCAGTCTCCCCTTCTCTGCCTCTCTCAATTTCTTCTGTTCCCTTACCACCACACCTGGCTAATTTTTGTATTTTTAGTAGAGATGGGGTTTCACCATGTTGGCCAGGCTGGTCTCAAACTCCTGACCTCAGGTGATCTGCCCACCTCAGCCTCCCAAAGTGCTGGGATTACAGGTGTGAGCCACTGCACCCGGCCCCATTTTAGATTTGGGAAAACCAAGGCCTAGACAACAAGATGACTTGCTCAGAGCCAAGTCTAGGATGTAGGTCTTTCTGCCTTTGGTGGCTGGCATCAAAGTCAAATTCTTTGAGCCTTTTTTTCTTTTTAAGAGATGGGGTCATGGTCTGTCACCCAGGCTGCAGTGCAGTGGCACAATCATAGCTCACTGTAATCTTGAATTCCTGGGCCTATGTGATCCTCTCGCCTCAGCCTCCCAGGTAACTGGGACTATAGGCACGTGCCACTGCACACAGCTAATTTTTTTCTTCTTTTAGAGTCAGGGTTTTGCTGTGCTGCTTAGGCTGGTCTTGAATTCCTGAGCTCCTCCCATCTCAGCCTCCCAAAGTGCTCTTCTTTGATACTCTTCAGAACAGTATTGCCCTTAGACAGATACAAACAAGGTATTTTCCTATGCCAGGTGTGGTGGCTCACACCTGTAATCCCAGCACTTGGGGAGGTCGAGGCGAGTGGATCGTTTGAGGCCAGGAGTTTGAGTTCGAGCCTAGCCAAGATGGTGAAACCCCGTCTCTACTAAAAATACAAAAATTAGCCAGGTATGGTGGCACGTAGCTGTAGTCCTAGCTACTAGGGAGCCTGAGGCAGGAGAATCACTTGAGCCCAGGAGGCAGAGGTTGCAGTGAGCCAAGATCGCACCACTGCACTCCAGCCTGGGTGACAGAGCGGTACTCCATCTCAAAAAAAAAAAGTGTTTTCCTTTTCCCTTTTCTTTCTGGGGTCTGGTGAACACAAGGGTTTTACCTAAGACTTTTCTGGGCACGGTTGTTTCCTTCTGGCCCTAGGCTCTTGGGAGCTGGGGGTATGTGCCTGCCTTTGGGATCTCACAGTCAGAGCCCGGGCCTGGCCCTTTCTGGAAGCCAAGTGCTTTGCCCTTGCTTAAGGAGCAGCAACTTAAGCTCCAAAAGTAGCAGGAGTGCTGGGTCAGGGGTTCTGGAAAAGCTGGATGGAAATTGCTCTGCTGTTGTCTCACTCCTGGCCTAATGGCTCAGACCATTTTAGATGTCAGGAAGTTTAACAGTACGGCGCATTTATCTTGATGAATAATGGATGAGCCCAGGGAAGGTACTGTATTCTTCCTGGTGAATTATTTACCAGGAGCCTCTAATTTGAGGGCTCTCCATTATAAATGGTCTGAATCTGGTGTATATATAGAGCCTCCGCCCCTCTCTTTAACTCCCTCTGGCCTTCCACCAACAGACAAGCTGTAACCTTCAGAATCTAGTGTTACCCTGAGCAGCCCCGGGGCCTGTGGCCGGGGACTCAGTCTGGAGTCCCTGCGGCCCCAGGGCTGCTGGGGCGGGTGGTGGGAGGGGGTGGGCAGGGTCCCCCTGCTAGAAACACAGGACAGACCTGCCAGGGGCAGCTGGGTTAAATGGGCTGGGACCTGCCCTGCAGGCATGGGGAGCTCCATGTGTGCATGCATGTGCGTGTGTCACGTGTGCGTGCTGTTTCTTGTCCCTTTGTCTCTGTCTCTCTATGATTCTATGTTACTTGATCTCTGTCTCTCAGTTTCTCTCTGTCTGTGTCTCTGCATGTTGATCTCTCACCACCTCCATCTGTCTGCCAGGGCCTGGGTCTCACATTGTCTGTCTGTCTGTCTCTCTCTCTCTCTCTCTGTCAGTCTCCCCTTCTCTGTCTCTCTCAATTTCTTCTGTTCCCTTATCTTATCTCCCTGTCTCCCTCTGTTTCTCCCTCTGTCTCTCTCCTGTCTGTCTCTGTCTGTGTGTGACTTTGGAGGTCCGTAAGAGGTACCCCCTGGAATGGGGGCACAGCCAGTTCCAGACTTGAGTGAAGCCAGATCTCGGTGCCTTCCAGACCCTGACTGAAAGATCAAGGGAGTAGGCATGAAATAAACTTGAGGTTTTTTGTCATTTTTTTGGCTATTCAGTTCAGCGATTGCATCAGCCACCCCTAGGAGCCCTTTTCTCAGCCGTCCGCGTGTGCTTTATGCTTTATGTTTCCCTCTGAAGTGGGCTGTCCTTAGGCTTTTGGCATCTGGTGATGAGTTGCAAGATTTTGGTGCTTTTAAAAATAACTTCTTTGGGAGGTCTAGGCAGGCGGATTGCCTGAGGTCAGGAGTTCGAGACCAGCCTGGCCAACATGGTGAAACCCTGTCTCTACTAAAAATACAAAAAAATTAGCGGGGCATGGTGGCACGTGCCTGTAATCCCAGCTACTTAGGAGGCTGAAGCAGGAGAGTCACTTGAACCTGGGAGGCGGAGGTTGCAGTGAGCCGAGATCTTGCCATTGCACTCCAGCCTGGGCAACAAGAGCTAGACTTTGTCTCAAAAAAAAAAAAACTTTACAAAAAAATAACTTTACAAGGAGTTGTTTCTGTCCTTTATTCATCAGTTTGTTTTTTTCATCTATTGTTATTGATTAGAAGATTAAAATACTTATTTTGCTATCTTTAGCCAGAATGCTTTTTCTAAACAGCTGATTTTTTTTAAAGTATGACTCTTTTTTGGTTATTTTCCTTAAAAATAAAGGAACAATCATTAGTAATGTAGTTAAGAGATTAAATAAAATTAATGCATTAAAATATACATTAATATTTAAAATATAAACTTATTAGGAAGTTTATATTTTAAGCAGTAAAATGGAGTTTGTAAGGAGACTAGGAAGTATCTGGGAAGATCTGATGGTTTGACTGTAGCCGAGCAGGTGGCCTGTCCTCATCCCCCTGTGCCCCCAGGGCTCACCTAATAACACTGGGCTGGCTCCAGTACCTGTGAGTAATATTTGAGCAACAACCATGGCTGCAGTTGATGGCTCCTGCAAGATCTGTTCCCCTTGTCTCCGGTGCATTGTTACTCAGCATTTTCCCAGCCGCAGAGATGGCTGCGAGGAGAGCTTTGGATGGCAGGAGGAGATCTGCCTTCAGAAAGGGGCAGTGGGGGCTGGGCGGGGTGGCTCACACCTATAATCCCAGCACTTTGGGAGGCCGAGATGGGCAGATTGCTTGAGGTCAGAAGTTCAAGACCAGCCATGACCAACATGGAAAAACCCTGTTTGTACTAAAAATACAAAAATTAGCCTGGCACTGTGGCGGGTGTCAGCTACTCGGGAGGCTGAGATGGGAGAATTGCTTGAGCCCAGGAGGCGGAGGTTGCAGTGAGCCAAGATCGCGCCACTGCACTCCAAACTGGGTGACAGAACAAGACTCCATCTCAAAAAAAAAAAAAAAAAAAAGGCAGTGGGCCCTGTGCAAAATCCTGCTCCCATGCCCCTCTCCCATGGGCCTGGGTCCAGGAGTGTACCCTTGCCCCTCCAAGCTCGTAGCTCTTCTAAGCACCCTCCAGCCCCCTCCCTCAGTCTGGAGCCTTCTCTTTGTTTGTATCCCAGGTTGGGCCTAAAGTCTAGTCTTATAGGCCTGAGTGGAGCAACCCCCTTGTAAGACCCCTCCCCAGAAAGAAGGGTTGGTTTCCAGAAACAGCTGCTGCCTAGATAGGTGGAGACACTGTGTTCCCCAAAGGAAGGGTCGCAAGAGGGGCCTTTGAGAAAGGGTCTGTGGCTTTGCTCCCGGCCAGCTGGCCAGCCGTGAGAAGGGATGGCCAGGCTGTCCAGGGGCATGTTCGCCTCCTGCACATGTGCTAACATTGCGTCGTGTCCCCGCAGCCTGCTGCCACAGGCCCTGGGCGGCTCGTGCTTTCCACATCACAACATAGCAAAGTGATTTCCTCACATTCCCCACTCTTGTCTGCTCCGGGAAGTGGTTTGCAGAACGCTTCTAAATATAAAAGTATGAGACTGATTCTTTCTCTTATCCCTTTGAAACCAGCCGAGGTCCAGCCTCTAGTGAATTTTTGGGCTTGAGTGGAGGAGGAAGAAGGCCAGGAAAAGCTGGTTTGTGTGTGTGTGTGTGTGTGTGTGTGTGTGTGTGTGTGTGTGTGTGTGCGCGCGCACGCACGCACGCATATGGATACATGTACATGTGACCAGGTTCTGAGGATACCCAGAGGAGTGGTGGAAACAGACGAGGGTGAGTAGGTGATAGAGGCTAGGGCTGGGTGCTGGGGCATGCAGAGGAGAGGCTGTAGACTTCAACTATGTTTTTATTTTTATGTATTTGTTTATTTATTTTTTGAGACTCAGTTTCGCTGTATCGCCCAGGCTGGAGTGCAGTGGTGCGACCTCGACTCACTGCAACCTCCATCTCCTGGGTTCAAGCGATTCTCGTGCTTCAGCCTCCCGAGTAGCTGGGATTATAGGTGCCCGACAGTACACCTGGCTAATTTTTGTATTTTTAATAGGGACGGGGTTTCACCATGTTGCCCAGGCTGGTCTCAAGCTCCTGAACTGAGGTGATCTGCCCACTTCGGCCTCCCAAAGTGCTGGGATTACAATCAGGCGTGAGCCACCATGCCCACCGTAGACTTCAACTATGGACAGCTCTGTTCCGCCACCTGTTTAAAAGAGCATTCATTTGCTTCTCCCCCAGAAAAGCCCAATACATTAATCTACTGGGGAGAAGAGCAGGATGTAGGAGAAGGCCACAGAGAAGGATCCTCAAAACATAGTGCTGAGTATGAACAACGAGTAGGAAGCAGGTGAGAGATCTTGCAGGACCGTTCACATGAGTAAGAAATACCTGCCCGTGGAACACCAATTGCATTTTACAAGAGCACATGCAAACAAAAGGACTCATGTGAAACACAATAGATTGGTTGTGGAGGGAATGTGGGTAACAGGGAATTAATGAGTGAAATGAGAAGCAGCCAGTGTGGCATCACAGAAAGAAGGCAGACTTGGGAGCCAGACAGATCCAGGGGCAGCTCCTGAGCCTGCCATTTACTGGGGCATCCTTGACTCCGATTTCCTTGTCTATAAAATGAGGCTGATGGTGTTGAGAGTTCTCTGGATCAGAAATGTGTCCTCTAGGTCGGGCGCGGTGGTTCACGCCAGTCCCAGTCTGTCCGCCAGGCAGGAGGCAGAGCACTTTGGGAGGCCAAGGTGGGCAGATCACCTGAGATCAGGAGTTCGAGACCAGCCAACATGGTGAAACCCTGTCTCTACTAAAAATACAAAAAATTAGCCAGGCATGGTGACGGGTGCCTGTAATCCTAGCTACTCAGGAGGCTGAGGCAGGAGAGATGCTTGAACCTGGGAGGTGGAGGTTGCAGTGAGCCGAGATCATGCCATTGCACTCCAGCCTGGGCAAAAGAGCAAAACTCTGTCCAAAAAAAAAAACGAAAGAAAAGAAAAGAAATGTGTCCTCTATCAGGCAGAATCCTATGGATTAAAAAAAGAAGAAGAAGAAAAAGGCAGTGTGTCTGTGCACAGGATCTAGCAAGAAGTGGGCAGTCAGAGGAACTAGGGCAGCCAGAAGCAGGTGGTCAGATGGGCCTTTTTTTTTTTTTTTTTTTTGAGGGTGGAACTGTTTCTCTCTGTGATTCAATACAGTGGTCACCAGCCACCTATGGCCCCTGAGCACTGGAAGTGTGGCTAGTGTGACCGAGGAAATGAATTTTCAATTTTACTTCATTTAAATTAAATTTAGGCCGGGCGCGTTGGCTCATGCCTGTAATCCCAGTACTTTGGGAGGCCGAGGTGGGTGGATCACCTGAGGTCAGGAGTTCGAGACCAGTCTGGCCAACATGGTGAAACCCCGTCTCTACTAAAAATACAAAAATTAGCTGGGCGTGGTGGCGGGCACCTGTAATCCCAGCTACTTGGGGGCTGAGGCGGCAGAATTGCTTGAACTCAGGAGGCGGGGGTTGCAGTGAGCTGAGATTGCACCACTGCACTCCAGCCTGGATGACAGAGTGAGACTCTGTCTTGAAATAAATAAATAAATAAATTTAAATAGCCTCATGTCGCTAGGGCTGTCATATTGGACAGAGCAGGTTTAAGGAATATTTTAACCTCTCTCTCTCTCTCTCTCTCTCTCTCTCTCTCTCTCTCTATATATATATATATATATATATATATATGTATATATGTATATATGTCTGTATATATACGTATATACATATATGTATATATGTGTGTGTATGTGTGTGTGTGTGTGTGTGTGTGTATAATTTTTTTTTTTTTGAGACAGGGTCTTGCTCTGTCACCCAGGCTGCAGTGACGTGATCTTGGCTCACTGCAACCTCCACCTCCCGGGTTCAAGCCATCCTCTCACTTCAGCCTCCCAAGTAGCTGGGACGACAGGTGGGCGCCACCACATTTGGCTTATTTTTTGTAGAGATGGGGTTTCATTATGTTGCCCAGGCTGGTCTCAAACTCCTGGGCTCAAGTGATCCTTCTACCTCGGCTTCCCAAAGTGTTGAGATTACAGGTATAAGCCACCACAACCAGGCTATTTTAACTTCTTAGAAGCCAGAGAAGATTTTCCTTATTGTATGGGATTGAGGCCACCTATCCCCAAGGGTAGGGTGGGTGAGGCAGGGTTGGGTGCAGGCAGGGTGTAAAGGGCGTCCTCCTCACCACCAGGAATTTGGGGTGAACTGCTGTGGCCACTCTGACCAGGTCTGCAGGCTGTGCTTCTCAGCCTGGATTATTAGTCTCCTAGGCGGGAGACAGAGATGGGTGAAAAAGGCTCGTAAATTGGAATTTATCAGAGTTTTCTGAGCCTGTTTAGAAAATTAATCATTAAACTAAGGCTACAACCAGTCCAAGGTAGTGGTCCTGGCCTGTCTAGTTCACCCCCTGCTTCTGCGGGAAGGACCATGGGAAGCTGGCTCCCAGGCTCCACCCTGGCACTGTTCTCCATGGTGGACTCTGAAGGATCCTGCACATTGGAACCCCTGGGAGTCAGAGACCTGGAAGCACTTTGGGTCCGAACCCCTCCAGTGAATGGCTGTTGAGCCCACAGCAAATCTCTTCCCATCTTCCCTGGGTGATCAGGGGCTGGACTTCTTGTCCTCTTGGATCACTGGGAGCACTGGCTGAGCACCACAGAGGTCTTCCTGAGGCTGAGCTCGTGGCATATTTCCCAGTCTCCTGTTCCAGCAGCCCTGTTGCCTTCCCTGGGATGTATATTATTTCTGCAGGCTCCTCACTGGCGTCTTCAGGAGACAGCTGGCTGCTGTCTGTCCCTCTCCTCTTGGGGCCAAGAATGGATTTGGGGCCAGATCCGTTCCCAGACATGGAGAGTGCTGAGAACTTGTGGTTCCCCTTGGCAATTCTGTTCCAGGTCCTCCTTCCTGCATTCACCTTTGGAAGGGGTCTGCTTAGTCCGAGAGCTTTTGAGTCCTGGGTTCCACGGTTCCTTAGAATTTCTGGGGTTTTTAACTTTCCTGAAAAATAGGCAGACTTTTGTGTGTCTATACTTAATGTGAATTTCATTTAAATATCATAGGGAGGGACTGTAGGCTGATAAAGCGTTACTAAAATTGGTTTCAAGGCTACCATCTTCCAAGTGAGAAAACTGAGACTCAGAGAGGAAAATTAAGTTGGCCAAGATGGATAAATGTAGATGTAGGACAATATTTCAGGTCAAATGGACACTTGAGTGACTTCATTCCCCCACGCGTGCTCTCAGGGTATTTACTGCGTGTCCCAGGCACCAGGGGGGCACAGATGTCTCACACTGGGCACAAATGTCTGCCCTTCCCTCCAGCTTACTAGCTTGGGGGATAAAGCTCTCAGTCACAGCAGAGGCAAGAGTGATGGGGTATCCCAGGCAATGAGATTTCAGTGCAAGTGTGTGGCCAAGGCAGGAGATGGCAGAGGCAGGTCTCCCGGGGAGGCTGCACGGGGCTGCGCCGAGGAACAGAGCAGCTCATCAGAATGATGCTGGATCCCTGTTTGCAGCCCCCAGCTGCCTCAGACCCCACACACCTGCTGTTTGTTAGGTCACTCTTAATCCCTCCCAGGCCTGGTGCTGCATTTACTAAGTGGGCTCTGAGGATTGGCTGTGCGGATGGTGAGTGGGGGAGATTCTGGGGAATGGGCCCCCGTTTCTGTAACTACCTCTGTGATTCATTGCAGCCAGTCCAATGTTAGGTCTTGGTGACTGTTCAGTTGCATGCTGTCATTTCTGTAATTTTACAGATAGGACTGCCTGGGAGGAGGTGGCGATTGACCAGGGTCACCCTCATTAGTGACTGTATCAAACCAGAACCCAGGTTTCCCTAACTTATGTTCCTTCCATCTCATCACACCACCTCACTCCAGCTGCATTTTTCATTCATTGCTACTTCCTAAGAGACTCCACAGCCAATAAAGGGTCACTAAGGGCAAGAGGCATGTACTGGGTATAGCCCTTCCAGCCCCAGAAGAAGATGGGCGGGGTCCAGGTTCTGATGGTGACCCCTGGCTGGGGAGCACCTTACGTCATGTGCCATGTTTCTGTTTTTTTTTTTTTTTTTTTTGACTATGTTGCTCAGGCGGAACTCCTGGCCTCAAGGGATCCTCTTGCCTCATCCTCCCAAGTTGCTGGGATTACAGGCGCTGTGCCTGACTCAGCTGGCTGGCATTCTTGTCTCTCCATGCTTGGATACCATGTGATGCCGGACCCAAGGCCTTACTCCTGCCATTAGAGGTTAATCTGCCCCCTCCAGGGCCTCCTGGGAGTGGGACAGGCAAGTCTGAGTTTCGGTTTTCACCGGAGATGTAAGAGCTGGCCTGCTAAATTGTTTCTGCCCCAGTCCTTGGTGATCCTGTTCTGTTTCTCTAATCTGGATGTGGGAACCTCTCCAGATACTGATATTAAGTCCCAGGATAGGAAAACTCAGCAGGGTCCCTGGCTCTGCTCCCTCTTGCTCTGCTTAGGGCAAGGTCTGGGATGGATTTTGGAGGGCTCCTGTTGGTGAACCTGGGACCTTTTGTAGACCCTGGGAAGACAGAAGGGGAGCAGAATTTTGTGCTCTGCAGCTCACTGGGTCTTGGAGTCAGCTTGTCCATCTTCAGTGACTTCTGAACCCTTATGCTCTGGGCTCACCATCAGACAGTCTGGGTTGCTTGCACTGAAACCACATACAGTGTACTGGTGGTAGTCGGGGGAGACATTCTAAATCCTCAGAGTCACAAATAGCCCTGCAGCATTTTGTGTTTCTGCCAACCTGGGTAAAAGGGAGATGACTGGACTTACTGTTCACTCAAATGAGTTATTCCTGTAGTGATTGAGACTGTTCTTCAAAACGTTACAAATGTGGCCAGGCATGGTGGCTCATGCCTGTAATCCTAGCACTTTGGGAGGCTGAGGCAGGAGGATCACTTCAGCCCAGAAGTTCAGTACCAGCCTGGGCAACCTAGGGGGACCCCAATTCTACAAAAACAATTTGAAAATTAGCTGGGCATGCAGGCACGTGCCTGTGGCCCCAGCTACTCAGGAGGCTGAGGTGGGAGAATTGCTTGGGCCTCGGAGGTTGAGGCTGCAGTGAGCCGTGCTTGCATCACTGCACTTCAGTGTGGGGCGACAGAATGAGACCCTATTTCAAAAAGAAAAAAAATGTCTCTGGGCCACACACATTTGGGGTGGCTCAAGAGCAGTCCAGAGTTATCAGTCAGATCTTTAAGGTATGAGGTCTGCAGTACAGTGCACTGGGCCCTGGGGGAGGATTAGGTAGGCTATTCAGGGGTTGGGGAGGCACCCTGGGCCCTCTGGCTTGGCCTTCAGAGTTTCCAAGTGGTGGGGACTTGAGAGGAAGTTTGTCCTCTGTGGGTCAGGGAGCCCCGGGGCTGCTCCTCCCCTGGAACATTTATGCTTCTCAGGTTGAGGGCTGCTTCTCCTGGCCTGTGGCCTGGCGCTGTCTCCCTACACTGGGAAGCTGGCAAACCTCTCCCTTGGGGGTCTATGTATGCCCTACAGGAGCCACCCACCTTGACCTGGACTCTAGGGGCCATCTGGCATTCGGGATATTCCCTACAGGGACCCAGGCCGTGGAGCCGGGGACTGAATCTTTTTTTTTTTTTTTTTTTGAGATGGATCTTGCTCTGTCACCCAGGCTGGAGTGCAGTGGCATGATCTCGGCTCACTGCAACCTCTGTCTCCCTGGTTCAAGCGATTCTCCTGTCTCGGCCGCCCAAGTAGCTGGGATTATAGGCACGCGCCACCATGCCCAGCTAATTTTTGTATTTTTAGTAGATATGGGGTTTCATCATGTTGGCCAGGCTGGTCTCGAACTCCTGACCTTGAGTGGTCTACCTGCCTTGGACTCCCAAAGTGTTGGGATTACAGGCATGAGCCACCGCACCCGGCCAAAGGACTGAGTCTTTAGTGTGGTGCTGGTGTGGAAGTGTCAGACACATATGTGTGGCTGATTGACTTGGGGTGTGGGAGATCCTGCAATTATTCACACAGTCATGCTCCACCATGCAAAATCCCCATGCCTCTGTGGAGCACACTCCTGGAGGACTTCTGGGCCGGTAGCATCAAGCTCCCCACTCAGCCAGGGTCTTTCTATCTCAGCCTGGTCCTGAGACATCTGACGGATGGCGTTTTCTTTTACCATGTTGGCCAAGCTGGTCTCAAACTCCTGATCTTGTGATCCGCCCGCCTTGGCCTCCCAAAGTGCTGGGATTACAGGCGTGAGTCACTGCGCCTGGCCGGATGGAATTTTCTTTAATGAGAGAGAGAAGTTGATTGATAGAATCAAACAGTGATGTGTGGCAGATTCTGAGGCCTATATAGGTCCTGGGGGTGTTTTTCCTAAACCAGGAGTTCTAGCTCCTGAGAGATGGGTAGTTGAGTGGCCCAGATGGATCCTTGGATTGAAGCAGCCAAAATTACTTAGAGTGGGAGTGCCTAGGAAAAACTTCCTGCTGCTCCCTGCTCTCTGTAACAATTGTGTTTACACATATGTGTGTGTATACACGCACACATATGCACACATGGGCTGGCTGGGCCTGAGCCCAGAGAGCAACACGGAGGGTGGGCACCAGACCAGATGCTGGCGGGGGTGGGGGTGGAGGGCAGGCACGGGAGACGCAGGCAGAGTGAGTGTCTGCATATAGATGGCTGTTAGGGAGCCAAGGAAATGGCTTGGAAAATGTCCTTATTGGGTGTTTGCAGCTCCGGCTTTGTTGGGGTCGGCGCCTGGTGTGGGCAGATGGCCCTGTCTGCCTGTTGTTGCTGAGGGCTTCTTGCCTGCTGAGCCCGGTACGGCAGGCTCATACCGGGGAAGCAGCACCCTCTGCGTTTTGTGCCGTGTGTGGGCTTTGTGAATGTGAACCCGTTAGCCCTTACTCAGGTGGGGTGGTGGCCGCTGTCCCCATTTCACGGCAAAGAAGGGTGCAGAGGCCACACTAAGGTAGCGTCACTAGGGAGCAGCGGAGGCAGGGCTGTTTGGCAGCAGCAAAGCTGCACATGGAGCTGGCTGCCTCCGGGGTCACGTGGCCTGCATCTCCATGGGGGCTTGTGTGCAGTGGAGGGGGTTGCATGGCATGGCCCGGTGGCAAAAGAGGAGGCAGCCTCGGGAAGCCCAGGACCTTTCCCAGACCACAGTCCTGGGGGCATACTCAAGTCAGGGGGCGGGGACAGGAATGTGCTGGTGACTACATCACCTTGAGGCAGGTACCACCTCAATCCCGAACCGCCTGCCTTCTTCTCTGTCATTGCTGTCCTCCATTTCTTGTTATCAGCAAAGCTTCTGACAAAGCAAAAGTAGAGTCCCTTACTTCCCAGCTCCTTTCTTGGAGTCTGACCTTTCTGCCAGGTCTCCTTTGTCTGCTTCCCCAAAACAAAACAGCGGACCAAAGCCAGGCACAGTGGCTCATGCCTATAATCCCAGCAGTTTGGAAGCCGAGGTGGGAGGATCGCTTGAGCTAAGGATTTCAAGACCAGCCTGGGCAACATGGCAAAACCCTGTCTCTATAAAAAACTAGCTGGGCATGGTGGCACATGCTTGAGGTCCCAGCTACCTAGGAGGCCGAGGTGGGAGGATCACTTGAGCCCTGGAGGTCAAGGCTGCAGTGAGCCGTGATGGCACCACTGTACTCCAGCCTGGGCAACAGAGTGAGACCCTATCTCAAAAATAGCCCAACAACAAACAACAGGCCAACGTCCCCCGCTGCAAGCTGGGCAGATGGCCAGGCTGGGCACACCACAGACTGTCTTCTGAGCAAACATGGGTGCCGCAGCACTGGGCCAACCTGAATAAAGAGCCTCATGGTTGAGGTGCGTATAGCAGGGGCTGGGGGCTTGGAGCAGACCTGGGAGCTGCATTCTCTGCCTTTTGAAACATCTGCTGGGCGGGGTGGCTCACGCCTGTAATCCCAGCACTTTGGGAGGCCGAGGCGGGTGGATCACCTGAGGTTGGGAGTTCGAGACCAGCCTGACCAACATGGAGAAACTCAGTCTCTACTAAAAATACAAAATTAGCTGGGCGTGGTAGCTCATGCCAGTAATTCCAGCTAGTTGGGAGGCTGAGACAGGAGAATCGCTTGATCCCGGGAAGCGGAGGTTGCCGTGAGCTGAGATTGTGCCATTGCATTCCAGCCTGGGCAACAAGAACGAAAACTCTGTCTCAAAAAACAAAAAAAAGAAAAAAGAAACATCTAAAGTCTGTCCCAGCCAAGCACTAACCAGGACCTTCTGTGAGCTGACGTCAGGACAGAGGCCCCCTCGGGGCCAGCTTTGATGTTTCCCAGGCCCAGTCGTTGGGGCACAGGGGGCTCTGAGTGGCAGTCTGGGAATGCAGCATCTCTCACCACAGCTATGGAGCAGTCCAGTCCCAGCCCCAGGAGTGGGTGCTGGAGGCTGAGCTGGGGGTGGCCGAGGCTGAGCTGGGGTCTCTCTGAGTCACGCTGTCTCTTCTCCCAGCTTGGGTTTCTGTGGCAGGTGGTCTGTGGTTCCTGCAAGCTCAGGGCCCCTTCCCCTCTATCCCACCCACCACCTGCTTATTGCCTTCAGACTTCTCTGCTGTGGCAGCTCCTTCCCTGGCCAGGGTCTGGGAGTGGTCCTGGCACTTGGCAAGTGGAGAGCCTTCTAATCTTCTTAGAAGTTGAGTCCTTGAGCAGGAGGGGTGATCATGAGAATATTAACAGTAGCTGCCATTTACTGAAGATGAACCATTTGCAAGGCACTTCATGTATGTTTCCAGGTTTACAACTCATGACAGCCTTGTGAGAGAGGCAGAGGAAGCTGAGACACAGTCTGTGTTACTTACCCAAGGTCAGACACACTGAGTGTAACAGGTCAGGATCTGAGCCCAGCCTGTCTCATTCCAGCCCCTTAGCTGCTCCTCTGTGTGGGTGAGACTCCTGGCTCCCCACCATGTCTGCAGAAGCTGAGCGAGGAAGTGGGGGCTTGTCCACACTTCGAAGGCAGGTGATCTCTCTTTGGTCTTTGACAAGCCTCCTGGAGTTGTGGGTCAAAGATCCTAGGATTTTGGGCAGGGCGCCATGGCTCACATCTGTAATCCCAGCACTTTAGGAGGCCGAGGTGGGTGGATCACTTGAGGTCAGGAGCTCGAGACTAGCCTGGCCAACATGGTGAAACCCTGTCTCCACAAAAAATACAAAAATTAGCCAGGTGTGGTGGTGCGTAGCTGTAATCCCAGCTACTCGGGAGGCTAAGGCATGAGAATCGCTTAAATCCGAGAGGTGGAGGTTGCAGTGAGCCAAGATTGCACCACTGCACTCCAGCGTGGGTGGCAGAGTAAGTAAGACTCCGTCTCAAAAAAAAAGAAAGGTCCTAGGATTTTGGTGAGTCACATTTGCAGAGGCCCACTGGGGACTCAGTCTGATTCTGCCCATCTGTGTCATGAGAGGTGCTCCAGAAGTACCCCGTGAACCAGTTCTTGCCCCACGCTTCCTCAGAGGTCACTTTGGTTCAGGCAGTGCTTGCTGGGTGCCTTTGTGTGCCTGACATTGTCTGCAAGAGGTGTGTCCACACACTACCTGGCAGTCGGGAATGTGACTCCTCATTGTAGGATCAGATGCTTCCAGGGTTGTTTCTGAGTCCCTGGGCGGGGATGGGAAGAGCACAGAGTTGGTTTCTTTGGGTCATAGTCCTGGCTCTGCCACATATGAGCTATTTGATCGTGGGCAGATTCCTTCTTGTGCCTGGACCTGGGTTTACCCATCTGTACCACGGTGCTGAGCAGGAACAGAGCCCTATTCCTGTGGATCATTTGGAAATGTGTAGGGATGTGTTTGAATTGTCACAATGCCGGGAGGGCAGATTTGTTAACTTGCACAGCAGGTGGAATAGCTCACCCAGAGAACCATCAGTGCCACGCTGAGAAGTAATGGGCTGCTTGGAGCTGCTTCCAGCTCCATGACTGGGTTTTGTGTCAGGAGATGTGGGCTGGCACCTATGAGCATGTTGGGAGACGGACCAACACCAGGGGCAGCCCCTCATCTGGACCCAGCCTGGGGGATCCTGGAATTGTCTTGACACTGACTTTATGAGGAGACTGATTCTCATGCCATAAAGAACAGAACCCCACCTCCAGGGACTTGGAAGGGGCTCTGTAGGCCAAGATTAGTTTCCAGTGGTTTGGGAAGGGATGGAAAAGACTCCGTTAGTACCTTTCTGCCCTTGCCCAGCCAGTTTGGCTCAAGGCAGAGCCTGCTGCTTCGTGTAGCAGTTCCAGGTGGCCCATTTCTTCTTCCGGGGGCGGGGGGATCAGGGAGTCCTCTTCTGTGTTCAAGGCCCAGTGGCTCCAGGCCTCTGCAAGTCGCCCACGCGGGCTAGGAACAAAGTCCAGTGTGTTGCTCCTGCCGCCGCCGTAACCATGCCACCCACCTGCCCGGCTCTGCCCTCCGCCTCCCTAAACCCATCTGCCATACAGTGTAGGCTTCTTCCTCTTTCCTTTGTTCCCACTGACTGCAGTTCCACCTTTGGTTGCGGGGACCCTGTGGCCAGAGCTGAACTATAATGGTGCAGGAAGGGGAATGACTTCAAGTGGAACTCTGGAACCACATGGCTCTCCTCTTAACACAGAGAAGCTGACCTTGGCCACAGATGGATTTTCAGGGATAAAGAACAGGACATGGGGCCGGGTGCGGTGGCTCACGCCTGTAATCCCAGCACTTTGGGAGGCCGAGGCGGGCGGATCACGAGGTCAGGAGATCGAGACCATCCTGGCTAACACCGTCAAACCCCATCTCTACTAAAAATACAAAAAATTAGCCAGGCGTGGTGGCGGGCACCTGTAGTCCCAGCTACTCGGGAGGCTGAGGCAGGAGAATGGCGTGAACCCAGGAGGCAGAGCTTGCAGTGAGCCAAGATCGCGCTACTGCACTCCAGCCTGGGTGACAGATCGAGACTCCGTCTCAAAAAAAAAAAAGAACAGGACATGGGAATGACCTTGGCTTGTTTTTGGCAGTAGCCCAGGTTTCTAGAGAATCTTGGCTTCTCCAGTGATGGGTTGGGTTTTTTCAAAGAAGCGTCTGGGAAACGTTGGGCTGCAGAGCATTTGCGGATGAGATTCAAAGCGTCCCATCTGTGGCCACCTCTGATGCTGGCACCGTCGAGGGGCATGAGTGAAGCCATCTTTCCAGGGTGCTGTTTGGGTCATGATTTAACTTTACTAAACCTCCTGAGTCTGTATTGGGGGAAGGTGGCCTGCAGTGTCCCCGGCTCCTCAGCCTGGCATCAAAACCTCCTGTGATCTCACCCTGCAGGCCCAGACTCTCTTTTGCTAGGAAGCCTCCCTGTGCAGCCAGCCCTTAGGGGTCCCTTCTTCCTTCGTGCTCAAGTCACTACTGCCTGCCCACCCCATTCATTTGGCATTTATGTGACTGTAACTGTGTTCTGTGTGCCCCTCTAGTCTTCAGACCTCTTGAGGAGAGGCTACTGTGTCTTTGTATCCTACAGAGCACTCAGCACAGTTGAAAAGCTCTTCAGGGGGCTGGGCGTGGTGGCTCACGCCTGTAATCCTAGCACTTTGGGAGGCCGAGGTGGGCAGATCACCTGAGGTCAGGGGTTCGAGACCAGCCTGGCCAACATGGCGAAACCCTGTCTCTACTAAAAATACAAAAATTAGCTGGGTGTGGTGGCTCATGCCTATAATCCCAGCTACTCGAGAGGCTGAGGCAGAAGAATCACTTGAACCCAGGAGGTGGAGGTTGCAGTGAGCTGAGATCACACCACCACATTCCAACCTGGGTGACAAGAGCAAAAAAAGAAAAAGAAATCTCAAAAAGAAAAAGAAAAGTTTTTCAGGGGACTCTTGCAATTGTGGCATCATGATCCTTCACACCTGCACTTACTGGACGCCTCCTGTGTACACAGCCCCTTTCCTCCTGTGCACAAGGTGGCCTGTGTTAGGACAGAGGCTGCAGCTCCCCCTGACCCTGCCTCTCCCCTGTTTGCATCTACAGGTACCCAGACAGCCATTGTCTTCATCAAGCAGCCGTCCTCCCAGGATGCACTGCAGGGGCGCCGGGCGCTGCTTCGCTGTGAGGTTGAGGCTCCGGGCCCGGTACATGTGTACTGGCTGCTCGATGGGGCCCCTGTCCAGGACACGGAGCGGCGTTTCGCCCAGGGCAGCAGCCTGAGCTTTGCAGCTGTGGACCGGCTGCAGGACTCTGGCACCTTCCAGTGTGTGGCTCGGGATGATGTCACTGGAGAAGAAGCCCGCAGTGCCAACGCCTCCTTCAACATCAAATGTGAGAGCCAGGGGGGCTGTGCCCAGTCCCCCTGTCAGACCCTCAATGACTGAGGCCTGGGGGATCCCTCCCTTACCTCAGCTTCTCCCATTTCCAGTTAAACGGGCCAGGCAGAATGCATTTATCATCAGCTTTTTTTGCTCATGTGGATAAGAGGAAATTAAAAGTTATATTTTTTCCAAAATTTTTTCCTTCAAGTCTGGGACCCATTTATCTGCTGCATGCTTGTGCAAATGGAAAGGGCGGCCGAGCCCTTGGCCAAGTGTCAGACTTGACCTGCCAGGGACCAGGCAGGCACTTAGTATCTGGTAACTGTAGCCCCAGCCTCAGCCTCCAGGGCTTCCTTGTGTCTGTTGGCACAGAGCCTCGAGGTTCCACGGCTTCCTGCTTGTCCTCCTTGCCCTCTGCCTTCCCGCCTTTGCCCTGCTCTGCCCCTCACTGCAACCGTGGCCTCTGCTACAGGGATTGAGGCAGGTCCTGTGGTCCTGAAGCATCCAGCCTCGGAAGCTGAGATCCAGCCACAGACCCAGGTCACACTTCGTTGCCACATTGATGGGCACCCTCGGTAAGGAGTCAGGGAGGTGGGGATGAAGAGGGTTATTCCGGACAGGGATGTCTCCCCAAATCTTGGACTCTATGCGGATGTTACCTCGCTCCATTCTGTGACCACTCGTTCCACCACCACAGTGCTCTTCACCCTGCCCTCCCCCAGATATTGCCCTATGCCGGCCCCTGGTGGCCTGAAGAGTGAGCCACATTGTGTGTAGAGCTGGGAGATCTAATATCAACTTGATTCTGCCCCTGAATCAGAATTACTGTGTGCCCTTTTGCAAGTCCCTTCCCTTCCTCAGGCCGTTTCTCCATGTATAAACTGAAAGGTCTAGCCCTGACCCTCTGATACTGTATCCTCTCCACTGGCCACTGAGTACCCCTCCCCACCACTGCTGACTGTGTCTGCCCTGCAGGCCCACCTACCAATGGTTCCGAGATGGGACCCCCCTTTCTGATGGTCAGAGCAACCACACAGTCAGCAGCAAGGAGCGGAACCTGACGCTCCGGCCAGCTGGTCCTGAGCATAGTGGGCTGTATTCCTGCTGCGCCCACAGTGCTTTTGGCCAGGCTTGCAGCAGCCAGAACTTCACCTTGAGCATTGCTGGTGAGCCTGGGGTGGGGGCGGAAGGGATGAGGTGAGCACAGGAGGGCCTCACCACCCAGGCTGCATGCTCCCCCATCTTTCCCTCTCCAGATGAAAGCTTTGCCAGGGTGGTGCTGGCACCCCAGGACGTGGTAGTAGCGAGGTATGAGGAGGCCATGTTCCATTGCCAGTTCTCAGCCCAGCCACCCCCGAGCCTGCAGTGGCTCTTTGAGGATGAGACTCCCATCACTAACCGCAGTCGGTAAGGCATCTGGCTGGGAGCATTCCAGTACCATGTACCACACACATGCATTCTGTAGAAGGGGGTGCGATTTGTATCACAGACATCACAGATTTGTACATGTATTATTTCAAATTTCCAAGAGACACAGTTGAATGTTTTGCTTTTACAAGATGAGTCTGACACAGGGAAGAGTCTCTGGGAAGAGCCCTTTTCCAGTTTGCACAAAGGCACTCTGAGCTAGTGATGGTTCCACTTCTCTCTCCCCACCACCCACATGGGTCTTCTGGGATGGAAGGGTAGAGACCCCAGGGATGAGAGAGACACAAGAGACCTAGGTAGTCAGGTGGTCATAGTCTAGATAGCGTGATCCAGTGTGGCAAAGACATCACACACACACACACACACACACACACACACACACACACACACACACACTTTTTAGAGGAAGCAAACACCTCTAGAAGGTTCCAGCCCTACTGCAGGGACTTCTGTTCTTGCCTGGACCCTAGGAGAACATAGAACACCTTTGCAGTGTCAGGCACGACCATGGTCCTTGGGGGTGTGGCTTCCTAGGCTAGGGGCTTGGATGCCACTTGGCTTCAGCCCTGAGGACATCATCAGTAGCCTGCCTGGTATGGCTGAGGGGTATCTGACCCTGGAGCTGGGTGCCCTATCAACGTGGCCCTGTGGGAAGGTGGCTTCCCTGTCTTGACAGTTGCACATGGTGGTTATTCTGTGTATTAGTCCATTTTAATGCTGCTGATAAAGACATACCCGAGACTGAGCAGTTTACAAAAGAAAGAGGTTTAATTGGACTTACAGTTCCACATGGCTGGGCAAGCCTCACAATCATGGCAGAAGGCAAGGAAGACCAAGTCACGTCTTACATGGATGGCAGCAGGCAAAGGAGAGAGAGCTTCTGCAGGGGAATGCCTCATTTTAAAACCATCAGATCTCGTGAGACTTGTTCACTATCATGAGAACAGCACGGGAAAGACTTGCCCCCATGATTCAGTTACCTCCCACTGGGTCCCTCCCACAACATGTGGGAATTATGGGAGCTACAATTTAAGATGAGATTTGAGTGGGGACACAGCCAAACCATATCACTCTCTCTCGCACCTGCATTGCCATTTGCCTCATTGCTTCCCGAGCTGATCTCCTGTAGTTGGAACACACACCTGCACGTGCACCTGAGCAAGTGTATGCAGGCACACACACCAGTCTGGAGTGTCAGCTTCCTTCTCTCTGCCCTGTTCCTGGTCGATTCCTTACTACATTTCCGACTTTGCAGGAAAGGGGTTCCCTTGCATTCCTTTCCAGAACTAGGCCTATTGGCCACTTTCTCCAAATTGCACTCTCCCCTCTGCAGCCCCCCACACCTCCGCAGAGCCACAGTGTTTGCCAACGGGTCTCTGCTGCTGACCCAGGTCCGGCCACGCAATGCAGGGATCTACCGCTGCATTGGCCAGGGGCAGAGGGGCCCACCCATCATCCTGGAAGCCACACTTCACCTAGCAGGTGAGTCTCTGGGTCTGGGGTGCTGATGTGGGAGGCTGCCTTTAACATTTTTGGCACATAGAGATTTAGGCTTCTGTTTTTACTCAGCCGCTTGGAGGGCAGGGGAAGAAAAGGATGCTGGGAGTAGGAAGAGGATATGCAGAGGGCTGCAGGGGAGGGTTTGTGCTGGGAAAGGGCCTAGGCTTGCTGTGGGAGAACATCATGTACCCTGAGACCCACAATAATTGGGCCATTCCTCCTACTTATGTCCTTGCAGAGATTGAAGACATGCCGCTATTTGAGCCACGGGTGTTTACAGCTGGCAGCGAGGAGCGTGTGACCTGCCTTCCCCCCAAGGGTCTGCCAGAGCCCAGCGTGTGGTGGGAGCACGCGGGAGTCCGGCTGCCCACCCATGGCAGGGTCTACCAGAAGGGCCACGAGCTGGTGTTGGCCAATATTGCTGAAAGTGATGCTGGTGTCTACACCTGCCACGCGGCCAACCTGGCTGGTCAGCGGAGACAGGATGTCAACATCACTGTGGCCAGTGAGCACCTTTGCCCTGAAGGTCAAGGAGAGGTGGAGGGGAACACAGGTCTGGGTGTGATGGACAGAGGCTTCCCTGGTACTCACCTGAGGTCCTCTCAGTTCTGGGCCCTGCAGGCTTGGGAATCAGTTCACTACTGGGAGTCGGTGTAGACAGTAGAGAGCCAGGCACAGGGGTTAGGGTGGGTGCTCCAGAGGAAATAGTGACAGCCCTCACAGAAAAATGGTCCTCTGGGTACAGAGGAAAGAGCAATAGACTAGGAATCTAGAGACCTGGGTCCCACTATGCTCCCAATGCACAGAGTGACGATGGTAGCAAATCACCCACCTTACTGGGGTTCAGTCTCCTCATCCATAAAATGGAGCCAGTAATCTACTACCTACCCCACAAGGTGGTTGGAAAGGTCAAATGAAGTAGATGAAAATGATTTTTCTTTTTTTCTTTTTTGGGAGGTAATAGTGGACAAAATTATAGGTGATTTTTAATTTGTTTTAGTTTGTTATGCTTTCCAAATTTCTTTACTAAACATATTACTTATGAAAAAAAAGAGGGGGAGAAAAGCAAGACATATGACTGAAAGTACACATGATAAACCCTTTATATCAGGCTGGGCGCGGTGGCTCATGCCTGTAATCCCAGCACTTTGGGAGGCCGAGCCGGGCGGATCACAAGGTCAGGAGTTGGAGACCAGCCTGACCAACATGGTGAAACCCCATCTCTACTAAAAATACAAAAATTAGCTGGGCGTGGTGGGGCACACCTGTAATCCCAGCTACTCAGGAGGCTGAGGGAGGAAAATTGCTTGAACCCAGGAGGCAGAGGTTGCAATGAGCTGAGATCGCACCGTTGCTCTTCAGCCCGGGCAACAGAGTGAGACTCCATCTCAAAACAAAACAAAACAAACCTTATATCCTCACTACAGGCATAGGGATTTATTTGTTTACTTATTTCTTTATACCATGCCTTGTTCCAAACCTTTTGTGGTAGTTTAAAAGGATACACAATAAAAATTACAATATGCACACAGAGACACACATACATACAAACTATTTTGCAATCTGCTTCTTCCACTTACCTTTATGTTACTATTATCTTTCCGAGTGGGTAACTTTGCAAAAAGATTTGAATATGAAAGTGGCTTTGTAAATGTGAAGTTGTGATGCTAGTATTCCCATTAGGATACTGAAATCTTAGAAGACATGCACCTATACTCAGGCCGTGATTTGGGTGGGAATCACAGCACATGTGTAACGAGTGCTCAGGACACTCACAGTGCAGGTGCAAAGGCAAGATGCACAGTCAAGCCTTCCTCCAGTTGAGGTCTGAGAATCACCTGCTTTCATTAGGGATACTTTTTCTTCTTTTGTTTGAGACGGAGTCTCACTCTGTCACCCAGGCTGGAGTGTAGTGGTGTGATCTTGGCTCACTGCAACCTGCGCCTCCCAGGTTCAAGTGATTCTCGTGCCTCAGCCTCCCAAGTAGCTGGGTTTAAAGGTGTGTGCCACCACACCTGGCTAATTTTTGTATTTTTAGTAGAGGCGATGTTTTACCATGTTGGCCAGGCTAGTCTCAAACTCTTGACCTCAAGTGATCCACCTGCCTCGGCCTCCTAAAGTGCTGGGATTATGGGTGTGAGCTGCCATGCCCGGCCTCATTAGGGATACTTTTTAAAACACAGGCCAGGCGTGGTGGTTCACACCTATAATCCCAGTGCTTTGGGAGGCCGAGATAGGAAGATCTCTTGAGCCCAGGAGTTTGAGACCAGGCTGGACAAAATAGTGAGACCTTGTGTCTACAGAAATTTAAAAAGTTAGCTGGGCGCGGTGGCTCACGCTTGTAATCCCAGCACTTTGGGAGGCCGAGGTGGGTGGATCACGAGGTCAGGAGTTCGAGATCAGCCTGACCAACATGGTGAAACCCCGTCTCTACTAAAAATACAAAAATTAGCTGGGCATGTTGGCACTCACCTGTAATCCCAGCTACTTGGGAGGCTGGGGCAGGAGAATTGCTTGAATCCAGGAGGCAGAGGTTGCAGTGAGTCGAGATCGTGCCATTGCACTCCAGCCTGGGTGACAGAGCGAGACTTTGTCTCAGGAAAAAAAAAAAAAAAAATTTAGCCAGGTATGGTGATGCACACCTATAATCCCAACTATTTGGGAGGCTGAGGCTGGAGGATCATTTGAGCTCGGGAGCTGGAGGTTCCAGTGAGCTATGATCACACTACTGTACTGGAGCCTGGATGACAGCAAGACCCTGTCTCCAAAAAAATGTCTAAGACATTGCTGGAGCCTTGAAAAAAAGAAAAAAAATGCAGAATTCGGGGCCCCACTCCACAGCTTCCAACCCAGGCTCTAGGGGTGGGACCCAGGTAGATGTGTATTTAACAAGTGCTCTGGGTGATACTTCATGTGTGTTCAAGTTGGGGAACTCTGGCTTTGATCAGTCATTCCACAGATGCTGACTGAGGCTGACACTGAGCCATGCCAGTGTCCCTTGCTGTGCTCTGAGAAGGAGGCCTGTGGCATTTGAGAGTGTGTGATGCAAACAGGGCCAGATCAGGTGCTGGGTGTTAGAGGGTAGAGCCCAGAAGACGGAGAGCTCTGGGAATGCATTCAGTCAACAGAGATTTGTCGAGCACCTTGTGCTAGCTCTTCCCAGTACTGGATGCAACTGTGAACAAAGCAGGCAGAAGCCCCTCTCCTTGTGGAGTTCATATTCTAACAGCGGGGACAAAGCCAGTAAGAAAAACTATCAAATGAACAAATATAATTTTAGGTGCCAGTAGAACAAGGGAGAACAATGAAATAGGGCAAGTGATAGAGAAAGGGCAGGGCCAGTGAGAGTTTAGGGAAGACTTCTGTAAAAGGTGCATTGGAGTTGGTATTTAAATTAAGAAGGGAGCCAGCCATGTGATAGGCCCTGAGATGGAAATGGGCTTGTATGTTGGAGGAACAGTAGTCGCCTGTGTGGCTTGAGTTGAATAAACGATGGTGAGAGGGGTTGAAGTTGCCTGAGAGGTGGAAACTAAATCCCATAGGCCTTGTAAAAGCATAGTAAGGACTTTGGCTTCGGCATCAGTTATCCATTGCTACATAGCAAACCACTTCAAAACGTGGTGGCACTTTGGGAGGCCGAGGCAGGTGGATCACTTGAGGTCAGGAGTTTGAGACCAGCCTGGCCAACATGGTGAAACCCCATCTCTACTAAAAATACAAAAATGGCTGGGTGCAGTGGCTCACGCCTTGTAATCCCAGCACTTTGGGAGGCCGAGGCAGGTGGATCACGAGGTCAGGAATTCGAGACCAGCCTGACCAACGTGCTGAAACCCCGTCTCTACTAAAAATACAAAAATTAGCCAGGTGTGGTGGCATGTGCCTGTAATCCCAGCTACTCAGGAGGCGGAGGTTGCAGTGAGCCGAGATTGCGCCACTGCACTCCAGCCTGGGCGACAGAGCGAGACTCTATCTCAAAATAAAATAAAAAATACAAAAAAAAAAATTATCCAGGCATGGTGGCACATGCCTGTAATCCCAGCTACTTGGGAGGCTGAGGCAGGAGAATCGCTTGAACCTGGGAGGTGGAGGTTGCAGTGAACAGAGATCGCGCCACTGCACTCCAGCCTGGGTGACAGAGCAAGACTCCAACTCAAAAAAAAAAAAAACCAAACCGTAGTGACTTGAAACAACAAACAACAGCCGTTGACATGCTTATGATTCTGTGGACAGGTTCAGGTGGGCCCGCTCGTCTACCTGGTGTGCTATCGGCTGGGTGTACACGTTTGCAGTCAGCTGATGGGTGAGCTGGCCTGGTCCCTGGCGGCCACACTCACCTGTCTGGCAGTTGACTGGGGCTATTGACCAGGGTGCCTTAGTTCTCCTCCACATGGCATCTCCAGTAGGCTAGCCAGGCTTCCTCACCTGGCAGCTGGGTTCCGAGAGGGCAAAAGTGGAAGCTGCAGTACTACCACTGTGTTCTGTTGGACAAGGGAAGTCACAGGCCACTCAGATTCCAGGGACTAGAAAAATACACCATGACCCAGTTCAGTGGCTCACGCTGCAATCCCAGTATTTTAGGAGGCCAAGGTGGGAGGACTGCTTGAGCCTAGGAGTTTGAGACCAGCCTGGACCACATGGCCAGACCCCGTCTCTACTAAAAATAAAAAAAAAATTAGCTGGGCCTGGTGGTACGCGCCTGTGGTCCTAGCCACTTTGGAGGCTGAGGTGAGAGGGTTGCTTGAGCCTGGGACGCTGAGGCTGCAGTAAGCCATAGTGGCGTGACTGCACTCCAGCCTAGGTAACAGGATGAGACCCTGTCTCACACACACAAAAAGAAATAAACTCTACCTCTTGATGGGAAAGTGTCAACATCACATTGAAAAGAGTTGAAAGGGATGGGAGGATTGTTTATAACTATCATTGCAAGCAGCCTACCACACCACATTGGATGGGAAGGTCTTGCAGGGTTTTGAGTGGAAGACTGATTTTTCAGAAGATCGCTCTGGCTGTTTTGAGACTAGAATGTTAGGGCCAAGAGTATAAACAAGGAGACCCATACTAAGTAGATGACTATAATAGTCTAGGGGAGATACTGAAGGAGCTTGAACAGAGGCAGTAGCGGTGGGGGTGAGAGGTGGTCAAATTCAGGATATATTTAGGAGCCCCAGTAGATAGGGTTTGGTAGAACGAGTGTGATGGGGGTGGGGTATAGAGAGAAGACAAGGCTAGCTTTTTGGCTTTCTTAACTGACTAGATAGTTCTATTGACTGAGATAGGGAAAATGAGTGAGCAGGTTTTGGGGGAAGTCAGGTGTTCTCTTTAGCACACGTAAAGTTTGAGATGCCTGTTGGATATCCAGTTGGAAATGCCAGTAGGCAATTGGATTTATAGGAATCAGGATGTAGTTTTGGGAACCAACCATTCATGTTGTATTGAAGGTTGTGGACTGGATGAGTGAGTGTTGCTAAAACAGAACAGATTTCTGAGGACTGCGCCTTGGCATTTTATGGTGTAATAAGAAGAACAAGGGTTTCAGAGTCATATAGACCAGAGTTTTAAATTCTGTCACTATTAGGTATTAGCAAATCACCATTACTTCTTCTTTTTTTATTATTGTTATTATTATTTTTTATCTTTTATTTGAGATGGAGTCTCACTCTTTCGCCCAGGCTGGAGTGCAGTGGCGTGATCTCGGCTCACTGCAACCTCCACCTCCCAGGTTCAAGCGATTCTTGTGCCTCAGCCTCCCCAGTAGCTGGGATTACAGGTGCCCGCCACCACACCCGGCCAATGTTTTTGTATTTTTAGTAGAGACGGGGTTTCACTATGTTGGCCAGACTGGTTTTGAACTCCTGACCTCAAATGATCTGCCCGCCTTTGCCTCTTAAAGTGCTGGGATTACAGGCGTGAGCCACTGTGCCTGGCCACCATTACTTCTTTGAACATCTGTTTTCTTAGCTGTAAAGTGCGTGTTGGAATACATACCTTGGGGGGTTTGTTTTTTTTGTTTTTTTAGAGATGGGGGTTTCACTCTGTTGCCTAGGCTAGAGTGCAGTGTCTTACAGCAGCCCTCCCGCCTCGGCCTCCCAAAGTGCTGGGATTACAGGTGTGAGCCACCACTCCCTGCCTACCATAGGGGCTTATAACTAAGATAATGTTAACTAAGTTAATTAATGTGACAGTTAACTAAGATAATGTTCAAAAGGTGCTGGTGGCCGGGCGTGGTGGCTCATGCCTGTAATCTTAGCACTTGGGGAGGCTTGAAGCCAGGAGTTTGAGACCAGCCTGGGCAACATAGCAAGACCCCATCACTACAGAAAATAAAAAAATTAGCCAAGTATTGTGGTGCATGCCTGTGGTCCCAGCTATTTGGGAGGCTGAGGTGGGAAAAATCACTTGAGCCTATGAGTTCGAGACTGTAGTGAGCCATAATTGTGTCACTCTACTCCAGCCTGGGTGACAGAGTGAGAACCTGTCTTAAAAGAAAAAAAATTTTAAAAAAGGTGCTGGCACCTGGGTCTTCCGTAAAGGGAAACTCCTGCCATCTGAGGAGCATGGGGCTTCTGAACTCAGGGCCTAGAATGGTAGTAGGATTTCTTGGAGATGGATCCTTTAGTTTTGGAGACCTGTGAAGCAGCCTTCACTGTTTCCTTCCTGTCTGTCTAGCTGTGCCCTCCTGGCTGAAGAAGCCCCAAGACAGCCAGCTGGAGGAGGGCAAACCCGGCTACTTGGATTGCCTGACCCAGGCCACACCAAAACCTACAGTTGTCTGGTACAGAAACCAGATGCTCATCTCAGAGGTGAGAAAGAAGAGTGTTGCTAGTGGATGGGCGGGGCCTTCCCTCCACTTGCCCTCTTCTGTGCTCACCTCCATAGCACTCTTACCCTGGAGGCAGCCTCCAGGGAGAGGTGGGTGTGGGTTCAGGCTCTGAGGCCTCTCACCTGTGCTGCAGGACTCACGGTTCGAGGTCTTCAAGAATGGGACCTTGCGCATCAACAGCGTGGAGGTGTATGATGGGACATGGTACCGTTGTATGAGCAGCACCCCAGCCGGCAGCATCGAGGCGCAAGCCCGTGTCCAAGTGCTGGGTGAGCCAGCATGTCTTGGGGGAGCACCCTTCCTGGCTAGGCAGGAGAGGAAAGGGGAGGGAGCAGCAGGCCTGGCCACGGCCTCTCCAGCGGCCCCAATTCCTCGTCTTTCTACCCACCCTCTGCTGAAACAGAAAAGCTCAAGTTCACACCACCACCCCAGCCACAGCAGTGCATGGAGTTTGACAAGGAGGCCACGGTGCCCTGTTCAGCCACAGGCCGAGAGAAGCCCACTATTAAGTGGGAACGGGCAGGTGGGTACAGTGCCGGCATAGGGTAGGGGCAGGCAGGCAGTTCACTGATCAGATACATACCTGAGGGCTGCTGGGTGCCCCGCACTGTGCCAGGAAATGTGGAGATTAGACAAGCAGTGCAGGGCTGATGTATAGTTTAGTTAGGAAGGAAAAAGCCAGACACAGAAGAGGTCAGATTATAGCCTTGGACAACATGGAAGACAACTCAAGGCAACAAGTGATTGGATTGGTTCAGACAGTGCTGTAAAGTCCTCTCTTCCCCTTTTCCAAAATAGTTTATCTTTTCCAACATAAAAATTACATGGAGGCCGTGCATAGTGGCTCACGCCTGTAATCCCAACACTTTGGGAAGCCGAGATGGGTGGGTCACTTGAGGCCAGGAGTTTGAGACCAGCCTGGCCAACATGGTGAAACCCCATCTCTACTAAAAATGCAAAAGTTAGCCAGGCGTGGTGGCACATGCTTGCAATCCCAGCTGCTTAGGAGGCTGAAGCAGGAGAATCGCTTGAACCCAGGAGGTGGAGGCTGCAGTGGGCCGAGATCATGCCATTGCACCAGAGTCTGGCTGACAGAGTGAGACTCTGACTCAAAAGAAAAAAGAAACAAAAGTTACATGGGCTCCTTTACAAAATACTGGAAGAGGCCGGGCGTGGTGGCTCACGCCTGTAATCCCAGCACTGTGGGAAGCTGAGGTGGGTGGATCACGAGGTCATGAGATAGAGACCATCCTGGCTAACATAGAGTAGTGAAACCTCGTCTCTACTGAAAATACAAAAAATTAGCCAGGGGTGGCGGCACGCATCTGTAGTGCCAGCTACTCGGGAGGCTGAGGTAGGAGAATTGTTTGAACCCAGGAGGCGGAGGTGGCAGTGAGCCGAGATTGTGCCACTGCACTTCAGCCTGGGTGGCAGAGCGAGACTCCATCTCAAAAAAAAAAAAAAAAATATTGGGAGAAAAAATGTACAGTCCTGCCGTTTATCATCTTTGGGTGTATGTCTTCTTTTTCTGTGCATATGTTTTTCTTTTTTTACCTAGCAGTTTTATTGTATATATAGTTTCAGTTATTAAATTTACATGATTGGCTGAGTGTGGTAGCTCATGCCTGTAATCCCAGCACTTTGGGAGGCCGAGGTGGGAGGATCGCTTGAGCCCAGGAGTTCAAGACCAACCTGGGCAATACAGGGAGACCCTGTCTGTACAAAAAATTTAAAAATTAGCCAGGCATGGTGGTGCATGCCTGTAGACATGCTTATTGTAGAATTAGACAATACAGATAACTATGTAGTTTTTAAAAATATTTTTTAAAATTATTTATTTTTATTTTTTTTGTAACGGTGTAATTTTATACCCTTTTTTACTTACCATTGTCAAGCATTTCCCCACATCTTTATACACTCTTCATGAATATTTGTTTTGATGATCCTAATAATATTTCAACAATTGGATTCACTGTAATTTACTTAACTGTTCCTTAAATGTTGGAGATTTGGGTTGTTAACCAGCCACCCACCCACCCCCTTTTTTTTCATTGCTGCAATAAACATCTTTAAGCCAAAGTTTTTTTCTGGATTTAGGTTTATTTCCTTTGGGAAAGATTCCCAGAATTGGGATAATTATGCACGAAAGGGGGTATGAACATTTTTATAGCCCTTGATGTGAGTTGCCAAATTATTTTTTAAAAGGTTGGACCAATTTTGACATTTCCACCTAGAGTGAGAGAGTACAGTTGTAGATTCTGAGGAGGAAGTAGGCTCCCTCTGCTCAGGTCTGGGGGAACTTTCTGGGAGAGGTGAGGCTTAAAATGGATCTACAGCCTGGGATGGTAAAGAGCGGGAATGGGCTCTAGGAGGGAGAAGTGATGGGCAGCGGAGTAGGAACAGGGCCGATCTGGGCCCAAACAGAGTCCGGTTTGGCAGACGTGGAATGTCACACAGGGCAGTAGGAGGAAGAGGTGAGACTGAAGAATTGGAAGAGGGGTAAATAACGGAGGGGCTTCTAACACTTGGCTCAGGAGTTTGGACTTTGCCTGTGGGTGGTCAGGAGCGATGGTGTGTTTTTGAGTAGAGGTGAGGGACTGAAGGCATTGCCAGCTGTCTGTGTAACCCTGATCCTTCCCATAATTTCCCTTTGTTACCCCTGCAGATGGGAGCAGCCTCCCAGAGTGGGTGACAGACAACGCTGGGACCCTGCATTTTGCCCGGGTGACTCGAGATGACGCTGGCAACTACACTTGCATTGCCTCCAACGGGCCGCAGGGCCAGATTCGTGCCCATGTCCAGCTCACTGTGGCAGGTGCGACCGTGGCAGGGCCCTGGGGCTGGGAGGGCCCTCTGGGGTAGCACCGTGTACCCTGCCAGCCCCTTGGCTTACCCCTCCCTGCGCCTCGCTGGTCTCTTTTCTTCCAGTTTTTATCACCTTCAAAGTGGAACCAGAGCGTACGACTGTGTACCAGGGCCACACAGCCCTACTGCAGTGCGAGGCCCAGGGGGACCCCAAGCCGCTGATTCAGTGGAAAGGCAAGGACCGCATCCTGGACCCCACCAAGCTGGGACCCAGGTAGGGCCACCTCTCTCCCACACCCGTCCCTCCTCTCCTGCAGCCCCCCTCCCTGCGAGCTGGCCAGCACTATGGCTTCTCCCCCGACAGGATGCACATCTTCCAGAATGGCTCCCTGGTGATCCATGACGTGGCCCCTGAGGACTCAGGCCGCTACACCTGCATTGCAGGCAACAGCTGCAACATCAAGCACACGGAGGCCCCCCTCTATGTCGTGGGTATGGGCTGGGGAGGGTTATGCTGCACAGGAAGTGGTGGGCCCAGACGTTTGTCACCTTGTACTCAGCCCCTGTGTACAGAACATGGCACAGAAGCCATTTTTGTGGCAGCGGTGGGGATTCGGCCGTCTCACCATGCTGCTGCACAGTCTTAGAGTCCTTGCTCAGAGCCGGGCTGTCGTTTATTTAACATCCAACGGTCGGTGTGTGTGTGTGTGTGTTGTGGGGGAGTGGGGGGGTGTTCTCTTCCTACAATGCTGCCTCCCAGGTTCCTGCAGCAGCCACACATATCTCTGGGTGGCTGGGGAGGAGGACCAGGTCAGAATGCAGTAGGACAAGGTTCTTTTCTCCAGGAGGCCCAGAGAGGATGATGGGTCAGGTAAAAGGCCCTGCACTTAACTCTCTGCCCCTGGGAGACTTATTTCTCCTCTGGGGACTTGTTTCTGCATCCACAGGTGAAAGTGGTTTAAATGAGAAGCTCTTAAACTTTCTTGGTTTGGCAGCAGAGTTATTTTTCTAGACAAAGTATAATGTGAAAGTTTAAATGGATGAAAATGAACTGAGGAGGCCCCCTTGGTGGGAGCCACTGGGGTGTGTGTGGCAGTTGGGGGATCCTGCATGGTCTCCCTTCATTCCCCTAATGCCTCTTGAGGCCCCTCAGTGTGGGCCATTAAAAGGCCCCTAGACCAGCAGATCCCTTCTACAGATCTGCTTATTGAAAAACCTGCTCTGTGCCAGGCAGTGCCTGGAATTCTAAACCTGAAGCTCCCAAATGCTGCTCTCCGGGGCCTGGCTCACATTATCAAGTCACTTGGGAAGCTTAACAAATAACGTGGGTTTGTGGTAGCTCCTTGACAGGTGTGCTTATCCGTGTCGCCTGTCTTGGCTTCCGATGCAAAGCCAGCTTGGGAACCCCTGGCCTCATCTCCTTCAGAGTCTTCGTTTGACCTTGGTGGGGCATGAGGACCTGCTGGCCCTTGTTAAAGCCAGTGAAGGTGGTGACCCTCCCGGGCCATCTGTTAAGTTGCCCTGTTGATGGGGTTGGGAGGAGTTAGTAGAGAAGCAGGGCTTCTTTTGCTTAGCAGCCCCTGCCCAGACCCATCTGTGTGTCTCTCAGACAAGCCTGTGCCGGAGGAGTCGGAGGGCCCTGGCAGCCCTCCCCCCTACAAGATGATCCAGACCATTGGGTTGTCGGTGGGTGCCGCTGTGGCCTACATCATTGCCGTGCTGGGCCTCATGTTCTACTGCAAGAAGCGCTGCAAAGCCAAGCGGCTGCAGAAGCAGCCCGAGGGCGAGGAGCCAGAGATGGAATGCCTCAACGGTGAGGGGCCCTGGACGGGGAGGTGGTGCCCGTGTGCGGGAGCTGAGCGCCCTCCCGCGGCCACGGAGGGGAGAGCGCCAGCACTCTGGAAACCGAGCGGCTGTTGCTGGGTCCTGGAGCTGGGACTGCCCCACCCCTAGCGGGAAGCCTGGAGTTGGATTCCCAGGGCCTCGTCTTCTGAGCAACCTGGCTTGAGACTTCTTCATTGGAGCCCCTTGGACCAGCTTCCTATGATTCCCTGCTGTTTCCTCCTCCCAGCACAAAACCACAGATATCATTAGTATATGTACACACGTTGCTGTTGCATGTCTTGTCTCCCTCTATGAGTCTAAGAGCTCCCCCAGGGGCAGTCTTTCTGTTTACTTCCCTTCTCCTATCCCCACTTCCTGGACTGGGAGCTCCTTGAGGTCATTGCTGGGTCTCTCCTATCAGCTCAGGTGTTCAGGAGCAGAGGTTGGGTCTCCATTATTGTGATTTTCCCTTTGTGCCTGTTTAGGGCTTTGCCCAATAGGAGGCCCCATGAAAGCAAAAATCCTTATGTGTAGCTATGGTATTAAGGACCAGTGATTCAGATTAGATGTCTGCAGTTGGCTTCATCTCAGAGGTCATAATCAGCTGCATCACTAAGGGGTCATACCCTAGGGGATAGCCATACATCCCCCACCCAGCCCCAGCCCCATTATTTCATCATTTGGGCTTGCCCTTTCATGTGGAGCACTGTGATTGGACCCAAGTTGGCAAGAGTGGAAGACCAGGGGACAGAACAGAAATCCCCATGGTGGCCAGAGTGTCAGGTCTCATCGTGACGCTCTTGTCCTCCTCCTTCCCAGGTGGGCCTTTGCAGAACGGGCAGCCCTCAGCAGAGATCCAAGAAGAAGTGGCCTTGACCAGCTTGGGCTCCGGCCCCGCGGCCACCAACAAACGCCACAGCACAAGTGATAAGATGCACTTCCCACGGTCTAGCCTGCAGCCCATCACCACGCTGGGTATGTTGCCTTGACTACAGCTGCCCCTGCCTAACTACAAGTCACCCGCTGTGTCTTGAGGCTGGGTACGGGCTAGTGTTCTGAAGTCCCTGAAACCTAGAATGTTAGAGGTGGAGGGAAGCATAGGTAGAGATCTAGCCCAGTGTGGCCCCAGAGCCTGTTATTCACTGCCCTTCGTGCAGATTTTGTCATTCCTGTGTACTACCTGTAGTATTATTTACTTGATGTTTTATTTAAATTGACTCTTTAAAAAAAAAAACTAAGTTACCATTGTTCTAGGAAAAAATATGAGAAATCATGGGTTTGTCATAGTTACGTTTTTTCCTAGCATACGTTAAGACATGTTTACCATGAGCCACCAAAAATTCTCATGCGAGTCACCCTTTGGAAAATGCTGAATATTAGTCCCACCCTTTTATTTTGTTGCTGCAGACACTGAAGCCTAAGGAGGGAGGGGGTCACAGCAGAACCGGGTCTCGTGCCCAGCCCAGGTGGGTGGGTCCCCACTGTGGGAGAGGCTAGGCCCCTCCCCCAGGTCAGGAGCTGCCTCGGCCTGGGTGAAGGTGGCTGGCTGACTCAGACTGTACCCACAGGGAAGAGTGAGTTTGGGGAGGTGTTCCTGGCAAAGGCTCAGGGCTTGGAGGAGGGAGTGGCAGAGACCCTGGTACTTGTGAAGAGCCTGCAGAGCAAGGATGAGCAGCAGCAGCTGGACTTCCGGAGGGAGTTGGAGATGTTTGGGAAGCTGAACCACGCCAACGTGGTGCGGCTCCTGGGGCTGTGCCGGGAGGCTGAGCCCCACTACATGGTGCTGGAATATGTGGATCTGGTATGCTGTTGGCAGGGGACGTGGGGGTCTCGGGTAGGGAGGGCAGTGTCCTACAAAGGTGGGAGTCAGTGGTTGGAGCACCGTGAAAACCTTGTCTCGTGCAGTCTCAGCCGAGACCTCACCTGCCTGCTGTTACACTTTGCCCACCTTATGATGCTCAGCTTCTGCCTTCCCTGCTCTTGGATGCCTGCTTTCCCTTTATCAGCACCCAGTCTTTCCATCTGTATCTCAGGGGCGTTGGTCCTAAGTTTTTCTGGGACTTCTCACTGTCACACTGCAGGGATGCCTTCCAGGTCATCTTCTCTGACTCTTGTTTTCTTTGGTTTGTTATTTTTTCCTCCCCAAAAGCTTGTCCCCACTTGAGAATAAATATATCAGAACCCACTTTGCCTCCCTCCTTCCTAGCACCACTTGTGACATGAGTGTTACCCCAGCCACCAGCCTTCTCCTCTCCACTCAGGGTGTCATTCCCAGAGCTGCGCCTTCCTCTTCATTCCCCAGCTGGTCCTTGCCCTCACCCCATGGTCCTCAAACTGCTGCTTCTCAAATCCCTAGTTCTGGGGCAAGAGCGGGCAGGAGTCCTATCAGTCTTTCCATTAACAAGTACTTACGCGGCTGGGCACAGTGGCTCACACTTGTAATCCCAGCACTTTGGGAGACTGAGGCAGGAGGATCGCCTGAGGCCAGGAGTCCGAGACCAGCCTGGGCAACATAGCAAGACTCTGTCTCTACAAAAAAATTAAAAACAAACAAACAAGTACTTATGAATGCTTTATGTATGTTTCTGCTGCTGGCGTTCTCCTTTGTTTGTTTAGATTAGATTGTAAAGCTCTGGAGGACAGGGGTTTCCTCTCAGGAATCTTTGAGGGCAGAGGGTAGGGGACTGTTTTCCTCTTGGCTCACTGAAGATGGGGGCTCTGTTGCCCCACCTGTCTGGAGGTTCCCCTTGGGGTAGAAATGCCAATTCTCCTCCTTTCTAACTGAGACAGCCTCTAGGAGGCGTCTCCTATATATTTTTAAAGTTCTGCACTCCCAGTGAACTTCCCCCTGGGAAAGGGGCCCAGGCTAGCTTAGGCCTTCTCACTGCCTCCCCAGGCAGGAATTCTGCGAGCACCTGCTTGGTCTGAGGCTTTACAGCCAATGGCTGTGCACTGACCTGAGCGAGATGCCTGGCTTTTCCCTTAGGGAGACCTCAAGCAGTTCCTGAGGATTTCCAAGAGCAAGGATGAAAAATTGAAGTCACAGCCCCTCAGCACCAAGCAGAAGGTGAGGACAGGGAGTGAAGGAGGGAGGGAGAGGGTGCCCAGGGGTGGGCCAGGAGCAACAGAGGCACCATTTATTGAGGGCTCTCTATGGGCCAGGCCCTATGGTAAGAACTTCACATGTGTTACTGTAATTATCACGGTAGTCGTCTGAAATATATACTACTATCCCCATTTTGTGGATGAAGACATTGAGGCTTAGGAGGTTGTCTGACCTGTCCCAGGTCATGTAGCCTGGAAGTGGCTTTGCATTGCCATGCTGGCTTCACGGAGAAGAGCTACCCTCGGACCTTGCCTCTGGGCAGGAGCTTGCATTGGAGCAGGACGCCTGCCCACCTGCAATGAGCTCTGAGCTGGAGAAGCAGCAAGCAGTCCTAGTGCAGGGGCCTGCTGGGCTAGCTGTGGGCCTGAGCGTGTTTCTTCAGCTCTGAGTGGAGAAGACTCTTCTGTGAATGGGCTGCCTGGGTTTCCCCCTCTGTGGTTTGCATCTTGTCCTCTCCCTTGGGCTGTAGCTGCCCAGCCTTTCATTCCAGTTTTCCTCCTGCCTTTTGCGCAGAGGTTGTTCTGGGCACAGAGCCCTGGCTGGGGCCCCTGTGGTAGAGCAGACCTTGGTTGAAACAGTGAAGAAGGGAAAGCTTGCCTGCTACCCCCTGCCACCTCAGTCCATACCTTTCCAGTGCCTGGGGCTTGCTGTGGCCCGGCCCCTTCTTCCTTCCCTCAGGTTCTTCTTGCCCACAGCTGCCTCCTCTCCCCTCTGAAATGGATCTACTTCCTTCCATGTGACTGGAGAGTCTGCTTCCAAGCTGGCAGTGAAGTGACCTCATAAACCAAATCAGAGCTCAGGGCAGGGTAGGCAGAAGGCTCTGCCCTTTCTCCCAGGGGACCATTCCTTGCCTGCTAGGCTGTCCCAGGTCACAGACTCTGGAGGCAGAGCAGAAAGGCATGGCTGGCAGATGAATCAGGTGAATGGGACCCTGGCTGCCCCCAATCTCTCTGGGGAAGCAGCTCTGTGCCCTTCAGGCTGGCCCCCTCTTATTACATGTGAATTTACTAAGACCCAGACAGGACAAGTGACCTGGCCACCTGACACCACACCCCTACCTCCTTCCCCATGAAACTGCAGGAACTGTGTATAGTGGCTGTAGAGGAGAAGCCACAGGATGGGACTTGCTACACCAGCTAAGTGAGATTTCAGGACTAAAGAGCTCACAAATTAGGACACTCACAGAGCCAGTGACTCCTCACTGAGCCAGGTGTGGCCCCAGGGGCCCTTGGGAATGCAAAATTAAAACAGACAGGCATCAGCTAGGTGCGGTGGGAGGCTAAGGCAGGAGGATTGCTTCAGCTCAGGAGTTTGAGACCAGCCTGGGCAACATAGTAAGACCCTGTCTCTACAAAAAATAAAAAAAAGTTAACCGGGCGTGGGGGCATGCCTGTAGTCCCAGCTACTTGTGAGGCTGAGGAGGAAGAATCATTGGAGCCCAGGAGGTCGAGGCTGCGGTGAGCCATGATTACACCACTGCACTCCAGCCTGGGCAACAGAGCACGATCCTGTCTCAAAGGGAGGGGAGGGGGGGAAAGGACAGGCATCTTGCCCTTGGGGCACTTATGATCTAGTGAGGAGATTAGGTACATGAGTATGACCTGTGCCTTACAGACTTGAGGTAAAACAGAAAGCAAGTGGGAGGCATTAAGAGATGTTGAAGACACCCATGTCCTGTAGGTGGACAGATGGTTGTGGTTAACAAAGAAGTCTTCCTAGTAGAGAAAACCATTTGAGTTTAGTTCACAAGGACAGGATGTAGTTGAATGGCAGAAAGGGGATGGCTTCAAGAGTCAGGGGAGTCAAGGTGGGATTCTCTGGCTGGGATGAGACATAGGCTGACAGGAAGTCAGTTACCTTTCTCATGTGACCTAAGGGACTCTATTTGACTGCAAGTCATCACCATCTTTGCTAAATATCTTTTTCACACTTTTTTGCCATAGTGTCTTAAATATGATGGGGGAACTTTAATAAGTTGGGTTCTACACTCTCCAAGGACCATACTCTGCGTTACATAGAGAGGATGCTTTTAAAAAAAACAGGCAGGGCTCAGTGGCTCACACCTGTAATCCCAGCACTTTGGGAGGCCGAGGCGGGCAGATCACGAGGTCAGGAGTACGAGACCAGCCTGGCCAACATGGTGAAACCCCGTCTCTACTAAAAATACAAAAATTAGCCAGGTGTGGTGGTAGGTGCCTGTAATCCAAGCTACTCGGGAGGCTGAGGCAGGAGAATCACTTGAACCCGGGAGATGGAGGTTGCAGTGAGCCAAGATCGTGCCATTGCACTCCAGCCTGGGAGACAAGAGCAAGACTTTGTCTCAAAAAAAAAAAAAAAAAAAAAAGAAATGCAGGCCAGGCACAGTGGCTCATACCTGAAATCCCAGCACTTCGGGAGGCTGAGGCGGGAAGATCACTTGAGGCCAGGAGTTTGAGACCAGCCTGGCCAACGTGGGGAAACCCCATCTCTACTAAAAATACAAAAAGTACCTGGGCATGGTGTCACGTGCATATAATTCCAGCTACTCGGGAGGCTGAGGCAGGAGAATCGCTTGAGCCTGGGAGGCAGAGGTTGCAGTGAGCTGAGATCTTGCCACTGCACTCCAGCCTGGGCAACAGGAGTCAAACCCTGTCTCAAAAGAAAAAAAAAAGATTTCTGGACCATGACTCAGAATGAGGGAATTAGAGTATTTGAGAGTGAGGTCTAAAGATGTGAATTTTTCAAACAAGCTCTCCAGCTGATTCCTAAGCTCATTAAAGTTCAAGGAGCCCTGGTGGAGACTAGTAGCTTTGAAATGCTTTTTGATTATAATCCCTTTTAGGAAATGCATTTTAAGCTGGTGCAGCAGTATGTGCCTGTAATCCCAGCTACTTGGAAGGCTGAGGCCAGAGGATCCCTTGGGCCCAGGAGTGAGGCCAGCCTGAGTGACATAGCAAGACCTGCATCACTTAGCAACAACAAAAAAGAAATGCATTTTACTCATGATCTGGTGTGCAGGCTCATATAACTAAAATTAAACTTTCACAATGTTGTGTTTGATGCACTTGATGTTTTCTATCCTGTCCTCTTTTTATTTATTTTTATTTTTTGTAGAAATGGGGGTCTCGCCATGTTGTCCAGGCTGGTCTTGAACTTAAGTATTCTAGGGAGGTGGAGTGGTAGGCAGGGTGTTCCCTGGCCAGCTAGAGTTGGCACCAAAGTGCCATATTGGGTGTGAGTGGGCTGAGGGGAGCCTCAGGAGGATTTTAAGAGAGCAGTGAGTTAGTGACAGAAATCAAAGACATGGGTCCTGGGTGTTGGCATAATGGTAGGTAATGCCTTTTAGAGTAGCTGATAAGATGATATCAGAGAGCTGTAATCTGTGATTGCTTCATGGATCACTTGTGAACTAATGATGTGATGAGAAGCAGGATCAGCTTAGCACACCTGGTGGACCATGCTTTATGCAGTCAGATGCCGTGGCAGGAAACAGAAGGCCTCTTGTGAGATCTCATAGCATCACAGTGGGTTAGCCAGAACATGGGCAAACCCCTGGGGTGTTAAAATTGGAAAGGAAGGAGTGGGTCTGATCTTTACCAAAGAACGGGTCTTTTATAACAGTATTTGAGAATTACTCCAGTGGCTATCTGATGGCATCTTGCCCAGCATAAAGGAAACACCGAATTGGCTTGAGTCTAACAGAATTCCCTTTTACTGCCCTTGCTTTCCGGAAGCACCACCTCTCTGGAAAGATAGCAAGTCAGTTACCATGCCAAGTCCACCTTCTTCTGTTTACCTTGACTAGCAGCAGATTGTTTAACTTGTGAGCCAGATCAGAGAGAGCAGGCCAAGGGGACTCACAAGTCTGATGAGGGCACGTTACCAAAACCTTTGCCTGCCGCTTACAGAGAATCAAGCAAGGTTGGACAATGCCCTGGGATTTTGAAGCCTGAAGTGGAGTTGGCTCTGTTTATGATGGCCACTGAAGCAGCCTGGCCCCTTTACCACCAGTGCACCTGAGGCATTCTGAGGACGGTGCTGCAGGGGTTATTTTAGGGATGTAGACTCAGCTTTTTTTTTTTTTTTTTTTTTTTTTTTTTCCCGAGACAGAGTCTCGCTCTGTCTCTGTCACTCAGGCTGGGTTGCAGTGGCACCATCTCGGCTCACTGCAGCCTCCGCCTCCCAAGTAGCTGGGATCGCTCTTCAAGCGATTCTCCTGCCTTAGCCTCCCGAGTAGCTGGGATTACAGGAGCCCGCCACCACACCCAACTAATTTTTGTATTTTTAGCAGGGATGAGGTTTCACCATATTGGCCAGGCTGGTCTTGAACTCCTGACCTTGTGATCCACCCACCTTGGTCTCCCAGAGTGCTGGGAATATAGGTGTGAGCCACTGTGCCCAGCCAGACTCTGCTTTTTCATGGAAACCCCAGTGTACTTCCCTGTACCCAGAGAAGAGAGGCCCAGTAATCCTGACATGCCATCCACCTGCCTTCTTTTTTTTTTTTTTCTTGAGACCGAGTCTCGCTCTGTCGCCCAAGCTGGAGTGCAGTGGCAGTGATCTCTGCTCACTGCAAGCTCCGCCTCCCGGGTTCACGCCATTCTCCTGCCTCAGCCTCCCGAGTAGCTGGGACCACAGGCGCCCACTACCACGCCCGGCCAATTTTTTTGTATTTTTAGTAGAGGTGGGGTTTCACCGTGTTAGCCAAGATGGTCTCAATCTCCTGTCCTCGTGATCCGCCCGCCTCAGCCTCCCAAAGTGCTGGGATTACAGGCGTGAGGCACCGCGCCCAAGCCCCGTTTTTTTGTTTGTTTTTTGTTTTTTTTTTTTTTCGGAGACGGAGTCTCACTCCGTCGCCAGGCTGGAGTGTGGTGGCGCGATCTCGGCTCACTGCAAGCTCCGCCTCCCGGGTTGACGCCATTATCCTGCCTCAGCCTCCCGAGTAGAGTAGCTGGGACTACAGGCGCCCGCCACCATGCCCGGCTAATTTTTTTGTATTTTTAGTGGAGACGGGGTTTGACCAAGTTGGCCAGGATGGACACAATCTCCTGACCTCGTGATCCGCCCGCCTCGGCCTCCCAAAGTGCTGGGATTACAGGCGTGAGCCACCGCGCCCAGCCCCCCCGCCCCCCGCCTTTTTTTTTATTTGAGGCAGTCTCGCTCTGTCGCCCAGGCTGGAGTGCAGTGGCGGGATCTCGGCTCACTGCAAGCTCCGCCTCCCGGGTTCACGCCATTCACCTGCCTGAACCTCCCGAGTAGCTGGGACTACAGGCACCCACCACAAAGCCCGACTAATTTTTTGTATTTTTTTTAGTAGAGACGGGGTTTCATCATGTTAGCCAGGATGGTCTCGATTTCCTGACCTTGTGATCCACCCGCCTCGGCCTCCCAAAGTGAGCCACCGCTCAAAGACGTGAGCCACTGCGCCCAGCCCACCCGCCCTCTTCTTTAACCTTCCTCACTGGTTACACATTTAGTTGAAAGCTATCCTGAGATTTTATGTCTTCACTGTTGATAAAGAAATGTACCAAAGCAGCCAGGCACAGTGGCTCACGCCTGTAATCCCAGCACTTTGGGAGGCCGAGGCAGGCAGATCATTCACCATCAGTTTGAGACCAGCCTGGCCAACATGGTGAAACCCTGTCTCTACTAAAAATACAAAAATTAGCCGGGCGTGGTGGCGCATGCCTGTAGTCCTGCTACTTGGGAGGCTGAGGCACAAGAATTGCTTGAACTTGGGAGGCGGAGGTTGCGGAGAGCTGAGACTGCCACTGCACTCCCGCCTGGGCGACAGAGTGAGACTCCGTCTGGATGAGGTTTTTCCCAACTCTAATTACATCATTCATTTAGCACCTCTGCATTAATGCACTGCCTGTTAGAGCCTCAGGCAGCACTGATCAGGACGATGATGGGAATGTTCCATTTCTGTGCTGGTCAATATAGTTGTCACTAGCTTCATATAGCAACTGTACACTTGGAATTTGGCTAGAGCAACAGAAGAACTGAATTTTATTTTATTTATGTTATGTTATGTTATGTTATGTTATGTTATGTTATGTTATGTTATGTTATGTTATGTATTCTTTAGAGACAGAGTCTTACCCTGTCGACCAGGCTGAAGTGCAGTGGCAGGACCTCGGCTCACTGTAGCCTCCGCCTCCCAGGTTCAAATGATTCTCCTGCCTCGGCCCCCTGAGTAGCTGGGATTACAGGTGCGTGCCACCACACCTGGCTAATTTTTGTATTTTTAGTAGAGATGGGGTTTCACCACATTGGCCAGGCTGGTCTCGAACTCCTGACCTCAAGTGATCCGCCTGCCTCGGCGTCCCAAAGTGCTGGGATTACAAGTGTGAGCCACCACGCCCGGACTGAGTTTTATTTAATGTATTTTATTTATTTATTTATTTATTTTGAGATGGAGTCTCTCTCTGTCACCCAGGCTGGAGTGCAGTGGCATGATTTCGGCTCACTGCAAGCTCTGCCTGCCAGGTTCATGCCATTATCCTGCCTCAGCCTCCCGAGTAGCTGGGACTACAGGCGCCCGCCACCATGCCTGGCTAATTTTTTTGTATTTTTAATAGAGAGAGGGTTTCACTGTGCGTTAGGCAGGATGGTCTCGATCTCCTGACCTTGTGATCTGCCTGCCTTGGCCTCCCAAAGTGCTGGGATTACAGGCATGAGCCACCACACCCGGCCTGTATTTTATTTTTTGAGACAGAGTCTCATTCTGTCACCCAGGCTGGAATGCAGTGGTGCAATCATGGCTCACTGCAGCCTCGACCTGTGGAGCTCAAGTGATCCTCTCACTTCAGCCTCCCAAGTAGCTGAGACTACAGGCACCCACCACCACACCTGGCTAATTTTTAAATGTTCTTTAGAGAATGGGGTCTCACTATGTTGCCCAGGCTGGTCTCAAACTCCTAGGCTCAAGCAATCCTCCCACATCAGCTTCTTAAACCGCTGGAATTACAGGCCAGCAATAGCTACTGCGCTAAACAGAATTGAATTTTAAATGTTACTGAGTTTTAATTAACTTAAAGCCAGGTGCAGTGCCTCATACCTGTAATCGCAGCACTTTGGGAGGCCAAGGTGGAAGGATTGCTTGGGCCAGGAGTTTGAGACCAGCCTAGGCAACAAAGTGAGACTCTGTCTCTAAAAAATAAAAATAGGCTGGGCGTGGTGCCTCATGCCTGTAATCCAGCACTTTGGGAGGCCGAGGCAGGTGGATCACTTAATGGCAGTTCAAGACCAGCCTGGCCAAAATGGTGAAACCCCGTTTCTACTAAAAATAAAAAAATTAGCCGTGCATGGTGGTGGGCACCTGTAATTCCAGCTACATAGAAGGCTGATACAGGAGGATCACTGGAACCCGGGAGGCAGAGGTTGCAGTGAGCCGAGATAGCGCCACTGCACTCCAGCCTGGGTGACAGAGCAAGACTCAGTCTCTAAATAAATAAATAAATAAATAAATAAAATTAGCATGGTGGTATATGCCAATAGTCCCAACTACTAGGGAGGCTGAGGTGGGAGGATCACTTGAGCCTGGGAGGTTGAAGATACAGTGAACTGTGATTGCACCACTGCACTCCAGCCTGGGCAACAGGCACCCTGTCTCAAAAAAAAAAAAGTTTTAATTAAATTTAAATAGCCACATGGGGATAGTGCCTACTGTATAGGACAGCACAGATATAGACCATTGTTTTTAAAAAACTTTTTGACTGGGCAAAAAGTACAGTTTGCATCACAACCCAATACACACATATGTATATATTTTTAAAATGAAAACATTTCATGAATGATGCTCTTACTAAGTGTGATGCACTCTATTTTCTATTCCCTTTTTTTTTCTTTAATGCTGGCTAAGATTCCCTAAATTGGTTTCATGACATAGAGATTGTGACCATAGTTAGCAAAGCACCAGTAGAGGCAGTGGGGCTCACAGGGATGTCACTGGCCACTGCCCAAGAAAACTGAGAAGAGATGTCTTTGGAGTGTCCCCTCTCCTAGCGCTCGGGCTTGGCACCTCTGCTGGCCTTCTTGTGACCTCTGGGAGCCAGGCGGGGAAGCTGCTCTGAGCTAGCCAGGGATGCTGAAGGGCCAGCTCAGTAGCCAGCAGCCCAACCTCTGTGCCCACTGGTGGGCAGACAGTCCATCAGCAGTGATGTGATTCAGAGAGGCGGCTGCAGTGGTAGGGAAGAGCCAGCCTTTGGCACTAGCCTCACCATGGGCCCCTCAATGAAGCCAAGGCTGGGCCCTGCCTCACAGTGCATGTGTGGAGAGAGGCAACCAGCCTTGTTTGGGGTGTGGCACACAGCAGGTGCTCACCAAATGGCCCTTCCCCTTCTCTGTGAATGGGTGGTTTCTTATTTGCACCAAGTAACCTGGCTGCAGCCCCCCATCAAGAGCCCTGCTTTGGCCAGCCCTGTTATATTCCACCAACATCCACTGTATATGGCACGTGGTAGATACTCAAATTTTTTTTTTTTTAAAGAGATAGGATCTCACAATGTTGCCCAGGCTGGCTTTGAACTCCTGGGCTCAAGCAATTCTCCTACCCCACCCTCTTGAGTAGCTGGGACTACAGGTGCCTGGCTTCAATTTATATTTGTTCAGTGCATTAATACATACTTTTAAAATGTTAATGTGGCTGGGTGTGGTGGCTCATGCCTGTAATCCCAGTGCTTTGGGAGCCGAGGCAGGTGGATCACGAGGTTAGGGGTTCGAGACCAGCCTGGCCAACATGGTGAAACTTCGTTTCTACTAGAAAAAATACAAAAGTTAGCTGGGCGTGGTGGTATGTGCCTGTAAACCCAGCTACTCGGGAGGTTGAGGCAGGAGAATCGCTTGAACCCGGGAGGCGGAGTGGAGGTTGCAGTGAGCCGAGATCAGGCCACTGCACTCCAGCCTGGCAACAGAACAAGACTCCATCAAAAAAAAAAAAAGTTAATGTAATTTAGTTACGTTTCATATATAGTGTATAATATAATATATTCACATTGGCTCAAAATTCTAAAAAGAGTATTAATGAATGAAAAATCTCCCCAACTCTTTCACTTTGGAAAAGAGTTGGGCATTATTTTGTATAGCTAGAGATATTCATATTCTAGACTTCGTCTTAGGTATCTTAGAGAAACTCATACATGTGTACACTTATAAAAGTGTTCATAATAACGCTGTTCTTAATAGCCCCAAACTGGAAACAACCCATTGGCATTAGAATTAAAGTATGAGGCCAGGCGTGGTGGCTCACGCCTGTAATCCCAGCACTTTGGGAGGCTGAGGCAGGCTGATCACTTGAGGTCAGGAATTCAAGACCAGCCTGACCAATGTGGTGAAACCCCATCTCTACTAAAAATACAAAAATTAGCTGGGTGTCATGGTGGGCACCTGTAATCCCAGCTGCTTGGGAGGCTGAGGCACGAGAGTCACTGGAACTTGGGAGGCAGAGGTTGCAGTGAGCTGAGGTCATGCCACTGTACTCCAGCCTGGGTGACAGAGCAATACCCTGTCTCAAAAAAAAAAAAAAAAAAAAAAAAAAGAATTAAAATATGAGATGTTTATAATGAAAAACAGACCATGTCCAGTGATTTAAAAAAATTAACCTGGCTGGCCCAGTGGCTCACACCTGTGATCCCAGCAGTTTGGGAGGCAGAGATGGAAGGATTGCTTGATCCCAGGAGTTTGAGACCAGCCTGAGCAACATAAGGAGACCCCCGTCTCTACAAAAAAATACAAAAATAAAAAAGGCTGGGATTGATGGTACACATTTTTGTCCCAGCTACACAGGAGGCTGAGTTGGGAGGATCACTTGAGTCCAGGAGGGCGAGGCTGCAGTGAACCGTGATCACCATCACTGTACTCCAGCCTGGGTGACAGAGTGAGACCCTATCTCAAAAAATAAAGGCCGGGCACAGTGGCTCATGTCTGTAATCCCAGCACTTGGGAGGCTGAGGAGGGTGGATCATGAGGACGAGATCGAGACCATCCTGGCCAACATGATGAAACCCCATCTCTACTGAAAATACAAAAATTAGCTAGGCGTGGTAGTGCGCGCCTGTAATCCCAGCTACTTGGGAGGCTGAGGCAGGAGAATCACTTGAACCCAGCGGGGTGGAGTTTGCAGTGAGCCGAGATCGCACCACTGCCCTCCAGCGTGGGTGACAAGAGCGAGACTTGGTCTCAAAACAAGCAAACAAACAAAAGAATCTTACAATGTTGTGAAAAAAAAAAAAAATCCAGGCACAAAAGAGTATACATTTTGTGTGCTTCCAGTTTTAATCTGGCTCTGAAACAGGCAAAATGGAATTATATTATCTAGGAACATGTAAGTGGTAAACTACAAAGAACAAGAAAGAAATTATCACAAAAGTCAGGGTAGTGGTTACTCCTTGAGGGGAGGGAGAACATATGGTTGGGAAGGAACTCTTGAGTGCTAGCATTGTTGGATTGTGGTTTTTTTTTTTTTTTCCCACAAAAAAATGTAAGCCAGAAGTTTTCTTACCTTTCTACCTTCTAGCCTCCAGTTCCGTTCCTTGGAGGCAGCCAGTCATATGGGTCTATATGCCTTAACACATACACACACGTGCGTGCACACACACAGACACACACGCTATATATATATATATATATATATATATATATATATATATTTTTTTTTTTCTTTTTTTTTTTTTTTTTTTAATAGAGTCTCACTATGTTGCCCAGACTGGTCACAAACTCCTGAGGTTAAGCAGTCCTCCTGCCTCAGCCTCCCAAAGTGCTGGGATTACAGGCATGAGTCACCATGCCCAGCATACACACACATATTTTTAACACAACTAGTAGAAAAGATAGACTTTTGAAGTAAAATGAAAAAGAAACAACCCATAAAGATATCATCTAAGATCAGGCATGGTGCCACTCACCTGAAATCCCAGTGCTTTGGGAAGCTAAGGCAGGAGGATCGCTTGAGGTTAGATATTTGAGACCAGCCTGGGCAACGTAGCTAGACACCGTCTCTACCAAAGAAATATATATATATATTTTTTGAGATGGAGTTTTGCTCTTATTGCCCAGGCTGGAGTGCAATGGCGCAATCTCGGCTCACCACAACCTCCGCCTGCTGGGTTCAAGCGATTCTTCTGCCTCAGCCTCCCCAGTAGCTGGGATTATAGGCATGTGCCACCACACCCAGCTAATTTTTGTATTTTTAGTAGTGCTGGGTTTATCCACGTTGATCAGGCTGGTCTCGAACTCCCAATCTCAGGTGATCCACCTGCCTTGGTAAAGAATTTTTTTTTTTAATTAAAAAGTAAGCTGGGGGCTGGGCGCAGTGGCTCATGCCTGTAATCCCAGCACTTTGGAAGGCCGAGGCGGGCGGATCACAAGGTCAGGAGATCGAGACCATCCTGGCTAACATGGTGAAACCTCGTCTCTACTAAAAATACAAAAAAATTAGCTGGGCGTAGTGGCAGGCACCTGTAATCCCAGCTACTCGGGAGGCTGAGTCAGGAGAATGGCGTGAACCCGGGAGGCAGAGCTTGAAGTGAGCCGAGATCATGCCACTGCACTCCAGCCTGGGCAACAGAGCAAGACTCCGTCTCAAAAGAAAAAAAAAAAAAGTAAGCTGGGCATGGTGATGCACAGCTATAGTCCTAGCTACTTGGAAGGCTGAGGTGGGAGGATTGCTTGAGCCCAGGAGTTTAGAGGCTGCAGTGAGCTGTGATCATGTCACTGCACTCTAGCCTGGGTGACAGAGCAAGACCCTGTCACTTGAAAATAAAAAATATCAGCTATGATTTCTGCCCACTTATTTTTCACTGGACAAGTGGTTACTATGTATGTGCCCTTAGGCCCATGTGCCACTCACTTAATCTGGCACTTGCTGTGTGTCAGCATGGTGTCAGGCACTTTAGTTTGCTTAGTTCAGTCTTCTAACAACCCAGGAAGGCAGGTACTGTTATTATCCCCATTTTACAGAGAAGGAAGCTGAGGCTGTTGTGCTTCTGGGCTTCCTACGCAGCACACCAATAGTGTTGAAACGCTACCAAGGGTTGTGTTGAGGGTGGTCATCTTGATGCCTATTCCTGGGCTGCTCTAACAGGCCCCTTTATCTCTCCAGGTGGCCCTATGCACCCAGGTAGCCCTGGGCATGGAGCACCTGTCCAACAACCGCTTTGTGCATAAGGACTTGGCTGCGCGTAACTGCCTGGTCAGTGCCCAGAGACAAGTGAAGGTGTCTGCCCTGGGCCTCAGCAAGGATGTGTACAACAGGTAGAAGGGCATGCGTGGGGTGGGGGCTCCCCATTTTTTCCCAGAGGGTGAGGGGCAGAGGACAGATAGTTTGGGGGGTGTGGGAAAGGGTTTAGTGCCTGCTTAGTCCAAAGCTGGAGGGCCTGGGATAGGGAAGAGCTTTCTCATCCTTTTTCCAAGGGTGCAGCAGGCTTCCCACCCAGTGCACACCCTTGGTGGTTGTAAAATGTCTCTAGCGATTAAATAAATAAATAAACCTTTTTTAAAAAATAGGCAAATTTGATAAGGATTTATATATAATCTATTTATATGGCTCTCTCTGTAACTTCCTGAATTCAGTCATTATTATTTTGAAGTCTGAGACTTATGCCTCAGCACCCATGCCAGAGCTTGCTCTAGACAGCCTACGAGGGCTCTGCAGCGCTGCCGGGAACATCACCCTGAGTCCCTCTGGTTCCAGGTCACCCCCATTTGTCTGACTATAGCTGTAGTGAGGATTGGTTTATCACTAATAAAGCTCTTTCCATTTAACAGTTCTTAGTTTTTACATTTTTACAACCAATATAGAAAGTATGTATGACTATTAACTTTTCTGTTAACATTTAGGCAAAGTTTGATTCTTAATGGAAATTTTTTAACCATCAAACCTCTCGTGTGGTTACCTCCAGATTTTGTCTAGTGTACTCCCATGCTCAGCACGCATGTGACCAATTTCTTGATGTCTGTATGTAGAAAGGCTGGGCCCCCGGCTTGGGGATGCGTTCCAGATGGGGAGATGAGGGTGCAGCGCCAGGCCACGCTCCCACCCCACCTCACCCCTGGGTTGCTTCTCTCCTGCAGTGAGTACTACCACTTCCGCCAGGCCTGGGTGCCGCTGCGCTGGATGTCCCCCGAGGCCATCCTGGAGGGTGACTTCTCTACCAAGTCTGATGTCTGGGCCTTCGGTGTGCTGATGTGGGAAGTGTTTACACATGGAGAGATGCCCCATGGTGGGCAGGCAGATGATGAAGTACTGGCAGGTAGGCAGCCTTGCTGCTAGGGGATGATTCCAGATGGGCCCCAGATGGGGCCTACTCAGGGCCCCAGGGCTGGTTCAGCCTACCTCCCTCTCAGGGCTGCTACTGAGCAGGCACACAGATACAACCACTCTGGTTGTTAAAATACTGCAATACTTTGTTTTTCTTTTGAGACGGAGTGTCGCCCTGTCGCCCAGACTGGAGTGCAGTGGCCCGATCTCCGTTCACTGCAACTTCTGCCTCCTGGGTTCAAGCGATTCTCCTGCCTTAGACTCCCTAGTAGCTGGGATTACAGGCACGCACCTCCACTCCCTGGCTAATTTTTGTATTTTTAGTAGAGATGGGGGGGCTTCACCATGTTGGTCAGGCTGGTCTCAAACTCCTGACCTTGTGATCCACCCGCCTCGGCCTCCCAAAGTGCTGGGATTGCAGGCGTGAGCCACCACACCTGGCCGAAAATACTGCAATACTTCTATATTGGTTGGTAAATAGCCTTTGCCCCCAGTGCCCACTCCAGCCACTCTGACGCCTGTCCGCCAGCCCACTTCAGCTCCTATGCATGGACCCCGTCCTACCAGCCAGAGTGAGTGGGGCCAGGGGAGTCATCTTTTTCCGTTGCGGGTACCCACCTGCCGCTGGCCAGCATTGCCCCAGAGGCATCCTTGGGTGGCTGCTTGTATAAACTGCAAGGTCCACAAAGTGTTGAACAAGTTGTTGAATGTTTTGGCCAACACTGCACCTGCTGTCTTCCCTACAGATTTGCAGGCTGGGAAGGCTAGACTTCCTCAGCCCGAGGGCTGCCCTTCCAAACTCTATCGGCTGATGCAGCGCTGCTGGGCCCTCAGCCCCAAGGACCGGCCCTCCTTCAGTGAGATTGCCAGCGCCCTGGGAGACAGCACCGTGGACAGCAAGCCGTGAGGAGGGAGCCCGCTCAGGATGGCCTGGGCAGGGGAGGACATCTCTAGAGGGAAGCTCACAGCATGATGGGCAAGATCCCTGTCCTCCTGGGCCCTGAGGCCCCTGCCCTAGTGCAACAGGCATTGCTGAGGTCTGAGCAGGGCCTGGCCTTTCCTCCTCTTCCTCACCCTCATCCTTTGGGAGGCTGACTTGGACCCAAACTGGGCGACTAGGGCTTTGAGCTGGGCAGTTTTCCCTGCCACCTCTTCCTCTATCAGGGACAGTGTGGGTGCCACAGGTAACCCCAATTTCTGGCCTTCAACTTCTCCCCTTGACCGGGTCCAACTCTGCCACTCATCTGCCAACTTTGCCTGGGGAGGGCTAGGCTTGGGATGAGCTGGGTTTGTGGGGAGTTCCTTAATATTCTCAAGTTCTGGGCACACAGGGTTAATGAGTCTCTTGGCCCACTGGTCCCACTTGGGGGTCTAGACCAGGATTATAGAGGACACAGCAAGTGAGTCCTCCCCACTCTGGGCTTGTGCACACTGACCCAGACCCACGTCTTCCCCACCCTTCTCTCCTTTCCTCATCCTAAGTGCCTGGCAGATGAAGGAGTTTTCAGGAGCTTTTGACACTATATAAACCGCCCTTTTTGTATGCACCACGGGCGGCTTTTATATGTAATTGCAGCGTGGGGTGGGTGGGCATGGGAGGTAGGGGTGGGCCCTGGAGATGAGGAGGGTGGGCCATCCTTACCCCACACTTTTATTGTTGTCGTTTTTTGTTTGTTTTGTTTTTTTGTTTTTGTTTTTGTTTTTACACTCGCTGCTCTCAATAAATAAGCCTTTTTTACAACCTGTTTCTGAGATTCATTCCCTGCTCTTGCTCGTGGAAGATGTTCCTTTTTCCCCCGCTGATGAGAAGGGGCCGTGTGCAGGCCGGGTGCAGTGGCTCATGCCTGTAATCCCAGCACTTTGGGAGGCTGAGGCCAGTGGATCACCTGAGGTCAGGAGTTCGAGACCAGCCTGGCCAAAAAGGTGAAACCCCTGTCTCTACTGAAAATATAAAAATTAGCTGGACATGGTGGCAGGCGCCTGTAATCCCAGCTACTTGGGAGGCTGAGGCAGGAGAATCGCTTGAACCCAGGAGATGTAGGTTGCAGTGAACCGAGATCACACCACTGCACTCCAGCCTGGGTGACAGCGAGACTCTGTCTAAAAAAAAACAAAAAAAAAAAGAGAAAAATGAAAGGGCCATGTGCCTTCATGGAGTCTGGTGGGGCTTGGACAGGATGAACCGGTGGATATTGGTTCTTCTCTCCAGTTTGCAGGGCAGGTGAGCATGCAGGCATGAAGAAGGCAAGATCACCTGTTGTCTGTGCAACCCTGTGCTGTCCTCTGACTGTCACCTAGACGGGCCTAATCCTTGTGCTCAGATGGGGAGGGTAGAAGCGTGAAGGGGAGCAAGTTAGAGTAGGATTGGAGAAGGAGTTAGTGACAGACTCAGGTCTCTGAGTCCTTTCAAGACCCTAGGAGGGAAGTGAAGTAGGTAGAACCAAGCAGAGAGACGGTGCTTAATGCCTGGATCTTGTGTCCTCACCTATCCTCTGCCTCATTCCAGTAACTTCAGCCTGGTTCACCATCCAAAAGAAACGAGTCCTGAACTCCAAAACTGCTCTAGTTCCTTTACTCCTCACCAAACTTCTGAATAATAAAAATAACAGCAGGCTGGACATGGTGGTTCACACCTGTAATCCTAATACTTTGGGAGACTGAGGCAGGAAGATCACTTGGGACCAGGAGTTTGAGACCAGCCTGGCCAACATAGTGAGACCCTGTCTCTACAAAAAATTTAAAAATTAGCCAGGTGTGGCGACATGCACTTGTAGTCCTAACTACTGAGGAGGCTGAGGCAGGAGGATCATGTGAGCCCAGAAGTTTGAGGTGGCAGTGAGCTATGATCACAACACTGCACTCCAGCCTGGGTGATCAAGTGAGACCCTGTCTCAAAAAAATAAAAAAAACAGGCCGGCTGGGCACGGTGGTTCACGCCTGTAATCCCAGTACTTTGGGACCTGAGGTGGGTGGATCCACGAGGTCAGGAGTTTGAGACCAGCCTGGCCAATATGGTGAAACCCTGTCTCTATTAAAAATACAAAAGTTAGCTGGGCGTGGTGGTGCACACCTGTAGTCCCAGCTGCTTGGGAGACTGAGGCGGCAGAATCGGTTGAACCTGGGAGGCAGAGGTTGCAGTGAGCCAAGATTGCACCACTGCACTCTAGCCTGGGCAACAGAGCAAGACTCTGTCTCAAAAAATAATAATAATAAAAGGCCACAGGAACAGTGGCTCATGCCTATAATCTCAGCACTTTAAAAGGCTGAGGTGACAGAAATGCCTGGGCAACATGGCTAGACTACACCTCTACAAAAAATTTAAAACTTAGCTGGGTGTAGGGCCGGGCACCATGGCTCACACCTGTAATCCCAGCACTTTGGGAGGCCAAGGCGGGTGGATCACAAGGTCAAAAGATAAAGACCGTCCTGGCTAACACGGTGAAACCCTGTCTCTACTAAAACAAAAAATTAGCCGGGAGTGGTGGTGGGTGCCTGTAGTGCCAGCTACTCGGGAGGCTGAGGCAGGAGAATGGCGTGAACCTGGGAGGCAGAGCTTGCAGTGAGCCGAGATCGCACCACTGCACTCCAGCCTGGGCGACAGAGTGAGACTCTGTCTCAAAAAAAAAAAAAAAAAAAAAAAGAGAGACCATCCTGGTCAACATGGTCTCTACTAAAAAAAATACAAAATTTAGCTGGGCATGGAGGCACGTGCCTGTAGTCCCAGCTACTCAGGAGGCTGAGGCAGGAGAATCGCTTGAACCTGGGAGGCAGAAGTTAAAATGAGCCGAGATCATGCCACGGTACTCCAGCCTGGAGACAGAGCGAGACTCTGTCTCAAAAAAAAAAAAAAAAATTAGCTGGGGGTAGTGGGGGTGTGCCCATGGTCTCAGCTATTCTGGAGGCTGAGGAGGGAGGATCTCTTGAACCCAGGAGGTTCTCACCACTGCACTCCAGGCTGGGTGACAGAGCAAGACCCTGTCTCAAAAAAAAAAAAAAAAAAAAAAAGAAAAGCTAATGTTTTTTGAAGACTTTATCTGCACTAGTCACTTAATGTGCATTATCTCATTTAATCTCTGCAACTACTCTGTTAGCCAGATGAGATTATTTCCATTTCACAGATTAGGAAACTGAGTCTCAAGGGAAGTCAGGTAGTTTGCCCATGGTTACACAGCTAGTAAGTGAGCCATAGTCACTGGTATACACCATGCATTACATCCTTCAGATGTGTTGAAGGGAAAATTTTTCTAGAGCAGTGTTTTTCAAACTCTGGTTTGCAACCAGCATTAAAAAAGAAAAAAAGGGAAAAAAAGAAACATAATAGGCACTATCAGAGTACGTTGTATCCTTTAAGGGTAATTGTTGTTTTACAAAATTTTGTTATATTTGCTGCATATATATATATATATTGGATAGTGTGTTAGTTAACTGTTGGGTGGTGATACTGCATAGTAATCCCCAAATCTTACTAGCTGACAAGATTTTTTTCTGACTCATGTATCTGCAGGTTGGTGAGGGTTGGCTGATTTTGGCTGTGCTTGGTGCCAGGCTGGAGGTCTGGCTTAGGTCTAGTCTGCTGGCACCCAGAGCATGTTCTTATGCAGTGGCAGAGTGCAAGAGGTCAAGCCAAACTGTGCAAGCACATTTCAAACCACAAGTCTGAGCTGGCACCATGGCATGTGCCTGTAGTCCCAGCTACTTGGGAGGCTGAGGCAGGAGGTTCGCTTTAAGCCCATGAGTTTGAGGCTGTAGTGTGCAATGATTGTTCCTGTGAATAGCCACTACACTCACTCCAACCTGGGCAAAATAGACCCCATCTCTTACACACACACACACTCACGCACACACACACACGTCTATTAACATTTTATTGGCCAAAGCAAGTCACACAGTAAAACCCAACATCAGCACCAGTAGGACATACTGCAAAGTCACACGGCAAGGATGTTGATGTATATAATTCCAACAGAGGGTGTGAAGAGTTGGGAGCAATAATCTAACTGACCACAGGTTGCAATGTAAAAATGATTTCTGACTGTGGGTTGCACCCAGAAATATTTGAAAGGCACTGCTCTGGAAAGTTATTAATCACTAAATCCTCTTCTAACTCTTGTTCTTCCTTGAGCACTCCATAGTGGCTAACATTGTTGGCCATACCTTCCTCTTCAGAGACTCTCCTCCGTCCCCACCTTTTTTTTTTTTTTTTGAGACTATCTTGCTCTGTCACTTAGGCTGGAGTGCAGTGGTGTGATCTCAGCTCACTGCAAGCTCCGCCTCCGGGTTCACGCCATTCTCCTGCCTCAGCCTCCCAAGTGGCTGGGACTACAGGCACCTGCCACCACGCCCGGCTAATTTTTCGTATTTTTAGCAGAGACGGGATTTCACCATGTTAGCCAGGATGGTCTCGATCTCCTGACCTCATGATCCACCCGCCTTGGCCTCCCAAAGTGCTGGGATTACAGGCGTGAGCCACCGCGCCCCCCCGCCCTCCCTCACTTTTTTACACTGTCAACAGTTTCTCTGGCCAGTCCTTCTCCAGCCCTGGCTAAGGCTTTTTTTTTTTTTTTTTTTTTTTGAGACAGAGTCTTGCCCTGTTGCCCAGGCTGGAGTGCAGTGGCACGATCTCGGCTCACTGCAAGCTCCGCCTCCCAGGTTCACGCCATTCTCCTGCCTCAGCCTCCCGAGTAGCTGGGACTATAGGCACCCGCCACCATGCCCAGCTAATTTTTTATACTTTTAGTAGAGACGGGGTTTCATGGTGTTAACCAGGGTGGTCTCGATCTCCTGACCTCATGATCCGCCCGCCTCAGCCTCCCAAAGTGCTGGGATCACAGGAGTTAGCCACCGCGCCCCGCCTAAGGCTTCTTTTTCTCCTGCCATGGCTATGCTCCTGAGACTGTCATTGCCCTTCCTTTCTCTACTTTCTTTCTTTCTTTCTTTCTTTTTTTTTTCTGGAGATAGGGTCTCACTCTGTCACCTAGGCTGGAGTATAGTGGTAGATCATGGCTCATTCCAACCTCAACCTCCCAGGCTCAAGGGATCCTCCCACCTCAGCTTCCGAGTAGCTGGGACTACAGGTGCGTACCACCAAACCCAGCTAATTTTTGTATTTTTCGTAGAGATAGGGTTTTGCCATGTTACCCAGGCTGGTCTCAAATTCCTGAGCTCAAGCGATCCACTTGCCTCAGCCTCCCAAAGTGCTCACAGGCATGAGCCACCACACCCAGCCTATTTTTGCTTAATTTTATTATTATTATTATTATTATTATTATTTTGAAAGAGTGTCTCGCTCTGTCCCCCAGGCTGTAGTGCAATGCCTTGATTTCGGCTCACTGCAACCTCCACCTCCTGAGTTCAAGCGATTCTCCTGCCTCAGACTCCCCAGAAGCTGGGATTATAGGTGCCCGCCACCACACCCAGCTAATTTTTTTTGTATTTTCAGTAGAGACAGGGTTTCACCATATTGGCCAGTGTGGTCTCAAACTCCTGACCTTAAGCGATCCATCCGCCTCAACCTCCCAAAGTGCTGGGATTACAGGCATGAGCCACCGCACCCGGCCTATTTTTGCTTAATTTTAAAAGAAAAATATAAAAGTCATATTGATTGTCAAAGAAGTCACATGGTACAAACTTATATAAAGCAAAAAAACACACCCCTCTCATCCCAAACCTCACTCTCCATAGGTAAGCACTATTAGTGTTTGGAGTGTGGCTTTCCAGACTTTTCCTGGGCACAATGACTCATAAATTCTTTTCCATTACTGCTAATGCTGCCATCACAATTGATACCCTCTTTGCCTCTGTGCAAAATTATGAATCCCTGAGTAAAGGTTAATTCCAAATGAAAACAGATTTAGGGTATTTTGACAGTAATTTTTTTTTCTTTTTTGAGACAGGGTTTTCCTCTTACCTAGATTGAGTGCAGTGGTGCCATCATGGCTCACTGCAGCCTGGGCTCAAGCAATCTTCCCACCTCAGCCTCCCTAGTAGCTGGGACTACGACTACAGATGCGTGCCACTGTGCCCCAGCATTTTTTTTTTTTTTTGAGATGAAGTTTCACTCTTTCACCCAGGCTGGAATGAAGTGGCACGATCTTGGCTCACTGCAATCTCTCCCCTCCAGATTCAAGTGATTCTCCTGCCTCAGCCTCCTGAGTAGCTGGGATTATAGGCATACACCACCAGGCCCGGCTAATTTTTGTATTTTTAGGAGAGGTGGGATTTTTGCCATGTTGGCCAGGCTGGTCTTGAACTCCTGACCTCAGGTGATCCACCCTCCTAGGCCTCCCAAAGTGCTAGGATTACAGGCATGACCCACCTTGCCTGCCTGTGTTTTTTTTTTTTAAGAGATGGGGTCTCATTGTGTTGTCCAGGCTGGTGTCAAAACTCCCGGACTCAAATTATCCTCCCACCTTGACCTCAAAAAGTGCTGGGATTTTAGGTGTGAATCACTGCACCCAGCCATGACAGTAATTTTTAAAAGCAATCCTTAATTTTTGTTTGTTATTAGTTAGGTGATAAAAATCAGAAGAAAGAAAGAAAGGTCAGGGTGGAATCTGTGTGGTGTGAGGGATCTGGCTGAAATTCCCATGCACTTACAGAGGCCCTTCATGGTCTGGGGTGGACATGAGCTCCCATCTGTTGCAAGGTGCTACTCTGATCAGGCCTTTTCGGAGGAACATTTCAACTTCACATTTCAGAGCAGCCAGGCAGGAGCTTACCTAGGCTCAGTAGGCTGCGTGGAGTCTATGGTAAAGTGGAGAGCCTCTTCTATGGCCACCATCAGCTCCAGGTTATAATGCTTTTGTGGGTACCTAGGCCCAGTGTTACCAAAAATTCTGATTTTTTTGAGAGAGGTCAGATATTCAGATTTTTTTTTTTTTTTGAAAAGGAGTCTCACTCCGTAGCTCAGGCCGGAGTACAGTGGCCCCATTTAGGCTCACTGCAACCTCTGCCTCCCAGGTTCAAGTGATTCTCCTGCCTCAGCCTCTCGTGTAGCTGGGATTACAGATGTGTGCCACTATGCCCGGCTACTTTTTTATTTTTTTAGTAGAGATGGCGTTTCACCATGTTGGCCAGGCTGGTCTTGAACTCCTGACCTCAAGTGATCCATCCACCTTAGCTTCCCAAAGTGCTGGGATTACAGACATGAGCCACCACGCCCGGCCAGACATTCAGATTTTTATGTAAACTCTTATGATTTTTAAATGTTATAAGGTCCAAATAAAACACCTCTATGAGACAGTTTTTGATTTTGACTTTATCCCTAGCAATACTTTTGGCTCTGGAACCTGCAGTAATCCAATAGTGTGGGTAGAGGTCTCCTCCTGACTCCCTGTGGTGACAAAGGACATGAAGATGGGCCATCCCAAGCAGACAGAGAAGCTGTGACACTAACACTGGTGTGCAATGACCCAGGAGTTGGGAGAAGTTGAAGAGAGGGCAGCCTATTTGAAGGGAAGCTAAGGACTGCGTTCTTCCCAGACACCCTCCCCTATAGATGTGACAGAGAGCAGTTGTCCCTGCTGAGGGATGTCACCCCTGCATGTGTCTAAACTAGGGGGCGCAAATGAAAGGGTCTTTAGAGGGCAGGTGGGAATGAAATCCCAGAGCTTTGGCTGTAATATTATGGTGCTCAGACAAAACATGACCCCAGGCATCATTTGTGGTCCCTAAAACCCTTCTGGAACCTATTTATCTGTTTGACCTGTTCTTCCTCTTGGGCTAACACGTTCCATATGTTTAAGTACCTGTTGTAAAGAGTAAATTAGTGGAGGGAGGGGAGACCTCTTTAAAACTATTGGGGGCTGGGTGCAGTGGCTCAGGCCTTTAATCCCAGCACTTTGGGAGGCCGAGGTGAGAGAATCGCTTGAGCCCAGAAGTTTGAGACCAGCCTGGGCAACATAGGGAGACCTTATCTCTATATGACAAAAAATACACACTATATTTTATTCACTATACACACAAAATACACACTATATTTTACTGATCACTTGCACATATTTTATTTCAGTATTTTTCAAGCTTTTGGATTGTGACTCACAGTAAGAAATGCAGTTAATATTGTCATCCATTACACACATACACTGAATTATGAGAAATTGACAATATCCCACCTTCTTGACCTATAAAATGGCAATTTTGTAGGGTTCAACCTATATATAATGCAAACAAACATTTTATGCAACAATATTTGCCCTTGCTTTTTGTGATACCCATTAATTTATTCTTTTAAATGTTGATTGTAGTATACTGAATTGATATCACTACCACTACCAGTAATGACTAGGTTACAATCAACTGCTTTATTTAATCTCCATAATTTTTCGGGCAGGAATAATCACTGCCTCCCATCCCCTTAAACATGCCAAGATGCTTTATCCCTAGGATGAGGTGACTTACTCCAGGTAACTCCTATTGCCTAACCACTGACCAATTACTCTGCCCTTTAGTCTTTATGTCATTAAATCTGCATTAAGAATTTCATGGAATAGGCCCGGCATGGTGGCTCATGCCTGTAATCCCAGCACCTTGGGAGACCGAGGTGGGAGGATCACTTGAGGTCAGCAGTTCGAGACCAGCCTGGACAACATGGCGAAACCCCATCTCTACTAAAAACACAAAATAACTAGCCAGGTGTGGTGGTGGGCACCTGTAATCCCAGCTATTTGGGAAGCTGAGGCAGCAGGAGAATCGCTTGAACTGGGGAGGCAGAGGTTGCAGTGAGTCGAGATCGTGCCAGTGCACTCCAGCCTGGGCGACAGAGCGAGACTCTGTCTCAAAAAAAAAAAAAAAAAAAACTCAGGGAATGGATAGCAGCATTGATGAATATTGCGTCTGGAGAGATCAGATCACTTGTCACTTGTTTCCAGGCACAGGGCTTACCAAGAGGCAGATTCCAGATTTAAATAATTCTGTAACAGCAAAGTCCAAGCTATTTTCACTGCTTTGGAGAAAAGACCCAGACCCAGAGCTTGAACCTCACTTTGCAGCACCCCAGTTCTAATCTTTTAAGTTTTTTTTTTTTTTTTTTTTTTTTTCTGCTGGGCACGGTGGTTCATGCCTATAATCCCAGCACTTTGGGAAGCCGAGGGGGAAGGATCGCTTGAGGCCAGGAGTTCGAAACCAGTCTGGGCAACATGGCAAAACCCCATCTCTACAAAAAATACAAAAATTAGGCCAGAGTGGTGGCGCGCACCTGTAGTTCCAGCTACGTGAGAGGCGGAGGTGGGAGAATCGCTTGAACCCGGGAGGCAGAGGTTGCAATGAGCTCAGATCCCGCCACTGCACTCCAGGTTGGGCGACAGAGCGATACCCTGTGTGAAACTTTTTTTTTTTTCTCCAACGGGCTTTCCAGAGAAGTGTGTGTATGTGCGTGTGTGTGCGCGAGCGTGCTTGCTTGGGCTTAAACTTTCTGTCGGGCCACACTTTCCCAAGTCTTTGCACTGGCTGTAGGGTGGGCTTTATCCTCGGGACGTCCTCCTCCCCAAGTCCAGCCTGCAGCTGGAAGTCTTCACTGATCTCCATCTCTCCTCCCTGATCTCCGTCTCTCCTCCCTGCCCGCCTCAGGACTGGGAGGCCGATCTCTCTCTCTCGCCCTCCCCTCCACCAGCCTTTTCCAGATGTATGTCTGCCAAAGACCCCCCAGTGCAGAGGATGATGAATGAAGATCCTCGAGCCAGCCCGGTGGGAAAGTTTCGTCGCCTACAAAAGCGAGGGAAAGGGAAGGGAAGTTGGGGGTAGGGGAAAAGTTAGAGCTGAGAGGCTGGGGCGCGACGAGTCTGGACACCGGGCGGGGACCCAAGCTCTCTCCGCTCAGCCAATAACTGTGCCTCCCTTAGGAAGGCGTGAGGAAATGCTCCAATCAATCCCTGCACTCCTCCCTTGGAATTTGGGCTGTATTTTTTTATTTACTGCAAACCCCACAATCCACCCAGGGGTTTCCCCAGTGTTTGCCTCCAGCGGTCCCGGTGCCCATTTACTAGTGCTGCTCCCTCTCTTCCGCAAGACTGCGCTCCAGTCCCAGCCTCCTTCTCCGCGGGTGCCTCCCAAACCGTTCTATCATTCTCGGGTTCAGGGAGGCGGAATCGTGCCTGCTCTCCGGTTCCTTTAAGAGGCGTCGGCTCCACCCCTCTCAGAGTCGCGGTCTGACGCGAGATGACAGCAACGAGTTCGGTATGTCTATGCAAATAAGCGCCCTCTTGTGGGCCAATGGGGAGCGGAGGTGCCGGAACCACGGACCAATGGGGCGGGGGCGCTGGGGCTCACCATATAAGGAGCGGCCTCGCCATAAAAGGAAACATTGTATCTCTTTATATGGGGGGAAGGGTCGGGGGATCCCTCCGCCGCCAGCGCGTGGTCCCGGCCCCCTCCACCCGCCGTCTCGGCCGCGGCCAGCAGCCCCTGCCCCCCGGGGGACGCTGACGGCCGCCCGGCGCGCCGCCCTAGCAGACGGACAGGGGGCGCTGCGCGCGGCCTGGGGCAACCCGGGCCACAGGGGCAGGAAAGTGAGGGCCCAGGTCGGCCCGGGCGTGCAGGGGCCCCGGGTTCGCAGCGGCGGCCGCGGCAGCGATAGCGGCACTAGCAGCAGCGGGAGTGCCGGGTTGAGCCGGGAAGCCGATGGCGGCGGCTGCGGCGGCTCCGATTCCTCGCTGACTGCCCGTCCGCCCTCCTGCATCGAGCGCCATGTTACCGACCCAAGCTGGGGCCGCGGCGGCTCTGGGCCGGGGCTCGGCCCTGGGGGGCAGCCTGAACCGGACCCCGACGGGGCGGCCGGGCGGCGGCGGCGGGACACGCGGGGCTAACGGGGGCCGGGTCCCCGGGAATGGCGCGGGGCTCGGGCCCGGCCGCCTGGAGCGGGAGGCTGCGGCAGCGGCGGCAACCACCCCGGCGCCCACCGCGGGGGCCCTCTACAGCGGCAGCGAGGGCGACTCGGAGTCGGGCGAGGAGGAGGAGCTGGGCGCCGAGCGGCGCGGCCTGAAGCGGAGCCTGAGCGAGATGGAGATCGGTATGGTGGTCGGTGGGCCCGAGGCGTCGGCAGCGGCCACCGGGGGCTACGGGCCGGTGAGCGGCGCGGTGAGCGGGGCCAAGCCGGGTAAGAAGACCCGGGGCCGCGTGAAGATCAAGATGGAGTTCATCGACAACAAGCTGCGGCGCTACACGACCTTCAGCAAGAGGAAGACGGGCATCATGAAGAAGGTACCAAGCCGGGGGGCTGGCCGGCCCCGGGGCCCGGTTGGGGTGGGGATGTGCAAAGGGAGCCCGGGAGGACCGCAGAGCCGAGGCGGAGGTGAGAGGCTGCGAGTCCGCAGGAGGTGTGTGGGAGGGGATGGCTCCTGCCCGGGGAGGGCCGAAGGGGAGGGGCCGCCGGGGAAATGTGGGGAGAGGGGAGATCCCGCGAACGCTCGCAACCGTGGGGAAAGGCGCAGAGGTGGGAGTGACCGGCGCCAGAGAGGAAGAGGGCCCTTGCTGAGTGAAGGGGTGAGGAGCGGTGATGGGAGGCTACGAGGCTGCCGGGGAGGTGGATAATGAGAACCCGGGATCAGTAGGTCCAGTGCACTCCGGTGTTCGGACGAGGGCGCCGGAAAAGCAGGGAGCAAACGAGAAGGTATGGAGGTGAGGAGGCTGGAGCTGCATGACAACAATGAGCGAACATGTGTGGGAGGAAGTGGGCACCACGAGAGTAGTGCTGGTTGGAAGGACAGGCAGGGTTAGGGACCAGGTAAGGGAGCGGGGCAGGAGAACTGGTGCTGCCCTGAGCAGCAGGAACCTAGTCCTGCGCCGGCCGTGAGTCTTCCATGGCATCCACTGGGAACCACATGCTCCTGGCAGGACCCGCTGCAGAATCTCCTGCCGTTAGGACAAGTGGGGTTTCCAGCCCTAGGGAGAATCTATGCTTGGATGGGGTTTGGGGGAAGTCAGGGAGGCTTGCAGAGGTACCTAGGAATTCCTCTTCTGCCAGCCAGTGAAAAGTGTTGAGGAAAGGAGTCATTTTGGGGTGTAGACGATAAGGGAAGAGATGAAAGCAGAGGAACTGGGAGACAAGGAGCTGGATCCTTGGGAACACTGGCTGGTGTTTATTTCTGTCCCATGTAGAAACCAGAGCTGCTTCCAAGGTGGTTTGCAGAACTTTGTTGGGAGAGTATGGCATCTATGGGGCCATCCTTGAAGGTCCCCTTCCTGGGCTCATGGCAGGATGTTTAGTGCTAATCTAGGTCTCGTCTCCCATCACTCCAGACACTGTTGTATCAGTGTCCCTTGTCACTTGATCATCAGTGGAGAAGATTGTGGGGGGAGGTAATTAAGGAAAACTCTCTTCTCTCCTTCCATAACCTTCTTCCCAAGACAAAGGAGTAAGGGCAGTAAAGTATTACAGGGCAAAAGGAGAAACTAGGCTGTGGCAACAAGTTGGAGCCTGTGCAGTTTCTGGAAAGAAACATGGGACAGTTGGAGCTTAAATGGTCCATTATCACTAATGTCTTGTACAAATTCCAGTGTGATAGGTAGGGATCCATCCTGGTCCCTGTGACAGTGAGAAGGGGTGAGGCTCTGGGACATTCCAGGCACTAAGCTGTGTTGGGGAGCAGCTAGCTGGGTCCTTCGTATCCCCTGAAGTTATATGTTCCATCACTGGGGGCTGTTACTGTTTGCTTGGGGTATCTTCAGGTCAATGGGGCTGCTCCTCAAAGGAGGAGCATGGGTAGTTTTGCTGCTTCCAGAGATCCTGATAGGACACCCTGCCCTCAGAGTCATTAGAGACGAAGGTCATTATGGGAATGGGGGAATGACATCACTGTATAATTCTTTTTCCAACTTCTCAAGGAAGGTAGAGATAAAAAGTTTGCTGACCTGCCCATCTCCCTCCTCACCCCTCAGGCCTATGAGCTGTCCACGCTGACAGGGACACAGGTGCTGTTGCTGGTGGCCAGTGAGACAGGCCATGTGTATACCTTTGCCACCCGAAAACTGCAGCCCATGATCACCAGTGAGACCGGCAAGGCACTGATTCAGACCTGCCTCAACTCGCCAGACTCTCCACCCCGTTCAGACCCCACAACAGACCAGAGAATGAGTGCCACTGGCTTTGAAGAGACAGATCTCACCTACCAGGTGTCGGAGTCTGACAGCAGTGGGGAGACCAAGGTGTGTTTGGGTTGCCTATGTGAGAGGAGGGAAGGGAGTGGGGTCCCTCTCCCTTTCTGGCCCAGGACAGGTGGATAGGTGCCCACCGATGTGGAGTGGAGCCGGATTAACGACCCTCGTCCTAGGGGACAGGTGTCCATCCTCACTTTCCTGATAGAAGACCGCCCCCCTAGATAAGCGGGCGGCCTCCGTGCCCATATAAGGCCGGCTTGGGCTCCACGCCGGCCTCCCGCCCGCAGCCCGCCTGCCTGGCAGGGCCTTTGCATTCCTCCCGCCAGCTGTCTCCCCGCTAGGGGCGGGGGTGTAGTTTAGCCCGGCCCTCCGGGCTGGGTCGCCAGGGAGTAGAAAGGGAGCACTCCGGTCCCGGGGTCCTGGGAATCCAGCACTCTTGGCAGGCGGGCTGGTTGACTGGGCCGGGGACTACCTTACAAGCCAGCCGCTGCCCTTTCAGGGTGTTGGGGGCCTGGGCAGTTAGGGAGCGCATTTGCCTGCTGCTAGGGATGCCTGCGCTGTTACTCCTCCCCCTTCCTTTTCCCGGTAAGGAGAGGGGGTGGGGCTTCCTCCCTTGCTGTCTGGGGAGCTCCACCTTCCGGGTGGCACTTAACTGACTGGCCAATGGGAGGAAGCGGCACTGTTTGCCTTAGCAACGCCTCTGCCAATCAAGGGTCTTGGGCCCAGCTGCTTTGCAAACGTCTCGTGCTGACCCACCCCGCAGCCTTTGAGCCTCTGGTTGACTCATTTCGGGTCTGGGCTTGGTGGCTTGGTTCTCAGTTTCCTTCTTCCCCTTCTAAGAACGAAGTCTTCCTTAGGGGAGAGTCAGTGCTGTAGGCTACCTCCTCTCTTAGTGGCATATCATCTGTAATAATTTTTAAACTTTTATAACAGTAGGGCTCATTTATTCCCAGGAAATTTTGTTGGATGAGTACATTCTTTTGGTAGTTTACATCTTGGGTGTTTGACATATAGTGTGTCATTGCCAGATTCTCAAGATCTCTCTCAAACTCTTAAGTTCCCTGAGAAACTCAGTTCCTATCTCAGAAGCCTGACAAATTAGAGCTGGAAGAACTCTTTGAAAGAAAACGTAGTAGCCCAGCCCCCTCATGCTTATAGAAGAGGAAAACCGAGGTTCAGAAAAGGGGACTGGTTATTTCAGGGTCACTTAGATGGTCATTACCAGAGCTAGGAACAGACCTTGGTGTCCTGACTCCCCAGCCAATGGGATTACCACAGTCCGCTGGAGCAGAGAACTCAGGGGATTATAATAATGACAATGATAATAATTATCATAAGAGCAGCAAATATTTATTTTGGTTTTTTTATGTGCCAGGTAGTGTTTTCTAAGTGATTTACATATGCTAACCTACTTAATCCTTACAGCAACCTAGGGGGTAGGTATTATCCTCCTTTTACCGATAGAAAACTGTAGCTCAGTAGATCAATAACTTACCTAAGAGTCAGGCATCAGGTAAATGGTGGCGTTGGGATTTGAACCCAAGCTCACTGGTTTCAGTCTGGGTTCTCAGTCCACACAAAGCTTCTGCAAAGGCAGGATCTGGTAGGGGCTCATTGCTTCATCTTTACTCTGGGTATAGGACACACTGAAGCCGGCGTTCACAGTCACCAACCTGCCGGGTACAACCTCCACCATCCAAACAGCACCTAGCACCTCTACCACCATGCAAGTCAGCAGCGGCCCCTCCTTTCCCATCACCAACTACCTGGCACCAGTGTCTGCTAGTGTCAGCCCCAGTGCTGTCAGCAGTGCCAATGGGACTGTGCTGAAGAGTACAGGCAGCGGCCCTGTCTCCTCTGGGGGCCTTATGCAGCTGCCTACCAGCTTCACCCTCATGCCTGGTGAGTCACGAGGGGCAGGGAGAGATTCGTCCTTCCTGGGGCAAATCAAGCATGCTAAGAGTGTGTTTAGGGCTGGCACCAAGAGAACCTCTTTCCCTGCTCAGAAGGAAGGTGAATAGGGGCCAGAGCCTGAGCGAAGCCTCTTATATCCCGTTGGCAGGCATACCTCTGCCCACTGAGACCCCTGCTGTCCTTGTCAGTAAGTTTCAACCATATATTCTGGCCCTGTCTAGCTACCCCAGCCCCGTGCCCTCATTGCCACAGGGCAGTAGATGTTTCACCACTTCCTGCCTTGACTGGAAGGCAGATCATGTCTTTGATGGGTTATTGCCAGCTCTTGGGTCAACTGAAGAAAAGAGAGACAAGGCCCAGGGCAGGAGGAGGAGGGATGGGCAAGAGTAGAGCGTGGAAGCCCCCAGAGTGGATACTTGGGCCTGAAGGGCCTCTTTGGCTTCCAGGAAAGATAGTGATGGGAGTTGGAGACCAGTGTGCCAGACCCTGGGACTGGGGTGTCCATGGGTACTTGGTGGAGGTGGCAATTGGGTGGGACAGAGCACAAATAAGACTCTGTGTCTTGCAGGTGGGGCAGTGGCCCAGCAGGTCCCAGTGCAGGCCATTCAAGTGCACCAGGCCCCACAGCAAGCGTCTCCCTCCCGTGACAGCAGCACAGACCTCACGCAGACCTCCTCCAGCGGGACAGGTATAGCTCGCAGCCCTGTCACCCTCCCTCCCTGCCTTCCCCCACGAGGCCTAGCAGTAGGTGCCCAACAGTAACCCTCCTGTAACTAAAGTCAGGGGATTTCTTAAAGTGGAGATTGAGGCTTTGGGCCTAATAATTATGGGGAAGTCAGGTGAGGATGACTGGGTTTTGAATCCCGCCCTGCAGTGGGCTGCGGATTCCAGAAGAAAATTGGGGACCATTGACCTACCTCCTCATTCAGATGAGGAGCCTGAGGCCTAGAAATAAGAAGTTACTTGCTCAAAGACACATTTGCTTAATTATCAGGAAGGACTTAGAGAGCAATTTTCTCTTTGTGCGAGGGTCTTACAGGTTTTGAGTAGCCACAGTTACCCTCAGGTATCTCTAGACATTTCAGAAATGATGAGATACTCTCAAAGTAAGGTTAATTTTAAGTTCTTATTATTTATAACCTTTTTACTCAAAGTGTGGCCTATGGACTGGGAACACCAGCATTACCTGGGAGCTTGTTGGAAATACAGAATCTTGAGTCTCACCCCAAACCTAGTGAATCGGAGTCTGTTTTTTTTTTTTTTTTTGAGACGGAGTCTCGCTCTCTGTCGCCCAGGCTGGAGTGCAGTGGCACCATCTCGGCTCACTGCAAGCTCTGCCTCCCGGGTTCACGCTATTCTCCTGCCTCAGCCTCCCGAGTAGCTGGGACTACAGGTGCCCGCCACCACACCTGGCTAATTTTTTTGTATTTTTAGTAGAGACGGGGTTTCACCTTGTTAGCCAGGATGGTCTCGATCTCCTGACCTCGTGATCCGCCCACCTCGGCCTCTCAAAGTGCTGGGATTACAGGCCTGAGCCACCGCACCCGGCCCAGAGTCTGTGTTTTAACAAGATTCCCATATAATGCACGTTAACATTTGAGAAGTGCTTGTTTGAAAGATGAATTTGTTAGCTGTGCATTAAGAAGGAGAGAGAGGCCGGGTGCGGTGGCTCACGTCTGTAATCCCAGCGCTTTGGGAGGCCGAGGGGGGCAGATCACGAGGTCAGGAGATTGAGATCATCCTGGCTAACACGGTGAAACTCCATCTCTACTAAAAATTCAAAAAATTAGCCGGGCTTGATGGCAGGCATCTGTAGTCCCAGCTACTCGGGAGGCTGAGGCAGGAGAATGGCATGAGCCCAGGAGGCGGAGCTTGCAGTGAGCCAAGATCGCGCCACTGCACCCCAGCCTGGGTGACAGAGTGAGACTCCATCTCAAAAAAAAAAAAAAAAAGGAGGGAGAATGAGAACAAATAAAAAATAAGATGTTAGAGCTCCTAAAAGGGGAGTATCTGAGTTTTCTGAGAGTAGGTCAGTCATAATCTTTGTTTTTCCCAAGATTTAGGACTTAGAGAATTCAGTAGATAGACAATTGAATAAATAGTACAATGTGATAGGATACAATTAAAGATTGATGCTGTTGTGTTCAAGAAAAAATAGGCTTTTCTTAGTTGATGATGGAGCTGAGGAATAGTCGTGTCTAGCTTCTGACCTGGGAAATGGCAAGAGGGCTCTGGGGGCCTGGAATTCCTAGGGACGGAATGGGAGTTATCAGTGGGGACCAGTGCCGAGCTGACACATGTCTGTGTTTGCCAGTGACGCTGCCCGCCACCATCATGACGTCATCCGTGCCCACAACTGTGGGTGGCCACATGATGTACCCTAGCCCGCATGCGGTGATGTATGCCCCCACCTCGGGCCTGGGTGATGGCAGCCTCACCGTGCTGAATGCCTTCTCCCAGGCACCATCCACCATGCAGGTGTCACACAGCCAGGTCCAGGAGCCAGGTGAGTAGAGGAGCAGGGCTAAGGAAAGGAGGACCGTTTCCTTCTTTATACACACACACACACACACATACACACACATATGCACTGATGCCTACAAATATTTCTACCCAAATACAACACAGACTTGGATGCTCACACACACATTTGGACACCCCACTTGGACACTCACACCCGCATGCACCCTCAGACACACTGGCACCCTTTCCCTTGGGCTCTTACATCTGAGACTGCCCCAGTCACTTGTGCATTTGACACCACTCCTCCAATATCTGGAAGTTTCAACAAACAATTTGAGTATCTCCTGTGGTTTTCCAATGTAGGTGGCGTCCCCCAGGTGTTCCTGACAGCATCATCTGGGACAGTGCAGATCCCTGTTTCAGCAGTTCAGCTCCACCAGGTAGGTAGGGATATCTTTCACCCCATCCCAGATAGCCACTTCTTTGTCTTGACCTTAGGGGATCCTGTTACCAGTTCATCAAAGCCAAAATCCCTAGCCTGGAAGCCCATCTGCTTTTCTGCTCAGGCCTGTGGTTGGCAGGCAGGGAAGCCAGGGGAGCCTGAACTGGCTGGCCAGTCCCTGCCCCTCCTCATACATCCCCTTCCCTCCAGATGGCTGTGATAGGGCAGCAGGCCGGGAGCAGCAGCAACCTCACCGAGCTACAGGTGGTGAACCTGGACACCGCCCACAGCACCAAGAGTGAATGATCCGCCCGCCGCCCTGGACAGATGGCCCAAGGGATGGCACCACTTATTTATTGTTGCCTTTTCACGTTTTCTTTACACACACGTTGACGGGCCGCAGGAGGGAGGCGGGGAGGAGGAACGGGCAGCCACAGGACTGAGCCCTCTCACTCCAGCCAAAGAAATGGGCCTGCCTGCCTCCACCCGTCCTCCCTCAGCCTCCCCTTCTTCCCGCCCCACCTCCCATTTCTGTTGCTGGAGGGGCTGTCCTCCTTCCTGGGACCCCCTCGCCAGCTTGGCTCGATGTTTGCCATGAGTATTAGCTTACCCAATGGGACCGTGCCCCACCTCCCCACACACAGGCCTTCTGTGGGGCTGGGCACCGTGTCCTCCTCTGAGGAAGCAGTTGGGGCCCTCTTGCCAGCCTCCTTGCTGACCCCAGGTCAGCCCTGTGTCTGTCACAGGCTGGGTCAAAAGAGCCCTGGCTCTGCCCCTCAGGGGGCCAGCTGGGGAGATGGGGGCTTCTTCCTCACACTGCTGTCCTCTCCCCCTTCAGCTCCTGAGTAGCTGGGCCTGTGCACTGGGCAGGTTCCTGGGGCCGCCTGCCCTGCCTTGCCGCTCCCCTTGGACCTCCAGGGGCTCCTGGGTTGGAGGGAACCACCAGCGTTCCCTTCTCCCCCTTGTCTTCCCCCCTCTCCTCCCAGCTGCTTTACTTAAAGTTGATTTTGAACTTTTTATTTGAGGAGACGAAGTGAAAACAAATCTATAAATATATATTTTTAAAATATTTAACTTTTTTTTATGGCGTTTTTCTCGTCCCCCTCCCTGCCCAAACTCCCCTTCCCTGGGGAGCCCTCAGGCTCCCCAGAACTGGCTGGGCCCCTGGGGACAGAGCCACCCCATGAGCTCGGGGTCCACCAGTGTGTGGGGGAGATTCTGGGTTTGCCCAGTCCTGGGTTGTTTCCAGGAGAAAGCCGGGGGAGGGGCCCTCAGGCCATTCCCCAACGGGGTGGGGAGGGTGACCCACAGCTCTGGGCCTCTTTTTGCCCTTTAGGGCTGTTGCTAGGGAGAGGGAAGAGGGAGACCAAATGTCGGGGTTGGGGTGGGAGGGCGTCAGGCAGAGGCAACTGACTTCATTTGTGCCACACGCATGGGCATTGCAGCCTTGCGCTGTCCCAGGCATGCAGCTGCCTGGGGCCCAAGTTGCAGTGAGCAGGGTGGGGTCTGGGAGGGGGTGAGAGGCAGGAATGGGGGTCAGAAGAAGTGGGAGCAGCTTCTTGGGCTGAGTGCAGCCAAAGGGGAGCCAGAAATGGGCAGTTCTCCCAGGGAGTGAGCAGCTACTGTAACTTTTTTAAATTAAGACAAAAAGCCTTGAAGAAAATGACTTTATTTTTCTAAGTGTAACCTCAGTATTTATGTAATTTGTACAGGGGCCATGCCCCACCCCCCTCCTCCCCCTTTGGGGTAGACCTTGAGGGTGGGCCAGCATAGGGGGGAGGGTCTTTTACCCTGTGTCAGAGCCTACCTTCACCACCTATATCCAGAAGGGGAGCTTTTTCAGAAACAGGGCAGCAGTGGGGTGAAATTTTCTTAACCCCTAAGACTGCCTTCAGTAGGAACAAGCTGGCTTCTGTGATTAGGTGAAGGGATGGGGGAAGATTTTATGCACAGCCTAGTTATCAAGGGGATGATTTGCCGACATGTTTGAGAACCCCCTAACCTCTAACCCTCATTGCTGTCTTGCCCCAGTTTGGGGTGCCAAGATGGAAGTCACCTTTCTGGGCTTTCTCCTGGAGATAGCTGGGGCTTATGGGTGGCTTTCAAGGCTGGGGCATGGCAAATCAGGGGCCAGAGAGCAGGGGAGCTTGGGACTCAGGTCTGTAACTGCCCAGCCCCTTTTCTCTGCTCTTGTTTCACTCCACCATCACTCACTCACTCCCCACTCCCCCACCCATGGGGAGGAGACCTTTGATGAATTCTTCCTCTCCTTCCCACAAAAGACAGACCCAGTGAGTGAATCAGGCAAAGTGCTTATAATGTGTGTTGTGTGAGCGTGGCCTTGGGAGGACATGCGTGTGTCAGGGATGAGTTGAGGTGATATTTTTATGTGCAGCGACCCTTGGTGTTTCCCTTCCTCGGTGGCTCTGGGGTATGTGTGTGTGGGTGTGTGCGCCTGAGTGAGTGTGTGTGCTTGAATGTGAGTGTGTATGTCAGTGGTTTCTACTTCCCCTGGGATGCTGACCCAGGAATAGTGGACATGGTCACAGTCCTATGTACAGAGCTTTCTTTTGTATTAAAAAAAAATACTCTTTCAATAAATGTATCATTTTTGTGCACAGACTGTGGGGTCTTTGGTTCTGTTTTTCTACTTAGGGAGGGATGGGGGTATGAACGCGAGGCAAACTCCTAAAATTGCTGCTCTGAGTAGCGATCCGGGCTGCTTGATGAGAACGGTAATGCTAAGGTGTGCTTTGGGCTGTTTAATTCTATACGATTTAATTTAAGGAAAGTTTTGCGGGGCCGAGGACCTTCTCCCTGTGCGTGGCTTCGCTAGGTGTTAAGGCCAACGCAGAGGAGCAAATTTTAATTAACAGGAAAAGTGACACAACTAATCCAAAGCATTGCTGAAGGGTTTGGGAAACTCATGGGCACCTGACCTACTGAAAAGTCAAAAAGGGCAGCCTTAAGGTGGGAATGTGGGTTACCATGTTTCGTCAGCATGATCGCTGTGATGGGAGAGGGAGGATTAGGAGGGCCGACCCAGTGAAGAGGAGGGGGCTTCACAGTTGACTGGATGGAAACGGCTTCTTCCTGCTGCTGAGAGAGGAGCAACGTGACCTCGATCCCAGGCTCCTCCGGTAGCGCGCCCCCACGCCCCTCTTCCAGTGCAGCCGCCCGCGGTAGCACGCATGCTCCACTCGCGCGCTGTTCCGCCACGCTCGGCGTGGGCCGCGGTGGGACCCGTAGGTGCCCGGCCGTGCGTGCACTCGCCGTGTGACCCGGAAGGGAGCTCTGAGGAGGCGGGGCCAGGACGGCGGGACCGGCCGCTGGGTCCCAGCGAGGGCTGAGCCGGGCGGTGGGAGGTGAGAGGAGAGTTCTGCGCCGACCCAATCCCTCCCCTTCTCCTGTCCCCTCCCCGGTCCTTTAGCCACTGTCCATGGGGCTGACGAAGGGAACCAGGTCTTGCTCTCTGAGATTCACTGGATCTTTTCAGCTTTTTTGGACCGCGCCCCCAACCATCCTTCCCCCTCCCCCCAAACCCGTTCCCTCTGCGGTGCTGGCCTCCTCCACCTCCCCACGGCTCTGCAAGCTTGGGCTTGACCTTGCTATCTGCTGGTCTCATCCATGCGTCCAGAGCTCACCCCCACACCTCAGTTTATTGTTGCTCTTCTAGGCCGACGTTACACCTCCTACCTCCTCCTATCCGATTCTTTTACTTCCCCCTGCTGCTAATCAGTTGCCCGCTGGCACATCGCTGGCTACCATCCAGGCTTGCCCCCCATCCTAAGTGGACCCCTACCTCCATTGAGGTCCACATCCATCTTTCTCCCTCCTCTTCACCTCTACTCTCATCTTCTGTCCCTGTACCCCAACATGACCCCTGCCCTGACCACTATATCTTCATCTGGGTTTACCTTCTTCCATTCTTATTCTCACTATTCCCTGTTGCCCCTGCACTGCTTCATATCACGCATATCTTTCCTGATTATTCCACTCCCATTTATAATCGGTCTTAATAACTTTGCATTTATTTGATGACTCCCCTACCTTCTCCATCTAAGAATAATAACAGATTATGTTTACTGAACACTCTTTATGTGCTAGATGCTGTTCCAAGTGCTTTACATACATGATCCTACTAAATTCATGAAGTAACTATGAATATTACTACCATCTTGCAGAAGAGGAAACAAGCTCAGAGGTTAAGTAACTTGTTCCAAACTATGCAGACAGTGAGACAGAAAGCCAGAATTCAGAGTCACATTTATCTGATACTGAAGTCTCTGAATATTGCTTCTCTCCTGACCTCATTTCCTACCTTTAACCCCATGATTACCACCTCTATCTTATCTACTTAACTTACTTAAATCCTTACCATACATGCAGTATAAGGGCAGGGTGGGACCTGGTCATCTTTCCCATAATTTTATCTGGTCCCTAGGGCCCTCCCCCTTTCACAAGACTCGAATATACTTTTCCTATCCAGTCATTTGCCCCAACATCCCAGCCTTTTGTCATCTCCATTCTCTATATCTGCCATGGCCCACCCTTTACATCCACCTTGCAGCTTTACTCTGTCATTTATGCTCCCTGTCCTGCCCCTCCGCTATCCTACTTTTCCTCACATGTTCTGATCCCACTGCCTCACATGCTGCTGTCCTTCCTGTCCACCCATGTCATTCTTCTAAGTCCTAATCTGTAACCCTCAGCCACCCTGCTATCCTGCCTAAACTGTCTTGCTTAACTGTCACTCTGTTTATTGTTACTTTGCCTATTACTGTTTTAATTCTCTTTTTGTAAACTCCCCTTCCTTCCTTTCTTCCTTCCTTCCTTCCTTCCTTCCTTCCTTCCTCTCTCTCTCTTTCTTTCTTTTTTTCTTTTTTTTGACAGAATCTCACTCTGTTGCCCAGGCTGGAGTACAGTGGCGCGGTCTTGGCTCACTGCAACCTCCGCCTCCTGGGTTCAAGTGATTCTCCTGCCTCAGCCTCCTGAGTAGCTGGGACTACGGGCATGTGCCACCACACCTGGCTAATTTTTGTATTTTTAGTAGAGACGGGGTTTCACTATGTTGACCAGGCTGGACTTGAATTCCTGACCTCGTGATCTGCCCACCTTGGCCTCCTAAAGTGCTGGGATTACAGGCGTGAGCCACTGGGCGCAGCCAACTCTTCCATTTCTTAAACCCCTTCTTCATCCCCTCTCTGTCTTCACTCCATTCTCCTTCTGTTATAAATCCCAAAGTATGTTCAGCTATTTATTCCATCCTATTTTTTGCCTTTTCTGTTTGGCCTCCTAAATTCTACCATGCAGCCTACCGATCACCACCCACCTTCTCTGTGTCTCAAGATTCCACCCCCTCCATGTATTTTTTTTCTTTTCTCATACTGCCTTATCTTTCTCCTTGTGTATCCCAGGAGGTCAGGATGGTGGGGGAACGGCATGCTGGGGACCTCATGGTGCCCTTAGGGCCTCGGCTGCAGGCATATCCTGAAGAACTCATTCGACAGAGGCCTGGGCATGACGGGCATCCTGAATACCTGATCCGATGGAGTGTCCTGAAGTGTGGGGAAGTGGGCAAAGTGGGTGTGGAAGAAGGCAAAGCAGAGCACATCCTCATGTGGCTGTCGGCTCCTGAGGTCTACGCCAACTGCCCTGGGCTGTTAGGTGAGCGGGCACTATCTAAGGGACTTCAGCACGAACCAGCTGGGGTTTCAGGAAGCTTTCCTCGAGATCCAGGAGGCCTGGATGAAGTGGCAATGGGAGAGATGGAGGCTGATGTTCAGGCGCTGGTACGCAGGGCGGCCAGGCAGCTGGCAGAAAGTGGGACCCCAAGCCTCACGGCCGCTGTGCTTCACACCATCCACGTGCTCAGTGCCTACGCCAGCATCGGGCCCCTCACTGGTGTCTTCAGGGAGACAGGAGCCCTGGACCTGCTCATGCACATGTTATGCAATCCTGAGCCTCAGATCCGCCGGAGTGCAGGCAAAATGCTGCAGGCTCTGGCAGCCCACGATGCTGGTAAGAGACAGCCAGGGAAGAAGGAAAGGAATGGAGAAAATGGGGCCACAGGGAATAAGAAAGAGGAGAGATTTCCTAGCTCTGTAAGAACACCTAGTATTTGGTGAATATCAATTTGATGCAAAGGAAAAAATATAGATTAATAGGCTATTTCAGGTATATAAAGAGGCTAAAATGATAGCCTCTGGCTTATCTGTTCATTCTCAGTGCATTGACCAGAGAAGAGAATAGGACTTATCTGTATTTTTGAAACTGGATTGAGATTTATTAGTTGGTTTTGAAATCAATTTGGTGGGTTACAACCAACATTTTTTTAAAAACTTAAGTCATTAGTGTGTAGCACTTAGTAGGGGTAAATTTTGTAGCATAAAATATATGTTTCAGTTATATGTATGTATGTTTGTAACAGGTTACCATGTAAAATGTATTTCTTTCTGTGAGCCTTAGTAACAAAGTTTGAAAGCGTCTGGGGTAGGAGATAGAATCTAGGAAAGGCAGGGAGAAAGTACTGGGGATTGAGGAGAAGATATGGATTGGGTATGGATTACAGGGAGTCGGGCTCACGTCCTTCTATCACTGAGCCAGCAAGATGGCATCGAGCAGCACATGGATTTTGACAGTCGCTATACATTGCTGGAGCTGTTTGCAGAAACCACATCCTCTGAAGAACACTGCATGGCCTTTGAGGGCATTCATCTGCCTCAGGTACACTGCCAGCTGTAGGGAAATGCTGTGTACAAGGGCTAAGACATTATTTATGAAAACGTGGTTCAGGACTGAATGTTAGCACCAGAGCCACCTGGGAACTTGTTAACATGAAGGTTCATGTCCTCCCTCCCAGCCCCTCTCCATTCAGAATTTCTGAGATGAGAACCCAGGAATCTGTGTTTTAAGACACTCCCTATGCCTTTCTTACACAAATCAAAGTTTCAGAACTACAGGCCTGGGGAGAAGGCCTTTATATTTTTCTGTAGAGGAGGATACTTCAGGGAAGGGGAGAGGCTAAAGCCAGGAAGAGATGAACCTGTCCCAAGGATTGTGTCTTACAGATCCCAGGAAAGCTGCTTTTCTCCTTGGTGAAGCGCTACCTTTGTGTCACGTCCCTCCTGGATCAGCTGAATAGCAGTCCAGAGCTGGGAGCTGGAGACCAAAGCTCCCCATGTGCCACAAGAGAGAAAAGCCGGGGACAGCGGGAACTGGAGTTCAGCATGGCTGTGGGCAACCTCATCTCTGAGCTTGTGCGGAGCATGGGCTGGGCCCGGAACCTCAGCGAACAGGGCATGTCACCTCCCCGGCCAACCCGGTCCATCTTTCAGCCCTACATTTCAGGCCCCAGCCTTTTACTCCCCACCATTGTCACCACCCCCAGAAGACAAGGGTGGGTCTTCCGCCAGCGCTCTGAATTCTCCAGCCGTAGTGGCTATGGAGAATATGTGCAGCAGACACTGCAGCCAGGGATGCGAGTGCGGATGCTGGATGATTATGAGGAGATCAGTGCTGGGGACGAGGGCGAGTTCCGGCAGAGCAACAACGGCATTCCCCCTGTGCAGGTGGGCAGCACATGGTGGTGAGACACTGTTGGGAGTTTATTTGGGGTGGGGTGTAGCTGGGACTTCATAAGGAGGACTCCTGCAGGCCACCCAAGAAGAACCCCCCTGGGGAATTGGAATGATACAAGGGGGTTGGCATTTGTGCGGGGTGCATTTGGAGGGCTGAGAAAATCTGGCAGGGGTGTGGGTGGGCTGTAAGTTCATGGGAGACTCACCCAGGAAGCAGAACTGATAAATGGAGATACCTCCCCACCAACACCAGTGGAAGAGGCTAGGAAGGAATGTCGAGGCAGAGAATCATGGTTAAGAAAAGAGGCAGGGCCCACTCCTGATAAGGGAAGGAAGCCTTTTGCCATATGGGGGTTTTTCCAGGCTTAGCCAGGTGTGTATCTGAGGGTGCGCCCCAGATCTATGCTTGGGCATGTCCTTTCAAGCCTTCACAGGCCAAGGCTCAGAGGGTTGAGCCTTCTCTATTCTGCTCTCTTTCTTCCTCCCTCATACCAGGTTTTCTGGCAGTCGACAGGCCGCACTTACTGGGTGCACTGGCACATGCTGGAGATCCTGGGCCCTGAGGAAGCCACTGAGGATAAGGCTTCAGCAGCTGTGGAGAAGGGGGCAGGGGCTACTGTGTTGGGCACAGGTGAGCCTAAGAGGGGACATGGATAGCATGTCTCTGAACAGAGGATTAGTGACTGGGATGAAGCCACTTCTGACCAGGAGCAGCCCTAGGGGTCCAGAAATAGACCCCATTCCTGAGGGGTGCTGATGCCCGCCATGCCTGTGTCCTCAGCATTTCCCTCCTGGGACTGGAATCCTATGGATGGGCTGTACCCTTTGCCGTACCTCCAGCCCGAACCTCAGAAGAATGAGAGAGTGGGATATCTGACCCAGGCTGAATGGTGGGAGCTGCTTTTCTTTATCAAAAAGTTGGACTTGTGTGAGCAGCAGCCAATTTTCCAGAATCTTTGGAAGAACCTGGATGAGGTATTATAGGTCTGAGATACCTGGGGGTTTTCTAGTAGGGTTAGAGGTGGGATTCTCTAGAGGGAGTTTCAGATAGGGGTTACCGCTTAGGGGGAGGCTGGAGCTAGAGATTAGAGTTAGGAGGAGTCCTGCTGGGGGTTGGAGGCAAGTGCTGTGAGGGTCTAGTATGTAGAAGGTGTGGGGGCATGGTAGGGAGTGATCACCCTTCCCATTACTGACCCCAAGACCTTTGTGTCTGCTTGTCTCTTAAACGTATACCCCTTCTGTTGACAGACCCTGGGTGAAAAGGCCCTAGGTGAGATCTCTGTGTCCGTGGAAATGGCCGAGAGTCTGCTGCAGGTTCTCAGTAGTCGATTTGAGGGCAGCACTCTCAATGACCTGCTCAACTCCCAGATCTACACCAAGTATGGGCTGCTGTCTAATGAACCAAGCAGCTCGTCTACTTCACGAAATCACTCCTGTACCCCAGATCCAGAAGAGGAGTCCAAGTCGGAGGCCAGCTTCTCAGAGGAAGAGACTGAGTCCCTCAAAGCAAAGGCCGAGGCCCCTAAGACAGAGGCCGAGCCCACCAAGACAAGGACCGAGACCCCCATGGCACAGAGTGATTCTCAGCTGTTTAACCAGCTTCTGGTGACTGAGGGGATGACCCTGCCCACTGAGATGAAGGAGGCAGCCAGTGGTGAGTCAGGTTCTGGGAGGAAGCAATTGGAACAAGTCCTGGGTAGTCTCAGTAGAAGAAATGGATAGTCAGGATCGAAGGAAAGCCATGGAGGAAGGTGATTTTTGCAGGGGAAAATGCCTTGGAACCATGCGTCCATCTTCTTCCTTTTGACCTTGATTGTATTTAATTAACCAGCGCTCCCTTCCTTCAGTATCTCTGGAAAAGGAGGATCCGTTTTCTGGGGTGTCTTCATCTCCTTTGTTTGATCATTAGATCCCTGACACAGAATTGGAAAACTCTGCAAGCTGCAGTAGCCGATAATGTGTTTAAATATTGGTAGGATAACTGGGCTTGACTTTAAAGACTTCTAACTTCAAGGTGCCACAGTTCTTTTAGCCATTGCCTTTTCCCACCAATTTCAGAAATGGCCAGAGCCTTGCGGGGTCCCGGTCCTCGCAGCTCCCTGGATCAGCATGTGGCAGCGGTCGTGGCCACTGTGCAGATATCCAGCTTGGACACAAACCTGCAGCTTTCAGGGCTCTCTGCCCTCTCTCAGGCTGTGGAGGAGGTCACTGAGCGGGACCACCCTCTGGTCCGTCCTGACAGATCGCTGAGGTTAGCATACTGGGGAGGGAAGAGGTTTTGGTTGAAGCTGTAGGCAAAGGATGGTGGTAGCGGGGAAGGAGCTTTGAGATCACGAATTAGAAAAGCTTGGGGTGAGGGAAGGCTCAGCCTGAGGAGCAGCCGAGCAGGAGGGTTGGATGTTTTAATGGCTCGTATTCTTGGAGCACTTCTGTTATGCCAGGCACTGTGCTAGTATTTTACATGCATTCTCTCATTAAATCCACCTAACACCTGAGGAAGCGTTGGTAATATTATTATCCTACTATATGGGTGAGGAAACTGAAGCTTAGAGAATTTAAGTAACTTGCTTAGAGTTTTACAGATAGCAGAGCCAGGATTCAAACCTAGGTCTTTTTGGCTCTAGAACTGGAGTTTTTTCTCTTTCTTTTTCTTTTTTTTCTGTCCCTACGTACTTTTTTTTTTTCACATTAGACCTTAAAACCTACTTTATTTTAAATTTTTTTCTACCTTTATTTATTTATTTTTGAGACAGTCTTGCTATGTCGTCATGCTGGAGTGCAGTGGCGCGATCTCGGCTCACTGCAACCTCTGCCTCCCGGGTTCAAGGGATTCTCCCGCCTCAGCCTCCCAAGTAGCTGGGATTACAGGCACCACCACACCCAGCTAATTTTTGTACTTTTAGTAGAGACAGGGTTTCATCATGTTTGCCAGGATGGTCTCGATCTTCTGACCTCGTGATCTGCCTGCCTCGGCCTCCCAAAGTGCTGGGATTGCAGGCGTGAGCCACCGCGTCCAGCCCTCTACTTTTAAATTATACAAATAACACACAACTTATTCTCATTCTATTTATTTATTTTTATTTATTTACTTGTTTTTGAGACAGAGTCTCACTCTGTCACCCAGGCTAGAGTGCAATAGTGTGATCTTGGCTCACTGCAACCTCCGCCTCCTGGGTTCAAGCAGTTCTTATGTCTCAGCCTCCCAAGTAGCTGGGATTACAGGTGCCCACCACCAGGCCCAGCTAATTTTTGTATTTTAGTAGAGACGGGGTTTCACCCTGTTGGCCAGGCTGGTCTCGAACTCCTAACCTCAGATGATCCAGTCTCCCAAAGTGCTGGGATTACAGGTGTGAGCCACCATGCCCAGCCGCATTCTCATTTTAAAAGATCTGAAGAATGTAAAAGGACATAGGAGGGCCAAAGTCCTTTCTCACCACTGTTATCAGTCTACTATATCCTACAGATTTGCATTTGTAATTGTGTGTTTGGAAATAGAGCATTTTCTGAGTCTTTGTTTTAGTCTATGTAATCACATTCTACATGTTTCTACAACTTTTTTTTTTTTGCCCCCGCTCAGTGTCTTAGAGGGCTTTCCATATCAGTCTGGGTGGAGCTGCCTCATTATTTTTACTGCTGCATGGGACCCTGCAGTGTGGTTATCTCCAGTTTCAAGTGCAGTGTTCTAACGCGTCTGTTTTTCCTTACGTCTGCCAACACTGAATATTGTCGTCTTTTTTAATCTATCTAATTGGCAGCATTTTAAATGATTGGTATCTCTTTGTTTTAATTTCCTAGTTCTGGTAAAGTTAGGCACATTTGCATACATTTGTTCTGTTTTTTTTTTTCTATAAATATTCTGTTATTATCCTTTGCCCACTTTTTAATTGGATCTTTGCCTTTTTTAATGTATTTATAGGCATTTTGGTTATTCCTTTGTTATTTATGTTCCAGATATTTTGCTTGTCTTTTTAAAAATCATCTTAGCTCTATTTTTTGGTTATAGAATAATACATATGGTAAAAAAGTTAGAAAATTATTAAAATAAAAATTATCTGATCATATTCAAGTGAGATTGACAGAAAAAAAATCTGAAAGCCATTAAGACAGAGACAATCACTATTAACATGTTGGTAAACATCCTTACTTATTTCTCTAGTCATATGTATTACCCATGTATATTATCTGGTATATAATAAATCATGGCCATGGAAGGGGATATGTATTTCAAGCATATTTCATTCACACTGTTGTCATTATTAAACTTCTTAGAAAAGATAGATTAAAAACAGAACTTTCCCAGAAGTTCTCCTTCTGTGTTCTTTCCCCTCGTAGTTCCCGAGCCACCTCCTCAGTTGGCCTCACTGTCACTGTTAAGCAAGAGTCAATACCTGCTATTTTCTCTCCTGACCCTCACCGTGATCTAGGGACTCTAGAGGCACTTCTTCCTCTTCTTTTAGATCAGCATTTCCACTGGCCCCTTTCTCTAGCTCCTGCGCTTGTCTCGTAATTTTGTGTATAGTGTTTTTTTCATCATGCTAGAGTTTCAGACTTTTTGTTGCTACATTTTTCAGCTTTTTTATGGCTTCTAGATTTTGTGTCCTACTTAAAAGGATCTATTCTGTTCCAGAATTATAAAAATATTTTCCTATATTTTCCAAAAATACCCATGATTTTGTTTTTTTTAAATTTATTTAAAAATTCATTTGCAGTTTATTTTTGCAAATGTTGTGAAATAGAGCTCCAGCTTCAGTGTTTTCATATGGATAGCCAGGTGTCTCTAAATTGCATTGTGTGTGTGTGTGTGTGTGTGTGTGTGTGTGTGTGTGTGCGTGTTGTTTTTTTTTTTGTTTGTTTTTTTGTTTTTCAGAGACAGGGTCTCAGTCTGTTGACCGGGCTGGAGTGCAATAGCAAGATCACATAGCTCACTACAGCCTCAAACTCTTAGCCTCTAGCAACCCTTCTTGCTTATCCTCCCAAGTATCTGGGACTACAGGAATGAGCCACCACACCCAGCTAATTTTTTTTTTTTTTTTTTTTTTTTACTTTTTGTAGAGATGGGGTCTCACTATGTTGCCCAGGCTGGTTTCAAACTCTTGGCCTCAAGCAAGGCCTCAGTCAATAATTAATTAATTAATTTTGAGACAGAGTCTTGCTTTGTCGCCCAGGCTGGAGTGCAGCAGTGCAATCTCGGCTCACTGCAACCTCCGCCTCCTGGGTTCAAGCGATTCTCCTGCCTCAGCCTCCTGAATAGCTGGGATTACAGGCCTGCACCACCACGCCTGGCTAATTTTTGTATTTTTAGTAGAGATGGGGTTTTACCATGTTGGCCACATTGGTCTCGAACTCCTGACCTCAAGTGATCCACCTACCTCAGTCTCCCAAAGTGCTGGGATTACAGGTGTGTGTCACTGTGCCCAGACAACATTATATTTTAAATGGTTCTTCCTTTTTTTTTTTTTGCTGGCTTATACACCACCCTTATCTCTCTTCTCATCTATTGATCTATTTAGCTACCCTATGTCAGTTCCAGGGTTGTAGTTATTACAAGTTTATATTTATATTTTGATAATAATAGGCAAGCCTACCCCTTTTCTCTTTTTTTTTTTTTTTTTTTTGAGACAGGGTCTCACTCTGTCAGCCAGGCTGGAGTGCAGTGGCATGATCACAGCTTGCTGCTGCCTCGACCTCCCAGGCTCAGATGATCCTCCCACCTCAGCCTCCCAAGTACCTGAGACTACAGGCACAGGTCACTATGCCAGATAATTTTTTGTAGAGATGGGGTTTTGCCATGTTGCCCATGGCAAAAGCCATGGGCTCAAGCAATTTACCTGCCTCAGCCTCTCAAAGTGCTGGGATTACAGGCATGAGCTGCTGCACCTGACTACCACTATTTTTTTCTCAACATTTCCAAGGCTTGGATCTGCCTGTTGTGGTGTTTTTAAAAACCTTTTAGGCCAGCACTTTGCGAGGCCAAGGCAAGTACACTGCTTGAGGCCAGGAGTTCGAGACCAGTCTGGGAAACATAGCGAAACCCCGTCTCTACTGAAAAACAATACAAAAAATTAGCTGGGCGTGGTAGCACGCACCTGTAGTCCCAGCTACTCAAGAGGCTGAGGCTTGAGAATCACGTAAACCCAGGAGGCAGAGGTTGCAGTGAGCTGAGATCGCGCCATTGCACTCCAGCCTGGCAACAGAGCAAGACTCCATCTCAAAAACGAAAAGACAAACAAAACCACCTTTTAGGCATTTTGATTAGTATCACTTTGAATTTATAGATTTATTTGAAAAGGTGAGCCAGAGTTTATAAACATTTTTTCTAATGCCTCCTTCATTAGCCGAGGAGCCAGAGGCAGTTAGGCTGCAGAGGGGAGGGGATTGGGGTGAGACTGAAGCCAGGAGAGCAGGTTTGGGTGGGGCAGAGAGGATGGACTAGATCTTGGTGGATGGGATTGGTCAGGGAGTCCGACGGTGCCATGGCTGGGAGGTCAGGCAAGACTCCTTGGGATGGGGAGCCCCAATATCTCTTCTCTTGTCAGAGAGAAGCTAGTGAAGATGCTGGTGGAGCTGCTGACCAACCAGGTGGGAGAGAAGATGGTGGTCGTGCAGGCCCTGCGCCTCCTTTACCTGCTCATGACCAAGCACGAGTGGCGGCCGCTCTTTGCCAGGGAGGGTGGCATCTATGCTGTGCTGGTCTGCATGCAAGAATATAAGACTTCTGTCTTGGTGCAGCAGGCTGGGCTGGCGGTGAGTACATTGGGCCTGGCGGGAGAGAACAATGGGCAAGACAGGCAGACTGGGGACTACTGATCTTGAGGGGGTACTTTGGTGCTTCAGATCAGTGAGTAGACTTTGGAATGGAAAGATGCAGATGGTTTTAAGAGTTTGATCTGGACATTCTTCGGGATTAAGTGTTTGGAAAAAGGGAAAAGGGAGTTTTGGGGTTATTTTTGTTGGAGACAGGATCTTGCTATGTTGCCCAGACTGATCTTGAACTCCTGGGCTCACGTGATCCTCCCACCTCAGCCTCCCAAAGTGCTGAGATTACAGGCATAAGCCACTGTGCCAGGCCAGGAGGTTTTTTGTTTGTTTGTTTGTTTGTTTGTGATGGAGTCTCGCTTGTTGCCTAGGCTGGAGTGCAGTGGCGCTATCTCGGGTCACTACAACCTCCACCTCCTGGGTTCAAGTGATTCTCCTGCCTTAGCCTCCTGGGATTACAGGCATGAGCCACCGTGCCCAGCCCAGGCCAGGGTTAAGAATGACTCCCGGGTGTAAAATTAAGGAGCAGGGTGCATGAAGTGCCCATTTACTGAGAGAGAGAGAATGTTGCAGGAGGAGGAGATATGGGGTGAAGGTCAGGAGTTGAGTTTTCAGGTATATTGAGTGTTCCTGCCTTTTTAGTTATTATTAGGTGTCTGGTTAAAAGCTAATTTTCTAGATGTGACCATTAAACCAAAAGTATTTTTTTTTCCTCTTTTATCTAAGTGGCACCCTTACATAGAAAATACTCTGTTACTAGATTTGGGTAAAACAAAGCCAGCATTGCCATTGCCCAGAGAATCGGGAAGGAAGGCCCTTATCCAGAGTAGCTTACAGAAGAATTGGCTTCCTGGTTACTCCAGACAGAAGTGCTGGCTGGTAGGGTGGTGTGGGCAGAGGAGCTCTGTGTAGCCTGAGGGTTCCTGAGGGAGACAGGCAGGCTTCGGCCAGAGCAGTTCTGAGAATGGATTCCAGTAGTATAATGGCAGCAGCATGAACGGGAGCATGTGTCCTCTTAAAGCAGGCTGTCCCGGGAGAGGCCAGGAGGCGCTTTTCTTTTCTCTTCTCTTTTCTCTTTTTTTTTCTTTTTTCTTTTTTCTTTTCTTTTCTTTTTCTTTGACGGAGTCTTGCTCTGTAGCCCAGGCTGGAGTGCAGTGGCTCAATCTCGGCTCACTGGAACCTCTGCCTCCCGAGTTCAAGCGATTCTCCCGCCTCAGCCTCCCGAGTAGCTGGGATTACAGGCACGTGCCACCATGCCCAGCTTAATTTTTTGTATTTTTAGTAGAGACGGGGTTTCACCATGTTTGCCAGGATGGTCTCAATCTCCTGACCTCATGATCTGCCCGCCTCAGTCTCCCAAAGTGCTGGGATTACAGGTGTGAGCCATCACACCCAGCCTGGGAGGTGCTTTTCTTTATGGGACCAAGAGCAGCCAGGCATTCATAGTCCAGATCATCATGCTCAAAGAATTCCCTGATCCTCTCAAATTACGTGACCAAAACATAGCAATTGCCATCCACTATAGATCATGACAAAAAAATAAAAATAAAAATGGCTGAGTGTGGTGGCTCACGCCTGTAATCCCAGCACTTTGGGAGACCAAGGCGGGTGGATCACCTGAGGTGAGGAGTTTGAGACCAGCCTGGCCAACATGGTGAAACCCTGTCTCTACTAAAAACACAAAATTAGCCGGGCGTGGTGGTGCATGCTTGTAATCCCAGCTACTTGGGAGGCTGAGGCGGGAGAATCGCTTGAACCCAGGAGCGGGAGGTTGCTGTGAGCTGAGATTGCGCCATTGCACTCCAGCCTGGGCGACAGAGTGAGACTTCATCTCAAAAAAATCTTGCCCTGAAATAAAATTACATCATCTTGTTAATAACTTAAAGTCTACAGAACTCAGCTAACTAGGGGAGGGTGGTGTAACTACAGGGAGAAAGCTTCATTGAGAAGTAGAAGTTGCTTGGAGGGTCCAGGCCTTACAAGAGGCATTGTCCTGAGAATTATTTCTAGCCCAGTCCATCTCTCATGGGTTTCTTGTAGAGAATCAACCCTTTTACCAGGAGAGACATTCTCCACTCTGATTGTATAGTGTCTATTTTAATTTAATTTTTCTCTATAGTCCCAGCAAACAGGTTTGCACATTACAATTATTTTTCCTATAATGCCAACCACTGCCTGTGAGACAACCAAGAAGTCTTATCTAGAAGGGCTGGATGCTGGCTAAGGCCAGGAGACACAGGTTTTGGAGACTTGGTGTATAGGTGGTAATTGAAGCAATGTGAATGGACCTGGTTGCCTCAGTGTGGGTGAGTGCAGAGTCCAGAGAAAGGGGACAAGGAACCTTAGTTCCTTGGGGCAAAGGAACACCAGAGAGGTAGGAGAAAAGCCAGGAGGATGTGAAGTCATGGAACTCAAGGGAAGAGAGATTTTGCAAAGGAAGGAGTGCAAGTGAGATGGGAGACAACTGTAAGAAGCCCCTGAAGACAACTAGATGCTGCGAGGGGCACCATCCTGAAGGGAAGATACAGGAGGGGCGGCTGTCCCACTCTGGTAGCCTTGGTGCTGCGAGCCTGGAGGCCAAGAGGAGTGGAAGGCTGATTTTACCATCCAGTCTCAGAGTTTTTTGTTGTTGTTTAGTTTCTTTCCTTTTTTCTTTTCCTTCCTCCCTCCCTCCTTCCCTCTCTTTGTAGTATTTGATGTCCCATCACTACCTCTTCCATTTCTGTCTCCTACTCTACCTATCTGCAAACAGCTCAGCTGCCCCAAAGTTTGAGGTCTAGAATGAGGCCTACCTTTCCTCATGGTGACTCTGCCCCCTCCTCACTCTGCTTTCACATCCCCCTCACAGGCACTGAAGATGCTGGCCGTCGCCAGCTCCTCGGAGATCCCCACTTTTGTTACTGGCCGAGATTCTATCCACTCTTTGTTTGATGCTCAGATGACCAGAGAGATCTTCGCCAGCATCGACTCAGCCACACGCCCGGGCTCTGAGAGCCTGCTCCTCACTGTCCCTGCAGCCGTGATCCTGATGCTGAATACTGAGGGGTCAGGGCATTACCTTCCCAACTCCAGGCTCCTGCTTAGTCCCAAACCCTGCTACTCCTGTGCTCCAGGCTCATGTACTCCACAGAAATTCCCCTCACGCTGTCACCTCCGGATTAAGCATTGGTGGCGCTGCCAACTGTTGTTGGAGGAGAACCCAAGTGGATTGGGGATAGGGAGATTCCCAGAGAGGGCAGAGACACACTGACTTCCCTTTATGGGTTTGGGAGGAGTGGCCCAAGGTCAGGGGATCAGATGTCCTGGCTCAGAGGGCCCACTGGAGCCCTTTGCTCCCTAGCTGCCCGGCCTTCTATGCTTGCTTTGCTGCTTCCATTGCATTCATGGTCTCTCAGTTTCTTCCTGGTCACCTCCCTCCTCCCAGGTGCTCTTCTGCAGCGAGAAATGGCTTACTCCTGCTCAACCTACTTTTGTGCAACCACCACACTCTGGGAGACCAGATTATAACCCAAGAGCTGAGAGACACGTTGTTTAGGCACTCAGGGATAGCACCAAGAACAGAACCTATGCCTACCACACGCACCATCCTCATGATGCTTCTCAATCGCTACTCAGAGCCGCCGGGCAGCCCTGAGCGTGCAGGTACCATTGTGGAGGGGTGGTTTTGCAGAGGAATCACACAGTGCCAGCCAGGTTTACATATCAGCTCCTTACTGGAAAGATACAAGGAAACTTCAGGAAATGAGCAAGCATTGTGCTCAAGTTAGGTCTTAAGTAGAACTTCCCGACCAAGAAGAGGGAGACTGTGGAATATGTGCAAGGAAATTGCATTTTTTTTTTTTTGAGATGGAGTTTTGCTCTTGTTTCCCAGGCTAGAGTGCAGTGGCACGATCTCGACTCACTGTAACCTCTGCTTCCTGGGTTCAAGCAATTCTCATGCCTCAGCCTCCTGTGTAGCTGGGATTATAGGCACCTGCCACCACAGCGGGCTAATTTTTGTATTTTTAGTAGAGACAGGGTTTCACCATGTTGGCCAGGCTGATCTGGAACTCCTGACCTCAGGAGATCCACTGCCTCGGCCTCCCAAAGTGCTGGGATTGCAGGTGTGAGCCACTGCACCTGGCTGGAAATTGCCTTCTTGAATGGCTTTAAACATATGTGGATTCATATCCATCTGGGCTAGGTTTGGCCCAGTATTATTGGACAGTAGAAGACTCATTGAAATGACATCTAGGGAAGCCTTTCTCTTTTTTTGTTTTAAGCTTAACTGGTTTTTTTTTGGAGGTGGAGTCTCACTCTGTCGCCCAGGCTGGAATGCAGTTGCACGATCTCTGCTCACTGCAAGCTCCGCCTCCCGGGTTCAAGGAATTCTCCTGCCTCAGCCTCCTGAGTAGCTGGGATTACAGGTGCGCACCACCACACCCAGCTAATTTTTGTATATTTAGTAGAGACAGGGTTTCACCATGTTGGTCAGGCCGGTTTTGAACTCCTGACCTCGTGATCTGACCGCCTTGGCCTCCCAAAGTGCTGGGATTAGAGGCGTGAGCCACTGTGCCTGGCCTAAGCTTAACTTTCTCTTCACAGAATAGGGAGGCCTTCTTAAGAGAAATTATAATTTATGGTACAGAACACTTGTGCCTGGAAACATTAGATATTGATACTGGGGAAGAAACCCTTTGTGATTGAAAAACAAGTGAAAACCTAGAAGTGTGGAGGGATATTGAAATAGGAAATACGTGGCCAGGTGCAATAGCTCATGCCTTTAATCCCAGCACTTTGGGAGGCTGAGGCAGGCAGATCACTTGAGGTCAGCAGTTTGAGACCAGCCCGGCCAACATGGTGAAACCGCATCTTTACTAAAAATACAAAAATTAGCCGGGCACGGTGGTAGGTGCTTGTAATCCCAGCTACTTGGGAGGCTGAGGCAGGAGAATCACTTGAGCCCAGGAGTTGGAGGTCACAGTGAGCCAAGATCATGCCACTGCACTCCAGCCTGGGTGACAGCGCTCTGTGTATTCCTACAAAATAGGAAATATGTATGTATCTTTTAGTCTGTGTACCTAAAGCCACCATGCAGGTAGTACAGGGATATAATCATCATAGTTAATATTTACTATAACTAACATTTAATAATAGGACTATAAGAGATTTAAAATGTCTTGTGTTTAACTCGACAGTGTTTGCTATACTAGGTTTTTTTTTCAAATCTGATTAGGTTTGTATTTGGGGTCAGGAAAGAAAACCCCTCATAGTTTGGTTAAAAACTATAGACATCCTCAATATAGAAGGAAAATTTTGGGGTGATTTTCTGGACCTTCCCAGTTCTCAGTTTGACAAACTGGTAAGACTCTTCATCCACATTTTTCCCTCTGGTGTGTCTGGCTGCAGCACTAGAGACCCCCATCATCCAGGGTCAGGATGGGTCCCCTGAGCTACTGATTCGATCCCTGGTTGGGGGCCCATCTGCAGAACTACTCCTGGACTTGGAGCGTGTGCTGTGCCGTGAGGGCAGCCCCGGAGGTGCCGTGAGGCCCCTCCTCAAGCGCCTCCAGCAGGAGACCCAGCCTTTCCTCCTGTTGCTGCGGACTCTGGATGCTCCGGGGCCCAACAAGACTCTGCTGCTGTCTGTGCTGAGGTGAGGGGCCTGTTGAGGCACCATGCATTGGGACGAGGGAAACTGGCAGACTTCAGGGACTTCACTTGTTTCTTTTCTGTTTTCTTTTTTTTTTTTTTGAGTTGGAGTTTCACTCTTGTTGCCCAGGCTGGAGTGCAATGGCACGATCTCAGCTCACTGCAACCTCTACCTCCCAGGTTCAAGTGGTTCTCCTGCCTCAGCCTCCCGAGTAGCTGGGATTGCAGGCATGTGCCACCATGCCCAGCTAATTTTGTATTTTTAGTAGAGATGGGGTTTCTCCATTTTGGTCAGGCTGGTCTCGAACTCCCGACCTCAGGTGATCCGCCCACTTCGGCCTCCCAAAGTGCTGGGATTACAGGCATGAGCCACTGTGCCTGGCCTGACTTCACTCGTTTCTACCCCCTCACCAGGGTCATAACCCGACTGCTGGATTTCCCTGAGGCAATGGTCCTCCCCTGGCACGAGGTCTTGGAGCCCTGCCTCAACTGCCTGAGTGGCCCTAGCAGTGACTCCGAGGTACCAGAACCCTGGCAAGGAGAAGAGAGGGAAGGGCAGCATCTGGGGCACCAACTCCTTGTGAGGCTCTGGAGGGCACAGCAGAGCCTTTCTGAATGGATCTTGGGGCACTGGGATGGGTGTAGGAGGAGGAAGGGTAATGTAATCTAAGAATCTCCAGAACTGGAATCTTTGAAGTATAAACCTTTTAGATGATTTTAGATTTGGAGTTTAGATTCTGGACTAAGGAGAAGCCCACATTCACCAATCCAGACAGCTGTCCTCCCTTCCGGGTTTGTGCATTGGAGAGCAAGGCTCAGGCACCAGGGTTAACATAGCTTGGCCTGGGCAGGAAGCAGCCTGGAAAGCTGTGCCCAAGCTCTGTTCTGCCAACTCACTCTGGAGTCCCAGCACTCCTCTATTTTACTCCACCCTGAATTTGGTACTCTTGTTTCCCTGGGCGTTGGCATGTCTCCACAATCTCAGCCACGACACTTCCTTTACTGAACCCTCTCCTCAATCCTTACATGTCCTACCTCTTGTTTCCTGTAAATTAATCTATGTGGCTCTGGGCTCAGATTGTTCAGGAGCTGACCTGCTTCCTACATCGCCTGGCCTCGATGCATAAGGACTATGCTGTGGTGCTCTGCTGCCTGGGAGCAAAAGAGATCCTCTCCAAAGTCCTGGACAAGCACTCAGCTCAGCTGCTGCTGGGCTGTGAGCTTCGGGACCTGGTGACAGAGTGTGAGAAGTACGCACAGCTCTATAGCAACCTCACCTCCAGCATCCTGGCCGGCTGCATTCAGGTGAGGAGCGGCTGTGGGTATGCAGCTGAGAGAATGCAAGTCAGAAGCAGGAGAAGGGGATTCACTGTGTTCCTCTTTGGTATCCCTGTTTGGCACAGGTTGTAGCAAATCTGGGGCACTTGTTTCCTAACCTTGACTCCACATGGTTCTGTCAAAATGTGGGGAGAGAGGAGTTGAGTATACCGTTGACCCTTGACTTTTTCTCTCTACCTGTTTCTGGGCATTTCTCTGTGTTCCTCCCTCTCCTCTTCCTCATTCTCCCTGATGTTCCGGCTGCAGATGGTGCTGGGCCAGATCGAAGACCACAGACGAACCCACCAACCCATCAATATCCCCTTCTTTGATGTGTTCCTCAGGCATCTCTGCCAGGGTTAGTGCCCTCATCTGCTTTCTCCTGGCTCCCATCCAGTGTCTGTTCTCCCCTTCCCTTCCTGCTCCTTAGACCTTTTCCTTTTTCCTCTCAACTAACCTAGCTGTGACTGCCACCCCTTCCCACTTGCCCCCAGGCTCCAGTGTGGAAGTGAAGGAGGACAAGTGCTGGGAGAAGGTGGAGGTGTCCTCCAACCCGCACCGAGCCAGCAAGCTGACGGACCACAACCCCAAGACCTACTGGGAGTCCAACGGCAGCACCGGCTCCCACTACATCACCCTGCACATGCACCGTGGTGTTCTTGTTAGGTGTGAACACACATATATGAATGTTCTGCTGTGCCCCAGGATACTTCCCCAAAGCACCCAGATACACACAACCCCAGCTATAACCCCAATGCCTGAGGGACACACTCAAACCTATTTTGTGCAGTGAACACATAGACACATTGACCTGCCTTTGCTGAGTATAGACATCCCCTCACTCCCAGAGTCTGGTGATCTGTACTCCAACAGGTACAGATGGCACTGCCCTGTGCTTAGTGTTGAGGGAGATAAACAGCTCACTTATCCATTTCTCCTTTGGGCATTTGCTTAATGCCAGGCATTTGTGTCAGGCACTGTGCAAGGGTCTCGAAATAGAAGGACAATAAGATATGGTACCTACATTCCAGCTGGGGAGCTACACTAGAAAATCAAGTAAGAGCACAGAGTAAGAAAAAGCATTGTGGTCCACATGTGGACCTGAGACTGACAGGCATGAGAGCAGACTTCCTTCTGGAAGGAGGGGGTGACTGAGCTGGGTTTTGACATTGAAATTAGGTAGATAAAGAGGGGGCAATATTCTAGGCATAAGGACAGCATATGTGCAAAATGGAAGTAAGAAAGTATATTTGGAGGGACTTTAAGTCATCATATTTGGTTACAATTGAAAGCTGTGTATATCTTTATTTTTATTTTTTTATATTTTTTGAGATGGAGTCTCGCTCTGCCGCCCAGGCTGGAGTACAGTGGTGTGATCTCAGCTCACTGCAACTTCTGCCTCCCGGGTTCACCCCATTCTCCTGTCTCAGCCTCCCGAGTAGCTGGGACTACAGGCGCCTGCCACCACGCCTGGCTAATTTTTTGTATTTTTAGTAGAGACGGGGTTTCACCGTGTTAGTCAGGATGGTCTCGATCTCCTGACCTCGTGATCCGCCCGCCTTGGCCTCCCAAAGTGCTGGGATTACAGGCGTGAACCACTGCGCCCGGCCGAAAGCTGTGTATGTCTAAGTGGCGGAAGATACAGGCCAGAAAAGTAGGCAAAGGCAGATCACAAAATGTTTTGTGAGCTAAGCAGTTTGAACTTTATTCCAAAAGTTGGGAGAGCCATTGGAAGATTTTAAGAAGGGAGGAGAGAAAACTAGATTTTTTATTGAGAAAGCTCACTCTGGCAACTATGGGAGTTTGCGCTGGAGGTAGAAGAAGGAGGTGGAAGGTGTATGCAGTGCTCTAGTAGAGAAAGGATCCATGTGTTCAGTTAGACAGCAGGAGTGGGAACTGACTGGGAAATCCTCAGAGATGGAGTCCACAAGACTTGCCTTTGGGTGAGGGAAGCCATGAGAAGGTGAAGGCCTCAGTGACAGTATTCTAGTTGAGTACTGAGTGCACGGAAGTTTTATTTCCCAGGAGAGAAACAGGAAGCGGGACAGGTTTATGTGGACAGATGATCATTTCATTTGGGCATGATGACTCTGAGGTGCCTGTGGGACATGACATGGAAATACCTGTTGGGGACACAGCATGAAAGCTCAGGAGAGTGGTCTGGGATAGAGATGTGTATTTGGAGTCCTCTGTGTATTAATTTTCAGTTGAAACTGTGGGTTTAAATTAAGTCACTTTGGGTGAATATAGAGGGAAGAGCAGAGGGTCTAGTGGGGACAGCTGCCTCAGGAGCCAGCAGAGGAACAGGAGCCTGAGAAAGAAGTGGTGGCTTGAAATAGTTTTGAACTGAAACCAGGGCTCTGGCCTTTTTATTTCCTTCTTTTGATTTTTATTTCGTAGAGGTGGGGTCTTGCAGTGTTGCCCAGGTTGATCTTAAACTAGCCTCAAGCGATCCTCCCACCTCAGCCTCCCAAAGTGTTGGGATTACAGATGTGAGCCACCACGTCCAGAGGCCCAGCTTTGACTGTTTCCTTTCTTCTTTCCCAGGCAGCTCACTTTGCTGGTGGCCAGTGAGGACTCAAGCTACATGCCAGCCAGGGTGGTGGTGTTTGGGGGTGACAGCACCAGCTGCATCGGCACTGAGCTCAACACGGTGGGGACCCTTGTGCCCACCTTCACCTTGCTCCACATCCTTCTTTTTGTCCCAGTGCCTGTGGGAAGGACCTAGTCCCTGGGGAATGGTGACATCCCTTCCCCTTGGGAAGGTGTTGCCTTGTAAGCAGTGAGAGTGGGATTAGGGATGCAGAGCCACGTCCATCCCTAGGCTCTGCGGGAGAAGTGAAGGGCACACACCATGACCGACTTGGTTACTGTCAACAATTTTTCCAACCTTGTTTCTGGAGGTGACAGTTCTCTCCCTCTTCTCCCCTGCCCTACCAGGTGAATGTGATGCCCTCTGCCAGCCGGGTGATCCTCTTGGAGAACCTGAACCGCTTCTGGCCCATCATCCAGATCCGCATAAAGCGCTGCCAGCAGGTGGTGTTAGGGTGTCAGCCAGGGCTGAGGAGGAGGAGGTGGCACACAAGTTTCTCCTTGATCTGCTTGGGAGATGGCCCAGGACCTGTTGAGTCCCAGAGATGTGGGGATGTCCTGAGCAGTTCTAGGGAGCTCAGGGCAGGAGGCTTGGCTTTGGTAGTACTTAGTGGCTCAAGCGGCTTGGGTGACAGATAAGTCTGTGCATGTTCCAGGGCGGCATTGACACCCGGGTTCGGGGTGTGGAGGTCCTGGGCCCTAAGCCCACATTCTGGCCACTGTTCCGGGAGCAGCTGTGTCGCCGAACATGTCTCTTCTACACAATTCGGGCACAAGCCTGGAGCCGGGACATAGCAGAGGACCACCGGCGCCTCCTCCAGCTCTGTCCCAGGTGGGTGGGGCCTGAGGAGGGAAGATGGGTAAGGGAACAGGACACTGTGAGAAGTAGGAGGGATGCTCCTGTGGGAGTCCGGAAGGGAAAGCTGCAGCCAGGACATGAGGGGGAAGGTGAACGTAGGTGAGAAGTTTGTGTTAATTGGGAAAAGTTGGGTCAGGGACCGAACAGGGGTGATTGGGAGCTGATCTGCACTTGAATGGAGGCCTCTGGGAAATCGGTGCCATTAATCCTCCGCCATGCACTGTTTGTTCCCAGACTGAACAGGGTTTTGCGCCACGAGCAGAATTTTGCTGACCGCTTCCTCCCTGATGATGAGGCCGCCCAGGCACTGGGCAAGACCTGCTGGGAGGCCCTGGTCAGCCCCCTGGTGCAGAACATCACCTCTCCCGGTAACCATGCTGACACCTGGCCCCACTAACCAGTTCCTTGTCCTTATTCCCAGGGATCACCTGAGTTAATGCTCTTGGTTCTTTTGGTTCCTGTCTTTATCCCTGAAGGCCTGTCACCTCAGTGTTCCTCTCTCCTTCCTGCCCCAGGCACTGCTCCCTGAGACTCTGGTATTTGAATCTTTCCCACTACCCCATCCCCACCCTGTTAACATTTCCCCTGACTCCAGCTGAAACAAACCTTGGTGAGGGGAGGACTAGGGCCCCACTACCCCTCAAGCCTTTTTGTACAATTGATCTTTCTCCCTCCTCTGCCCTGAGCTGTCTGTTCTCCCATCTCCCATGGAGACCTGTTCCTGACCTGTCTTCTTTCAGATGCGGAAGGCGTGAGTGCCCTGGGATGGCTGCTGGATCAGTACTTAGAACAGAGAGAGACCTCTCGGAACCCCTTGAGTCGAGCAGCGTCCTTTGCTTCTCGAGTTCGTCGCCTTTGCCACTTGCTGGTGCATGTGGAACCTCCTCCTGGGCCTTCTCCTGAGCCATCCACTCGGCCCTGTAAGTCCCAGCTGTGGCCAGTGGAGCTGACTCTGCGGACAGTGGTGTATCTGGCTCCCTCCTCCCTGGGTCTTACTCTTGCTGCTTTGCTACCGGCCTTTCCAGGCCCCTGAGACCTACTGGCCTTTCCAGGAGATCACTACCCAAGACCGGTGTACTCACCCAGAGGCTGAGATGAAACCCCTTCCTTCTCCCTCTGTCTCTACAGTCAGCAAGAACAGCAAGGGTCGGGACCGGAGCCCGGCGCCTTCGCCAGTGCTTCCAAGCAGCAGCCTGAGGAACATAACCCAGTGCTGGCTGAGCGTGGTGCAGGAGCAGGTGGGCAGAAGCAAGCAGAAGTCTGCAGAGGGGAGGGGCTGCTCCTTTTATGTCATTTCTTGCCTTTCTCCTCAGGTCAGCAGATTCCTGGCTGCAGCTTGGAGGGCCCCAGACTTTGTGCCTCGTTACTGTAAACTCTATGAGCACTTGCAGAGAGCAGGCTCCGAGCTGTTTGGGCCTCGGGCAGCCTTCATGCTGGCTCTGCGCAGTGGCTTCTCTGGCGCCTTGCTGCAGCAGTCCTTCCTCACTGCTGCTCACGTGAGTCCCACCAGCTCCCCACAGGGCTATAAGCTTGTGTTCCAAGTTCATCTCTTTCTGCTCTGCCCTTTCACCTCCTTTCGCTCCCCAGTCTCCTACTCCACTCCCTCATTCATGGTTTGCTCATGCCCTTTCCCCTGCCCCCAGATGAGTGAGCAGTTTGCCAGGTACATTGACCAACAGATCCAGGGTGGCCTGATTGGTGGAGCCCCTGGAGTGGAAATGCTGGGGCAGCTTCAGCGGCACCTGGAACCCATTATGGTCCTTTCTGGTCTGGAACTGGCCACAACTTTTGAGCACTTCTATCAGTGAGTGCAGGTCTGGAGGCATAGGGGATGGGAGGCCTAGATCTAGAGAGTGGAAAGATTTGAGTCTTATAGGGGAGATGAGAAAAGAGGCTGTGTAGAGGAGAGATTAAGATGTGGAGATGGCTGGCCAGGCGCGGTGGCTCACGCATGTAATCCCAGCATTCTGGCAGGCAGATCACCTGAGGTCAGGAGTTCAAGACCAGCCTGACCAACATGGTGAAACCCTTTCTCTACTAAAAATACAAAAATTAGCCAGGTGTGGTGGCGTGGTGGCAGGCACCTGTAATCCCAGCTATTCGGGAGGGTGAGGCAGGTGAATCTCTTGAACCCGGGAGGCAGAGGTTGCAGTGAGCCAAGACCACGTCATTGCACTTCAGCCTGGGTGACAAGAGCAAGACTCCGTCTCAAAAAAAAAAAAAAAAAGTGGAGGTGGTCATGCATTGGTGGAAAGGGAGTGGGAAAGAAGAGGTGAGGTAGGGTATGTGACTCAGGCAGAGGGACAGAGGGACCTACATTCTCGAGGGGGAGGCTGGGCCACGCTGGCACCCACACTGAGGCTTGGCCCGGGCTGTGTGTGCTGCAGGCATTATATGGCGGACCGTCTCCTGAGCTTTGGTTCGAGCTGGCTGGAGGGGGCTGTGCTAGAGCAGATTGGCCTCTGTTTTCCCAACCGCCTCCCACAGCTGATGCTGCAGAGCCTGAGCACCTCTGAGGAGCTGCAGCGCCAGTTCCACCTCTTCCAGCTCCAGCGGCTCGACAAGTTGTTCTTGGAGCAGGAAGATGAGGAGGAAAAGAGACTAGAGGAAGAGGAGGTAAGAGCAGGGAGAATAGGAGAGTGAGAGAAGACTAGACCAAGGAAGGGAGCCCAAGGGCCCTTGAAATCCTTCTGTCCCTCAGGAGGAAGAGGAGGAAGAGGAAGCTGAGAAAGAATTATTTATCGAAGATCCAAGTCCAGCCATTTCTATACTGGTCCTGTCACCACGCTGCTGGCCCGTCTCCCCACTCTGCTACCTGTACCATCCCAGAAAGTGCCTTCCCACAGAATTCTGTGATGCCCTTGACCGTTTCTCCAGTTTCTACAGCCAGAGTGAGGAACTAGGGAGAGGAAATTGGAGATCGGGGTGAGATTCGGGGTGGCAAGAGAGGAAGAGGAGAGGACCTTTGGACAGGATATAGATGTGAAGAAAAATATCAGCTCCTAGCGAGGGATGAGAAAGCATGGGTTGTAGTTTCATTAATTTCTGCTCTCATCAGTTTCTTCAACTTTCTATGAATTTGTTCTGTTTTCTTTTTCTAACTTCAAGTGAGGTGCTTATTTGATTTTTAGTCTTTTCAGACTTTTTTCCAAATAAAAGTGTTTAAGACTATTCATTTCCCTCTCAATACTGCTTTAGTGGCATCCTATAAAGTTTTAAAAGATTTTTTTTCTTTATTTTTTTGACATGGAGTCTCACTCTGTCACCCAGACCAGAGTGCAGTGGTGTAATCTCTGCTCACTGCAGCCTCTACCTCCCGGGTTCAAGCGATTCTCCTGTCTCAGCCTCCCAAGTAGCTGGGACTACAGGCGTATGCCACCACACCCGGCTAATTGTGTATTTTTAGTAGTGACGGGGTTTCACCATGTTAACCAGGCTGGTCTCAAACTCCTGACCTCAGGTGATCCACCCGCCTCAGTGAGCCACTGTGCCCGGCCAAAAAGATTTTTTAGATTGGGATATAACTAGTATTCAGTAAAGTGCACACGTCTTAATTATAAGGCTTCATGAATTATTATATTCATATACACCCATGTATCTACCTCCCTCATACCCCCATCAAGATACAGAACATTTCCAGCATCGTAGAAGGCTGTCTCCTTCATGCCCCCTTTCCAGTCAATGTCTTCTTCCAGGAGAAATCATTATTTTTAACCTTTATCACCATAGATTTGTGCCTGTATTTGAACATCATATAAATGGAATCATACAGTATTCTGCTGTGTCTGATGTCTTTCACGAAACATACTGTCTGTGAGGGTTATTCAGGTTGTCAAGGGTATCATTAGTTTATTCATTTATTTTGCTGAGTCATATTCCATTGTATGGATGTATTTACCCTTTCTGCTGTTTATGGGCATTTGGGATGTTCTGTAAGTTTTTATTACGTATTATTTTTATTATTGTTTAGTTCTAAGAATTGTTAAATTTCTATTATTATTTCTTTATTTTGTTTTTCAGAAGAATATATATTTTAATTTCCAAACAAGTTTTTCTTTGTTTAATTTTTTTTTGTTTTATATTTCTAACCTCATTCCCCTGTGGCCAAAGAGCATGGTTTCTATGATTCTGAATCTTTGCAGTTTATTGAGACTTCGTTATGGCCTGGTAGATGGTCATATTTTACCTGTTTCATGTATGATTAAGAAGAATGTGTATTCTTAACTGGATTCTACATATTTCACCAAATTGACCTTGTTAATTGTTTTGTTCACATCTTCTGTAAAGTTACTAGTTTTTGTCTACTTGATCTACTACTGAGAGAGGTGTGCTAAAATCTACCACTATGATGGTGAATTTTTTAAAACCGCTAATCATACTGGTTTAACTGTATATATATTTTTTGGCTATTTTGTTAGAAGGTTAAAATAGTTTAACAGTGCTATCCAGTAGAACTTTCTGCAATGATTGAAAAATTCTTTTCTGCACCGTTCAGTATGATAGTCATTGGTGGCAATTAAGTACTTGGAATGTGGCTAATATAACTGAGGAACTAAATAATTTAATTGTAATCAGTTTATTATTTTATTTTAATTTTTTTGAGACAGAGTCTCACTCTGTCACCCAGGCTGGAGTACAGTGGCTTGATCTTGGCTCACTGCAACCTCCGCCTCCTGGGTTCAAGCAATTCTCCTGCCTCACTCAGCCTCCCGATTAGCTGGGATTACAGGTGTGCACCACTATGCCTGGCTAATTTTTGTATTTTTAGTAAAGACGAGGTTTCACCATGTTGGCCAGGCTAGTCTCAAACTCCTGGCCTCAGGTGGTCCAGCTGCCTTGGCCTCTCAAATTGCTGGGATTATAGGCGTGAGCCACTGTGCTCGGCTGTAATCAGTTTAAATTTAAATAGTTACATGTGGCTAATGGCTACTATGATGGACCATGCAGGTTTAGAAATTCCAGAGTCAATGAAACATTATTATGAAGTGACATTCTTTCTTTCTAATAAAGCTTTTTCTCTAGAAGTCTGTTTTTCTCTGGTATTAATAGTATACCAGCTTTCTTTGGTTACTGGCTTTCCAGTTTATATTTTTCTATCTTTAGCTTTTTGTTTTTGCATGGAGAGAAGTTCTTAATCTTTTGCATACCTTTTTTTAAATTATGGTAAAATATATCTAGCGTAACATTTGCCATTTTAACCATTCAAAGTATACAATTTGTCCTTTTACTTGTATTTTTTGAGAGGGGGTGTCACTCTGTCATCCAGGCTGGAGTGCAGTGTCACGATCTCAGGTGGCTAGCTGCAACCTCCGCCTCCCAGGCTCAAGTGATCCTCCCATCTCAGTCTCCCAAGTAGCTGGGACTATAGGTGTGCACCACCACTCCCAGCTAATTTTTGTAGAAACAGAGTTTCACTATGTTGGCCAGGCTGTTCTCGAACTCCTGCCTCAGCCTCCCAAAGTGCTGGGATTACAGACATGAGCCACTGTGCCCAGCCTCCATATTCTAATTTTTTCTTTCTTTCTTTCTTTTTTTTTTTTTTTGGAAACGGAGTCTCACTGTGTCGCCCAGGCTGGAGTGTAGTGGCGTGATCTCAGCTCACTGCAAGCTCTGCCTCCCGGGTTCACACCATTCTCCCGCCTCAGTCTCCCAAGTAGCTGGGACTACAGGTACCTGCCACCACGCCTGGCTAATTTTGTTTTTGTATTTTTAGTAGAGACAGGGTTTCACCATGTTAGCCAGGATGGTCTCGATCTCCTGACCTCGTGATTTGCCTGCCTCAGCCTCCTGAAGTGCTGGGATTACAGGCGTGAGCCACCGTGCCCGGCCATTCTAATTTTTTCAACTGACCCATAATGTTTTCTATGACTTCATTTTTTTGTCCAGGACAGGATCAGTCTAGGATCACCTGTTAACATTTAGTTGGCATGTCTCTTTAGTCTCCTTTAATCTGGAACAGTTCCCCATCCTTTCTTTCTTTGTCTTTTATGACATTGAGATTTCTGGAGAATACGGTCCTTTTCTTTTCTTTCTTTCTTTTTTTTGAGACAGAGCCTTGCACTGTCGCCCAGACTGGAGTGCAGTGGCTCAATCCCAGCTCACTGCAACCTCTGCCTCCTGGGTTCAAGTGATTCTCCTGCCTCAGCCTCCAGAGCAACTGGGACCATAGGCGTGTGCCACCACACCTGGCTAATTTTTTTGTATTTTTAGTAGAGACAAGGTTTTACCATATTGGCCAGGCTGTTCTCAAACTCCTGACCTTGTGATCTGTCTGCCTCAGCCTCCCAAAGTGCTGGGATTACAGGCATGAGCCACCGCATCCGGACCCTTTTGTACTTTTTATTTTATTTTGTTTTTATTTTTTATTTATTTTTTTGAGATGGAGGCTTGCTCTGTTGCCCAGGCTGGTGTGCAATGGTGCGATCTCAGCTCACTGCAACCTCCGCCTCCCAGGCTCAAGCCAATTCTCCTGCCTCAGCCTCCCGAGTAGCTGGGATTACAGGTGCCCACCACCATGCCTGGCTAATTTTTGTATTTTTAGTAGAGATGGGGTTTCACCATGTTGGCCAGTCTGGTCTCGAACTCCTGACCTTGTGAACTGCCCACCTTGGCCTGCCAAAGTCTGGGACTACAGGCGTGAGCCACCATGCCTGGCCGACATTTTTAAAATGGTTCCTTGTTTTAAGTTTGTATGATATTTCCTTGTGATTAGATTCAGGTTATGCATTCCCAGGCAAAATACTAAGTATGTGGCAGGCATGTACTTCCCAAGGCTTTACACCCTGGAGCACACAGTTTTCATCTGCCCCTTCTTTATCTGTTAATTTTGTCAACCTAGCCAAGAGATTGTTTGCTTTCTCCACTCATATAGTTAATATTTTTTCTCCTTGCTACAATTAATAAGCAGTCTGTCGGGGGAGATACTTTAAAATCATGCCAGTATTCTAATTTTGTTAGAATTTCCCCTGGGATTGTTTTGCTTTTAACTTTGCCATACCCTTAATGTTTTAGGCACATGTCTTATAAAAACCTAGAATTTGTTTTTTGTTCAACCTGACAATCTCTTTTTAAGATGTCAATTTTAGCCTATTTATTATGAATAACAAATTCATAATAAATTCATAAATAATAAACTCAATGAATTAATTTATTATTAATTAATTGACTGTTTCTAACTTCTTATTTTGTGTTTTTGTTTACCCTTCTTATATTTAAAGAAGAATAAATTTAACACCTATATACATATGATTCTACCCTGGGTTTTTGTGCTATCTTTTTCTTTCTTCTTTTGGATTGATTGATTGTTTTTAAAACATTTCTTTTTTGTCTATATCAGTTTTAGAACTTAGGCATTCTATTTCTATAACTGAATACCCTTGTATTTTTAACCTGCATCATTGATTGGCTAATATCACTTCCTACCTTTCTGAACAATAAAAGGACCTTAGAAAATCTTAACTCCAGCTCTAACTCCCATATTAGTTATTACTGTTGTTCCATATTTTAGAATTATCTTTTTTTAACTTCCAACATTGTCATTATTATTATTTATTCAGGGATATTTACATTTGCCACCATGCCAATTGCTTTAGTCACCGTTTCCTTTGCCTCTTGGTCCTTCTTCTTTTTAAAATACATCTGTTAGAAGTATCTTCAGGCCAGCCACGGTGGCTCATGCCTGTAATCCCAGCACTTTGGGAGGCTGAGGCGGACAGAGCACCTGAGGTCAGGAGTTTCAGAGCAGCCTGGCCAAGATGGCGAAACCCTGTCTCTACTCAAAATACAAAAATTAGCCAGGCCTGGTGGTGCACGCCTGTAATCCCAGCCACTTGGGAGGCTGAGGCAGGAGAATTGCTTGAACCTGGGAGGTGGAGGTTGCAGTGAGCCGGGATCGTGCCACTGCACTCCAGCCTGGGGGACAGAGTGAGACTCCATCTCAAAAACAAATAAAAAAAAAGTGTCTTCATTGAGGAGTTTGGTGGAAAACCCTACCAGTTTTTTTATTTGTCTGAGAAGGGTTATTTTCACCCTCATTTAAAAAGTCTTTTTATTGTAAATTTCAAGCATATACAAATGTAGACAGACTAAACTCCAACATATATCAGCTCATGGCCAATCTTGCTTCAATCTGTACCCCCATCTATTCCCCACCCCCAAAATTTAAAAGATAAGTACTCTTTGTTTAAAAAAAAAGGATACTACAGTTATCAAGTATTTAGAAATTTGCAGTTCCTTGTATGAAGTATACAGTCATTGCTCATATTTCCCTGATTGCCTTGGGGTTTTTTGGTTAGTTATTTTGTTTAGTGAGGATCCAAACAAGGTCCACGCATTGCATTTGGTTGCATTATCTTACATCTCCCTTACTCTATAGGTTTCCACCTCCCATTTTATCCTCCTTGCAATTATTTCTGGAGGAAAGTGGGTTATTCATTCACAGGCTGGATTTTCCTGATTGCATTCACGTGGTGTCCTCAAGCATAATTCCTCTGTCTCCTTTATTTCCTGAAAACTGATTTGTAGGTGTAGAGGCTTATTCAGATTTGGGTTTGATTTCTCAGGCAAGAACACTTCATTGGTGGTATGTGTCCTTCCACCAGGAGGCAGGTTCAGCCTGTCTCCCTTTGTGATGTTGAGATGGATCAATGGATTTCAGTGTGTCAGTCTTGTCTATACATTACATGTAATTTTCCATCAGCTTTTCACCAGGCAGGCATTTCTACCATTGCTTAGGTCTATCATTTCATTAGGGGTTTTGAAATAGTTATATCTAGTTCTGTCACTCCTTCTTCATGTATTAGCTGGAATGCTTTCAAGAGAAACCCTTTCACTAACTGTTTATCTACCCTGAAGTCCGGTTTATACAGGAAAGGCTTGATTGTTTCCACTTCCAATTATTTTTAACTCATTTTAAAAATAATATGGTGGTTCTCTAGTAACTTTTAAATAAAACCAATGAGGTCTTTTAAAAATATATCATTATGAACTCACAGATTTTAAAATATTTTGTGTGGTTCCATCACACATTGCAGGTGGATTTTTTTTTTTTTGGATTCTCAAATTGTCCCATCTTTGGTAAGACAGCATCTCTCAGGCAGGCTCCTAGTCCCTTTAATACTCTCCCTTTGACAGCTTCCTTGCTTTCCAGTATGAACAGATGTCTCAGGCTCACCTTGCCTGAGCTGTGAAACAGGAGGAGGAAGAGATCCAGCCCAGTGGGTCTTTAAAACTGTGAGCTCCTTGAGGGCAAAATGCAAGTGTTTTCTCTCTGGTGTTTTTGCATGGAACCTGCCTGGCTCAGGGCTAGGCGCTGGGTCTAGGGATGGGCTCCTAGATACCCGTGGCTCATCAGGGAGGCAGGCGCAGGGAAGGCTGAGATCTGGAAGCTTGACAAGGTATCTCTCTGTCTGAAAATGCTGGGGCCCTCCTCCCCATAGGGACTAGTAGGAGCAAAGCTTGACACCTCAACCCCTAAACCCCTTGTTTCGCCCATTCTGTGTCTCCACCCTTCTCCTTGACACTTGCCTAGGTCAGAACCATCCAGTCCTGGACATGGGACCACATCGGCGACTGCAGTGGACGTGGCTGGGCCGGGCTGAGCTGCAGTTTGGGAAGCAGATACTGCATGTGTCCACCGTGCAGATGTGGCTGCTGCTGAAATTCAATCAGACAGAGGTGCTTCAGCCCTTAGCCTCTCTCTGCCTTCTCTGCTACCTTATCTGTCGCTGTTCTCCTCCTAAACCCTGTTCCTCCTTCATCCTTACTCCCCTCTTCCTTTTCTTTCCTTTGACTCCTGACTGGGCGTTTCTGCTCATCAGGAGGTGTCAGTAGAGACCTTGCTGAAGGATTCTGACCTCTCCCCAGAGCTGCTGCTCCAGGCACTCGTGCCCCTCACCTCAGGGAATGGCCCTTTGACCCTGCATGAGGGCCAGGACTTTCCACACGGGGGTAGGTCATTGGGGGCCGGGCTGAGCCTCTGCTGCTGGTCGGGGGGTCGCCCTCAAGATGGGGGGACTGTGAGAATGGGGTCATCTTAGTCCCCATTCATCTGTCCCTCTGCCTCCTCTGGTACCTGACCGGGAGCGGGTTCCAGGTGTGCTGCGGCTTCATGAGCCTGGGCCCCAGCGCAGTGGGGAGGCCCTGTGGCTGATACCTCCCCAGGCATACCTGAACGTAGAGAAGGATGAAGGCCGAACCCTGGAACAGAAGAGGAATCTCTTGAGCTGTCTTCTTGTTCGTATTCTCAAAGCCCATGGGGAAAAGGGCCTCCACATTGATCAGCTGGTTTGTCTGGTAGGCAGAGAGGGGACCATGAAGTTGGCGGAGGGAGGGAGTCATGCTTGGGATTGGGGATGAACACAGTGAACTCTTTCAATATAAGACTTCTGTAGGGTGACATTTCCATCTGGGTTTTCTGTTCCTGACAGAGCAGATAGACAGCAGATAAAGATAAGGCATGAGTGTTTACCATGAACCAGGCCCTATGCTAAGAGTTTGCATGATTAAGTCATTTAATCCAGCCAGGTACAGTGGCTCATATCTGTGATCCTAGCACTTTGGGAGGCCAAGGCAGGCGGATCACTTGAGGCCAGGAGTTTGATACCAGCCTGGCCAACATGGCGAAACCCTGTGTCTACCAAAAATATAAAAATTAGCTGGGCATGGTGGCACATGCCTGTAATCCCAGCTACTTGGGAGGCCGAGGCATGAGAATTGCTTGACCCAGGAGGCGGAGGTTACAGTGAGCCAAGACTGCCACTGTACCCCAGCCTGGGCAACAGAGCAAGACTCTGTCTCAAAAAGAAAAAAAGTCATCATTTAATCTTCACAACAATCCTAGAAATGTTATTTTATTTCATTTGACAGATAAGAACAGTGAAGTATGAGAAACTTAGTAGTGGCCGGGCGCGGTGGCTCATGCCTGTAATCCTAGCACTTTGGGAGGCTGAGGTGGGTGGATCACTTGAGGTCAGGAATTCGTGACCAGCCTGGCCAATATGATGAAACCCCATCTCTACTAAAAATACAAAAATTAGCCAGGCGTGGTGGTGCACACTTGTAGTCCCAGTTACTTGGGAGGCTGAGGCGGTAGAATCACTTGAACCCAGGAGGCAGAGATTGCAGTGAGAGATGGTGCCACTGCACTCCAGCCTGGGCAATAGAGTGAGACTGTTGGGAAAAAAAAAAAAGAGAGAAACTTAGTAACTAATCCACAATCACACAGCTAGTAAGTGGCAGAGCTGCCAGACACCATGGCTCATGCAGGAGGATTACTTGAGTCCAGGAGTTTGAGGGTGCAGTGAGCTGTGATCAGGCCACTGCACTCTGGCCTGGGTGACAGAGCAAGACTGTCTCTTAAAAAAAAAGGGGGGGAAAAATAAGTGGCAGAGCTGGGCATTGAGCCCAGCAGCCTGCTCCCTACATAAAAGTGGACTTCTTGTTTCTTTCCTCCTATCCAGGTGCTGGAGGCCTGGCAGAAGGGTCCAAATCCTCCTGGAACCCTGGGCCACACTGTTGCTGGGGGTGTGGCCTGTACCAGTACAGATGTCCTCTCTTGCATCCTGCACCTCTTAGGCCAGGGCTACGTGAAACGGCGTGATGACCGGCCCCAGATCCTGATGTATGCCGCTCCAGAGCCCATGGGGCCCTGCCGGGGTCAGGCAGATGTCCCTTTCTGTGGCAGCCAGAGCGAAACCTCCAAGCCCAGGTAGCCACTGCACCTGACCCCTTGCAGTGAGGCGGGAGAGGTGGTCATGCCAAAGCCAAGATCCCTTGTGGAGAAACACTTCCCTTCTTTCTTTGTCTGATCCCCTTTTCCCTATCCCTGTTATTTCCCTGACTTTGGTAGTTTTTATTGACCCTCCCAGCACCACCACCCCTTTCCAATCAGAGGCCTGCAAATATGTATTGAGTGCTAACTATGTACTCTACTCAGTTAAATATACAAACTTTCAGGAAGTTTGTTCTACAGAGGAATTTGCCATAGGATTTCTCTAATCAACCAGCACCCCTAAAGCTTTTTAATGTTCATTGGAAGCTGTTATGGCCCTGCTTTTCATGCCTGCTGTTTGCATCATGTGTAAAGTGAATTATCGCGAGTAATCTTTCTCAAACCTCAACATGGCGCCAGTGTTAAAATGCAGATTTAACAGCAGAGCTCTCTGTGCTGCCTGTGCTGCTGGTCCACAGACCACACTTGAGCAGTAAGGATGGAGACTCCTGTTCTCACTACAGGTGCTGCCACCATTTGGGGTGAGACCTACAGTGGGACTGTCCCATCAGCTATTGGTCTCTTAGCACCCTGACCCCTAGATACCTATTTTGTCCCCAGTCATTGCAACAGCCAGCCCCACCCTGACATTTACAGGTGCTTCTGTGGAGGATCTGCTCTGACGGTTGGTTTGGGTGGTTATCCTGAGGCTGCTTAGGCAAGCGAGCAAGTATGCTCAAAGAGGGAGCTGGGGGCCAGGTGGGGTTCAGTTAGTAGGCTGGATAGCAGGGCAGGAATACTGACTTCTGTCTCTTCCCTCCCCACAAGCCCAGAAGCTGTGGCTACCCTGGCATCTCTACAGCTGCCTGCAGGCCGCACCATGAGCCCCCAGGAAGTAGAAGGGTTGATGAAGCAGACGGTGCGTCAGGTGCAGGAGACGCTGAACTTAGAGCCAGATGTCGCTCAGCACCTTTTGGCTCATTCCCACTGGGGCGCTGAACAGCTGCTGCAGAGCTACAGTGAGGACCCTGAGCCACTGCTGCTGGCAGCTGGGCTGTGCGTACACCAGGCTCAGGCTGTACCCGTACGGCCTGACCACTGCCCCGTCTGTGTGAGCCCCCTGGGGTGTGACGACGACCTGCCCTCTCTCTGCTGCATGCACTATTGCTGTAAGGTGAGGCCCCACCAGCATTGCTCCTGCCCCTGGCTTTCTGCCCTACCCTAACAAAATTCCTTGGGAATTCTTGGGTTCTAGCCCAGCACTGCCATTTTCATCACCTGGGCAATAGTGGATTTAGTCTCTTAGTCCTTCTTAAACTAGTTTTGTCATCTGTAAGTGGTACCACCTGCCTTGACACTCTAAAGGGTGGTGGTTGGGATCCAGCGATATATACCAATGGTGCTCCAGCTGACCTTCATATTATAATCACTGGAAGCTTTTATAAGTGTTAATGCCCAGACGATACCTCAGACTAATTAAACCAGAATCTCTGGAGGTGAGAAATCTACAGGAAGTTTTAAAGCCTCCTCACGGGATTCCCATTATCAGCCAAGTTAGAACTAAGAGATATACGTGTAAAATAGATGTCAAGACACTTTGTGAAGTGTTTGCAAAAGTGTTAGTAGATTGGTGATGACTCTAGTTTGTGGTTGCCCTTATTACCATTTAAGTCCCCACATCTCAGTGCACTATCACTGCTTTTATCATATACTCTCATTTAATACAAAAATTTTTAAAAATAGGCCTGGTGAGGTAGTGTGCATGCCTATAATCCCAGCACTTTGGGAGGCTGATGTAGGCAGATTGCTTGAGCCCAGGAGTTCGAGACCAGCCTGGGCAACATGGCAAGACCCCGTCTCTACAAAAAAATACAAAAATAAGATGGGCATGGTGGTGCACACCTATAGTCCCAGCTACTTGGGAGGCTGAAGTGGGAGGATCACCTGAGCCTGGGAGGCGGAGGCTGCAGTGAGCCAGTATCTCGCCACTGCACTTCAGCCTGAAGGACAGAGTGAGACCCTGCCTCAGGGTCTTCTTGCTCTATAGGCTTGCTTCTATATAGTGGACACAGAAGCTTGCATTTGGGGAGTGAGTCATCTTCAAAAATAAAAAATGTGGGGCTGAGGTACAGAGAACCTGGAGCACTGAGTCCGATATTCCTGCCTCACAGCTCTTTAGAACTGGTGCCAAGCCCAAACACTTCAGTTTAGCAGGAGGGGCACTCCTGGTTGCCATGAATTCCAGCTGCTTCTGCCAACAGCGTTTCCCCAGTAGTGGGTGATAGACGTGTCTGCATGTGCTTGTGTGCACGTGCATGCGTGTGTATTCTCTTTTTCTCTTTCCCTTTGGCTGTGCTTCTGGCTTCTCCTCTCACATAGTTGCTTATGCTCCCTTTTCCCCAGGTTCTTAATTATTTCCTTTACACTTTCATTTTTTCATTCAACAAATATTTCTCATGGATTTATGTGCATAGCACTGGGTGCTAAATGAGGTATTGAAAAAAATCCCAGCAAGAAATGACCAGAGAGCTAATAATATTGATGGGAGCTCACTCTGAGCCAGGCATTGTGCTGTTTACATGCATTATTTTACTTAATTCTCATACTAGTTCTATGAGGTAGGTATTTTTGTTATTCCCATTTTACATGACAGAGGGAGACACTCAGAGGTGAAGTAATTTGCCAAAGGTCAGGATTTGAATTTTGGCAGTCTCAGGCAATCCTCCCGCCTTGACCTCCCAAAGTGCTGGAATTATAGGCATAAGCCACCACACCCAGCCTGACAGTGGATTTTATTTTATGAGAAGCCATGGTGGGTTTAAGCAGAATATTGATATTATCTGGTTTACATTTTTTATTTTTATTATATTATTTATTTATTTTTATTTTATTATTATTATTTTTTGAGATGGAGTCTCACTCTGTCACCCAGGCTGCAGTGCAGTGGCGCGATCTCGGCTCATTGCAACCTCCATCTCCCGGGTTCAAGCGATTCTTCTGCCTCAGCCTCCCGAGTAGCTGGGACTATAGGCGCCCGCCACCGCGCCCGGCTAATTTTTTGCATTTTTAGTAGAGACGGGGTTTCACTGTGTTAGCCAGGATGGTCTCGATCTCCTGACCTCGTGATCCACCCACCTCAGCCTCCCAAAGTGCTGGAATTACAGGCGTGAGCCACTGCGCCCGGCCCTACATTTTTTAAAAGATCGCTTCTGCCGTTGTGTGGAGAAAAGGCTTGGAGGGAGCAAGAGTGGAAGCAGGAAGGCCCATTTGGTGACTGTTGTACGAGAGACAAGAGATGGTGGTAGTTTGGACTGGGGCAGTGGCGATGAGAGAGGGTGGATTGGGACACATTTGGAAGTGGAGCTGACGGGAGTTGGTGGGTTAAATGTAGGGGCTTCAGACAGGGGAATCAAGGATGGTTCCTGTGCTTTGACCTGAGCACCTGGGTGGATGGCATGTGTCATCTTTACTCTGTTGTGGCCCTGTGAAGTTTGAGCTGCTTGTTGGACACCTGTGTGGAACTGGCAGGTAGACAGTGGATTTTTGAATTTGGAATGAAGCAGAGAGGCCTGGCAGGCCTTACCCAAGGAGAAAGAAGCAGACCCAGGGAACCAAGCCTGTAAAGATACAGAGACGGGGGGTCTCAGGAGTTTGAGACCAGCCTAGACAACACAGCAAGACCCCATAGCTACAAAAAATAGAAAAAAACTTTACCCAGGCATGGTGGTGCACACCTATAGTCCTGCCTACTCAGGAGGTTGAGGTGGGAGGATTGCTTGAGTCCAGGAGATTGAGGCTGCGGTGAACCATGATTGTGCCATTACCCTCCAGTGTGGGTGACAAAGCGAGACTTTGTTTAAAAGAGAGAGAGAGAGAGAGAGACAAGGGGCCTGAAAACCAGGCAGATGAACAGGCTGATTGAAAAGCCCCTGCAAGGAGGAGCCTGTGCAGCATTGGTCACAGCTGAGTGGCACAACAGCAATGCAAGAGAAGCAGCCGGACAGCTCCCAGGGTGAGCCCCACCACTTGGGTTGGACAGTAGTCATGAGAGCAGCTGGGAGTCCCCAGACTGAGATGCCAGGGCAGAGGGGGACCCTGAGGCACTGGTGTGCCTGTAAGAATAGGGTCTGAATTCAGAGAAAATTTTCCCTGTTCTATCTCAAAAATGTAAGAATTTGCATTCAATTTCCCAACTTTGGGTTTGTTTCAATGCAGAAAGGGTTTTGTTTACTTTGGTCTGGTACTTTGAGTAAAAATGACCTAGTCAGGTGCTTCAAATTTATGCTGCAGCTTTGATATCACAGACACACGGTCTCCTGAGGGTTTAGACCCATCATTTTGGAAGGCATGGCCATAGGCAGTGTGAGAGGCAGGGGTCACTCATGGAGTATTGTAGGAGGCTCAGACGGCTGCAACGGCTGCTCGTGCATAGACCAAATGGATGGTGTAGGGAGAGACCGGGAGAGGAGACCATGGATCAGGCTCTCACAGTGGTTTAGGGATGAGGGGATAATGGCCTGATTTAGGATGGGGGAGTGACATGGGAGCAAGAGAACGATATGAAAGTTCCAACACTGGTGACGAGGGGGACAGTGGTGCAAGTTGATCAGGGTTTGGGGGACGCAATGGGCAAGTCAGTTTTGTAGAGAAGAGGCTGGGTCTGTTGGAGGCATAAGTCAGAGACAGGAGCATCCGGACGGTCATTGGAGATAAGCCACTGGAGCTGGGAGGAGAGACCAGAGCTGTGTTGTCAGCCACCCAGGCAACCCATTTCCCAGGCCTCCTTTCTCTCGGACCTTCCTGCTCTCTGCATATCTTTCTGAGAATTTGAATCGTTCTCCTTTTTCTTAATTATTTTTACCCATTCCCTCCTTGTCCATCCCAACAGTAATTATGATTAGGCAAATACACAGCCCACCCCATCCTCAAAGACAACTGTAATTTGGGCCAGTCTCAGCAAAGCTGGAGAGAGGAGTCAGCATTGGTTGATCTAGAGGCAGGCTTGTTTCTGGCCTTCCACGTTGTAGTGGAGGGGAAGGGAAGGAGGGACGCTAGCTTAGTTACCAGGACACTCCCCCTGTGCTGCTCCCACACTGTCTGTGAGCAGCCCCTCCTTTTGTCCCTCCCAGTCTTGCTGGAATGAGTACCTGACAACTCGGATCGAGCAGAACCTTGTTTTGAATTGCACCTGCCCCATTGCCGACTGCCCCGCCCAGCCCACCGGAGCCTTCATTCGTGCCATCGTCTCCTCGCCAGAGGTCATCTCCAAGGTATCCCCTCTCGTCTGAGAGAGGCTCCAGTGCAGAGCCAAAGGAGTGTGCCCCAGGGAGTGGGCTGAGCTATGGGGTGCTGGGGGCCTGGAGGTGTGGCATCCTGGAGAGCCATACCCTCACCTCGTGGCACCTGCGTCTCCACAGTATGAGAAGGCGCTCCTGCGTGGCTATGTGGAGAGCTGCTCCAACCTGACCTGGTGCACCAACCCCCAGGGCTGCGACCGCATCCTGTGCCGCCAGGGCCTGGGCTGTGGGACCACCTGCTCCAAGTGTGGCTGGGCCTCTTGCTTCAACTGTAGCTTCCCTGAGGTGGGAGCCCCACACTGGCCCTGACCCTGAGCAAGGATTCACACTCCTTCCCTGCTTAATATCCCCACCCCGCCACACACACAGACTGTGACTTGTCCTTCCTCAGCCTCTGCCACCCAGTTGAGCTCTGTTCCTCTTCCTGGAGCCCTCCAAATGTGATCTGTGCCTGCTCCCCTCTCTCCTGTGCACACCAGCCATGCTGCCCTCACGGCTCAGCTGTGTCCCCACCATGCCCTCTTGCCTTAGGCACACTACCCTGCTAGCTGTGGCCATATGTCTCAGTGGGTCGACGACGGTGGCTACTATGACGGCATGAGCGTGGAGGCGCAGAGCAAGCACCTGGCCAAGCTCATCTCCAAGCGCTGTCCCAGCTGTCAGGCTCCCATCGAGAAGAACGAGGGGTGCCTGCAGTAAGAAGGGGGGTACTGTGGGGAGCCAGAGGGCAAGGAGGGGGGAGGAGGCCTGGCAGAAGGAGGGGGGAACGGGCTTAGTGTAAAGCTCAGCAAAAGAGGGTGGTTCCTCAGCCGCCCCTCACGTGGCAGCCTCCACGGTGACTTCCTGGATCTTAATGTTCCTTCTCCCACTCGTAAGTCCACACTGACTGGGGGAGTTCAAAAGCAGAGGTGCATTCAGCAGGGCTGGGTATGACTAAGGAGACTATCAGGGCAGGAGCAGAGGCCACAGCATCAACAGCGGTACATCTGGGCCCTTGGCATTCCTGGCACACCCCTGCCCAGAGGCAGGAGTCCCTGACCAGCCAGCTTCCTCCATAGCATGACCTGTGCCAAATGTAACCATGGATTCTGCTGGCGCTGCCTCAAGTCCTGGAAGCCAAATCACAAAGACTATTACAACTGCTCTGCCATGGTAAGGCGCTGGGCACTAGGGGAGGGCAGAGGCCCAGAGCCGTCGGGGAGGGGTGCTGCTACCAGGTCCTGGGCAGACAGGGCTCCTTGTGCAGTGCAGCATTCTAGCTGTTGGGATAGAGGCTCACTGTGGGGAAGACAGAGCCACCTGGGCCTGCAGATGCTGGAAAGTCTGTTCACAGGGACCTTCAGCTCCAGAACAGGACTTCTCATACCGAGGTGGCTACAGAAAGGCTGGGGAGGGCTGGGCACTCTCAGAAGGCAGCAGGGCAGAGCAGGAAAGAGCAGGGACCCTGCATTTAGAGCCTGGCTCTGCTGCTTAGCATGTGGCTTTGAGCAAGTTCATTTACTTCTCCAAGCCTCAACAGCCTCTGCAAAAGGGGTGAATAATATGACCTACTCCACACAGTCATGAGGACTGAATGAAGATAATCGGGGGAGGTGTAGAAAGGCCTCCGTGAATGTTGGCTTTTCCACTTATTAACTCCCTCCTGTCCAAACAAAACACCCAATAGCCCTCCCAACGTATCCTTGCTAGGTAAGCAAGGCAGCTCGCCAGGAGAAGCGGTTTCAGGACTATAATGAGAGGTGCACTTTCCATCACCAGGCGCGGGTGAGTCGGGAGGAAACAGCGGGTAGATGCCTGCAGAAGCAGGTTGGGGTGGTGGGGTGGAGGGGGGTGGGCTGAAGGTCTGACCGGGCAGGTGGTGCTGCGCCACCTGTGCTGGTACTGATACACCTTCCTCCACACAGGAGTTTGCTGTGAACTTGCGGAACCGGGTGTCTGCCATCCATGAAGTGCCCCCGCCCAGATCCTTCACCTTCCTCAATGATGCCTGCCAGGGACTGGAGCAGGCTCGGAAGGTGGTAGCGGGTGGGGGAAGAGAGCAGGGGAGGGGTGTGCCAAATGGGTCTGGGGGGCTTGGCTGCTTTCATCGGACTTGCCTGGGTGAAGGGAATGAGGAGAGGGCAGGCGGGAGAGCTGATGGGAGCCCCTGCAGGTGCTGGCCTACGCCTGCGTGTACAGCTTCTACAGCCAGGACGCAGAGTACATGGATGTGGTGGAGCAGCAGACAGAGAACCTGGAGCTGCACACCAATGCCCTGCAGATCCTCCTGGGTGAGCCACCCCTGCCAGCCAGGCCCTCCTCCTGCCTCCTCCCCTCTGTTGCACAGCCCGGCCCCTCCCAGACAGGTCAAGCGGCACCCTTACCTTCCCTCTCTCCTCTTCCTCTTCATTCTTCATGGCCTTCTCACTGCCTGGCTGTTAAAGCTCAGGTCGAAAGCCTACATTGTAAGGTGCCCAAGGGCGCAGATGTTCGTGGATGTTTCTTGGTTTCTGGTCTTTACCCTGCTCCCCTAGGGAGCTTCATGAGAATGTCTAGAGCTGCACCTGGTGCTTGGTAGACGTTCCATAGGTGTTTGTTGGAGGAAGGAATGGATGAGAATGAGAAGGGAGGGAGCCTCTGTGCCTGCCCCCTCTGCAGAGGAAACCCTGCTGCGGTGCAGAGACCTGGCCTCCTCCCTGCGCCTCCTGCGGGCCGACTGCCTCAGCACGGGCATGGAGCTGCTCCGGCGGATCCAGGAGAGGCTGCTTGCCATCCTGCAGCATTCTGCCCAGGTACTGCCCGGCCCAGACCCCTTCTGCTCCTGCATTCTGCGGGAGTTGAGGTCCTCCTGTCCCAGCACAGCCCCTGCCCTGGGGCGAGTCCAGAAGGAAAGGCAGCAAAGCGGGTGAATGGATGTTAGACCTGGGCGCACATCCCGGCTTTTGGGCCAACCTGCCTGATGCTGCTGGACCCTATCACTTCACCTCCTGGGGATTCCTACAAAATAAAGGGGTTGGCTAGCCCACATCAAGGGTATTTGGTCAGGTGCCTATCAGAATCACTTGGGGAACTTTTCCAGACTGTACTTCCCAGATAGGGATTTGAAATCCTAAGAGTGGGCATCAGGGGATTGGGGTCACTGGAGCAAGGGCTCTCCCAGGCTCTCTCCAGCTCTAATGCACTGATGCTGAGTCTAAACTGTGAGTCCTGTCCTCAGGTTGCTTACTGACTGGTAAGTCACATGGGCAGAAAAGACATAGATTCTGTAAGCTCTTTAAGCACAGGGTCGTGTGCCTCACCTGGTACCCCGTATCCCTGGAGACCATCTGTGGGTGAACTCACAAAGGCAGTGTTTCATGAAGTGCTGTGCTGGGAGGGGAGCAGTCCTAGCAGGAGCTTGGCCCTCCCAGAGCATCAGTGGAAGGAATGCTGGGTCCAAAGGCCCCATGCCCTCTACCTCCTTCTCAAATCCTTCTGTCTGCTCACCAGGATTTCCGGGTTGGTCTTCAGAGTCCATCAGTAGAGGCCTGGGAGGCAAAAGGACCCAACATGCCTGGCAGTCAGTAAGTGGGGTGGGCAGAGCCATGGAGGAGGCAGTGGGACATGGCAGCCTCCTCTGGGCTGAGTGTGGTGGCTCTCCCTAGGCCCCAGGCCTCCTCAGGGCCAGAGGCAGAAGAGGAGGAGGAAGACGATGAGGATGATGTGCCCGAGTGGCAGCAGGATGAGTTTGATGAGGAGCTGGACAATGACAGCTTCTCCTACGATGAGTCTGAGAACCTGGACCAAGAGACTTTCTTCTTTGGTGATGAGGAAGAGGATGAAGATGAGGCCTATGACTGAGGGGGCAGATGCAGGAAACACCTAGAGCAGCCCCAGAGTCACGGGGCTGAGGGGGCGGGAGCTGCCCCTGTCATAGGGAGGGGGATTCCCAGCGTCTGTAGTGCTTCCTGTTTGCTGAATAAAGGTCTCTTTCTCACACACATCTCTGGGAGCAGGCTGACAGCTTCACCAGGGGCCAGCCAAGTTGCCACTGCCCTGGCCTCATATCTACCCACACCCCTCATCTTTATGTTTCCTTTAGACCTCCGGACTCTTCTATCCTCCGAGAAGGCTCAGAGCAGATTCATTTGACTTAAGCTGATAAAGGGAAGTGAAGGTTGGCATGGAAAGGGCCACGTGCAGCCCCAGCCCAGTTCAGAGGAGACAGAGAGAGGGATGGCCACCCACAGGAGCAACCATCCTCCCAACTCTTTTTTTTTTTCTGAGATGGAGTTTCACTTTTGTCCCCCAGGCTGGAGTGCAATGGTGTGATCTCGGCTCACTGCAACCTCTGCCTGATGGGTTCAAGCGATTCTCCTGCCTCAGCCTCCTGAGTAGCTGGGATTACAGGCATGCACCACCATGCCCAGCTAATTTTTATATTTTTAGTAGAGACAGGGTTTCCCACATTGGCCAGGCTGGTCTCGAACTCCTGAGCTCAGGTGATCCGCCCGCCTCAGCCTCTGAAAGTGCTGGGATTACAGGCGTGAGCCACTGTGCCCAGCCCTTCCTCCCAACTCTTTTTTTTTTTTTTTTTTTCTGAGAGGGAGTCTCGCTCTGTTGCCCAGGCTGGAGTGCAGTGGCGTGATCTGGGCTCACTGCAAGCTCCACCTCCCGGGTTCACGCTATTCTCTTGCCTCAGCCTCCTGAGTAGCTGGGACTACAGGCGCTCACCACCTCGCCCGGCTAATTTTTTGCATTTTTAGTAGAGACGGGGTTTCACCGTTTTAGCCAGGATTGTCTCGATCTCCTGACCTCGTGATCCGCCCATCTCGGCCTCCCAAAGTGCTGGGATTACAGGTGTGAGCCACCGCGCCCGGCCCTCCTCCCAAGTGTTCCTGGGGAGGAGGGGGCTTGAGGGCATTAGGAGTTGTCCTCCTCTCGGCCTAGAGATTTCTAAAGCATCTATCTTGAAGTGAAGTGTGGCAGGAAAGGGTATTACTGAGGACCTGCCCCACCCCCATGACTCACACAAGACAGAAAGTTAGGATTTTAACTGTACCTTTTAATTTGCTCCTGGGGCTAAGAGGAAGGAATGGTACTAGAGCAGTGTCTGAGAATAGAAGAATTTAAGAAAGTGAGATTAAGTCAAGTGGTTGGGTCAGGGGAGGCAGCCACCTGCCCTGGAGGATCAGCCTCGAAGTATCGATCCAGCAGGGCCTCCACCTCTCCCTCCTCATAGTCCCACACCTGGAACCGAGAGCCATCTGCTGCTCCCCGGATCATGGCCGAAAGCACTGGAAAGGGCAGGGAAAGGTGAAGCTGCCTCCCATCCACACCCTCACAGCTCCCTTACCCCTTGGGAGAGGCGCGGTGCTCAGAGCCCACCAGGGAAGGAGCTGAGGGCTGGGTCCATAGAAAGCCAGGAGGGAGGCTTGGGGTGCTCACCGCGGCCAGACTGCGGGCGGAACAGGCACAGGATCCGCTTGTTAAAGGCCACGGCCCGGCCCAGCTCATAGCCTACACCCAAGGATGGCTGTGTCACTTCTGCCACGACCACTGGGAGGAAAGATGAGAGGAAGCCTCAGCATTGGGGGCACTTGAGGTTCATAAGGAAGACGACGGTGTGGCTGTGGTGAGGAGGGAACTCTGGGAGTCCCTTCTAGGTGTGGAGGCTGGGATGTCCAGGGGAACCCAGCACTCCAGAGGAGTTAGGTGCTGGAAGGAGGGAGCGCCACTCACCGTCCGCCTGCTGCAGCCACTCCAGGTCCTGCTCATGGATGAGCCTGTCACCCCCAGCAGCCTCTTCCCCTGTGTTGAGGGAAAGCTGGTCAAGGACATGCCTCATGCTGGCTCCCAGTAACTCCTATGCCCTTGTATGTCCATACCCACCCTGCTCAGGGAGGGTGGGAGCCTTGTGCCAGATGACCTGACCAAACATGACAATCTCATCAAAGCAGCGAGGAAATGGAATAGCCACAAAAAGAAAAATTCAACCCTATGCAAGGTGGGACATGTGATTAGGGCCGAATGAGGAACATCAGCAGCACTAACTGTGGATGACATTGATTAGGGAAAGGTGCATGGGCACTTAGCCAAAAGTAGGAGAGGCATCCTAGGCCCAGAAGGTAGGGATCTCGGGTCTTAGCTTGATTAAATGTTATCTTCCAGGACAGTGAGGCTCAGCCCACCGCATCAGGGTAGGACCACTGGGGAGCTTGTTAGAAGTACAGATTCCAGGGCCAGGCGCGGTGGCTCATGCCTGTAATCCCAGCACTTTGGGAGGCTGGGGCGGGTGGATCACTTGAGGTCAGGAGTTCAAAACCAGCCTGGCCAACATGGTGAAACCCCATCTTTACTAAAAATACAAAAATTAGCTGGGTGTGGTGGTGCACACCTGTAATCCCAGCAACTTGGGAGGCTGAAGCAGGAGAATCACTTGAACCCAGGAGGCGGAAGTTGCAGTGAGCTGAGATCGCACCACTGCACTCCAGCCTGGGCAACAGAGCAAAACTCCATCTTAAAAAAAACAAGAAAAAGTACAGATTCGGGCCAGGCGCGGTGGCTCACGCCTGTAATCCCAGCACTTTGGGAGGCCAAGGCGGTAGGATCACGAGGTCAGGAGTTTGAGACCAGTCTGGCCAACATGGTGGAACCCCATCTCCACTAAAAATTAAAAAATTAGCCAGGCGTGGTAGCAGGCGCCTGTAATCCCAGCTACTCGGGAGGCTGAGGCAGGAAAATTGCTTGAACCTGGGAGGAGGAGGTTGCAATGAGCGGAGATCACTCCACTGCACTCCACCCTGGGCGACAGAGCAAGACTCTGTCTTGGGGGAAAAAAAAAAGTACATATTCGAAGGCTTTATCCCAGATGATCAGAACCTGCATTTTTAACAGGCTCCCTCAGATGACACTAAAGACCTGGAGAGCCACCAGGCAGTCTGGATATACCATGAACTAATGAGCTGTAAGCTTCAGGGTCCTCCACTTGCACAGGCCCTTTCCAAACCATCAGCAACTTTGTATTGTGATTTTTGTCTTTTTAAAGAGGTCTCCCAGAATTGCATGAGGTCCCACAAATTGTGGGTCTGCTCTTGGGTAGGATAAGTGGAAACCACTTAAGGTTTTCTGAGCAGAAGCACAAGCATTCAAGATACAATTTTCAAACTGGAAGGATCTGCAAGATTCCAGACCAGCACATCAAATATGCTTTAGAGAAATCCAGCCAGACTCAGCGGCTCATGTCTGTAATCCCAACACTTTGGGAGGCTGAGGCAGGCAGATCACTTGGGCTCAGGAGTTCAAGACCAGCCTGGCCAACATGGCAAAATCCCGTCCCTATAAAAAATACAAAACTTAACCAGGTATGGCGGCACACACCTGTAGTCCCAGCTACTTGGGAGGCTGAGGTGGGAGGATTGCTCAAGCCCGGGAGGCAGAGGTTAGCAGTGAGCTGAGATTTTGCCACTGCACTCCAGCATGGGTAATAGAACAAGACTGTTTCCAAATAAATAACTAAATAAATAGAAAGAGAAAGAAAAACCCAGCAGCCAGGAGCAGAACACAATAATGGCCTGAAAGAGAATATGAGGCCAGCATGGGGGCTCACATCTATAGTCCCAGCACTTCGGGAGGCCTGAGGCGGGAGGATCACTTGAGGCTAGGAGGTCGGGACCAGACTGGGCAACATAGTGAGACTCCCAATCTCTACAGAAAAATTTTGAGCCAGGCATGGTGTCGTGCCCCTGCAGTCCTTGCTAATAGGAGGCTGAGGCTGGAGGATCATGAGTTTAGGAAGCCGAGGCTGCAGTGAGCTATGATCGCACCACTGCACTCCAGCCTGGGCGACAGAGAGGCCCTTGTATCAACAAAACAAAAATGTGAGAGAGGGTAATAGTGAGAACTGGGGTCAGCCAGGTCTAAAAGAGTGCTGATGTCTTCACAGAAAAAGGGGAGGCAGGCCCTGGGCGGTGGCTCCTGTCTGTAATCCCAGCACTTTGGGAGGCCGAGGCGGGCAGATCACCTGAGGTCAGGAGTTCGAAACCAGCCTGACCAATATGGTGAAACACCGTCTCTACTAAAAATACAAAAAGTAGCCGGGTGTGGTGACGCGTGCCTGTAGTCCCAGCTACTCGGGAGGCTGAGGCAAGAGAATCACTTGAACCCGGGAGGTCGAGGTTGCAGTGAGCCGAGATCACGCAACTGCACTCCAGCCTGGGCGACAGAGTGAGATTCCGTTTCAAAAACAAAACAAAACAAAACAAAAAAAGTTGGTGGGGAGGCAGGAGGATACCTTTCGTGTTGGGTGGTGGAAAAGATTCCAGCGGGTGAGGTGGGAACTGAGCCCAAGCAAAGCAGCCCAATCTACCTTCTTTCTGTTGCACCCTACAAACGCTCTGAAAGCAGCTGAAGACAGAGTTCTCCAAGAAGGAACCAAAGGTCAAGATAATGCTGAGTCTGCCTTACACCCGCAGGCTTGCTGGGACCCACGCAGCCCGAGCCCCGGCCCGTTTCCTTCTCGGGCTGGGGCGCTGGATGGAGCACCGGGGTAGGAGGGCGGGCTCCGGGCGCCGGGAGCGCAGCTGCCGGGGGTCGGGGGGGCGGACAGGCCGGGTCCCTGCCACCCCAGCCAGGTCCGCGCCCGCGTCCCCGCGTCCCGCGGCCCCAGGGCCTCACCGCGCGCGCCCAGCTCGGCGGCCGCCACGTGCTCGGTGAGCACTGTCCCGAATCGCCGCAGCCGAGACACGATCCGCTCGTACAGCGTCCTGTCCTCGCGTCCGCCGCGAATGCTCCCGCAGAAGTACAGGGCCGGGCGGCCAGGCTCCCCGCGCTCCCAGCTCTCGCTGCGCCCCGGCACCATGGCAGCAGCCATTCCCCAGCCGCCCGCGCTCTCCGGCGCCAGGGGGCGCCAGCCCGCGGCCACGTGACCCCGCCCGGCCCAGCGCAGAGCCCGGCTGCTGAGTCCACACCTGTGGAATGGGGACGACGAACTGGGAGGATCCAGCCGGGACCCTTTCGGGAACACACCCTTCCTGGACTTGACGTTCGGATGCCTAACACGCACCTTAACTTGACCTTGTCCAGGCAGAACTCGAGGGCTTCCCCACCTCACCCGCTTCTGCTCCCCTCCTCCCCGCCGTCTTCCCCAGCTGCATCCTCCCAGCTGCTCAGGCCCAAGACCCTCGGAGTCATCTGGATCGTTCCCTTTCTCTCAAACTCTGCGTCCCATCCATTGACAACTCGTGTGGATTCGTCCTTCCAAATCTGAAATCTCACGACCGCCTACAGGGCCACCACCCTGGTCTAAGCCTCCTCTGGGCTCTCCACAGCCTCCTAACAGGTGTCCACATGTCGTGAGCTGCTCAAGGTCAGACAGAACCAGGTCCACCCACCTTTGTGTCTGTCCACAAGATCAGGTTTTTACTGATGCTATTTCAATCACAAAAGCTAGGCGTCACACGGAGTTCCCAAGAAGTCAGTTCTCCTTAGGACCACCTGTTCACTCGGTAGTCAGAGCCGCGGGCATGCAAGCTGGAGCCACTCCACAAGTCAGACTGTATTGCAAACCATCCATAGTATTATATGTAAGGATATAAATGTTACAGGTTAAAATTTCACATCAAACACAAGAACATTTAACATCAAGAGAAAAGGGGTTAACGAACCAGTCCAAGGAGAGTGCTGTGGACAGAGTCCCGGCCTGATGGGGATAGTCATCAAGAGCTTGCAAGGAAGAGTCCTTGATTTGGGCAGAGCCTTCAGAGGCAGACACCAGGTGCTGGGCACGAGTGATAGCAAGACTCGGTCTGTTAAGGTGGCCGTGTCTAGCTGCTGAAGTCCTGATCATTTTATGGTCCTTGAGTCCTCTGATGAGGACTTATAGTAAAGGGTGATGCCCTTATCTGGTTGGGTGTTGTCTCCATTGGTTAGGCGAACATCTGGACCCTGTTGGCTTGATGCCTTTTGAAATGTAAGATGAAGTTTTTTAAAACTTTATTTATTTATTTATTTATTATTTTTGGTGACAAGGTCCCTGTCGCCCACACTGGAGTGCAGAGGCACGATCATTGCTCACTGCAGCCTCAAACTCGTGCCTCAAGTTTGAGGGTTCAAGGAATCCTCCCACCTCAGCTTCCTGAGTAGCTAGGACTACAGGCACGTGCCACCATGCTGAGCTAATAAAAAAAAAATTGGCTGGGCTCGGTGGCTCATGTCTGTAATCCCAGCACTTTGGGAGGCCGAGGTGGGCAGATCACGAGGTCAGGAGATCGAGACCATCCTGGCTAACGCGGTGAAACCCCGTCTCTACTAAAAATACAAAAAGTTAGCCAGGCGTGGTGGCACACTCCTGTAGTCCCAGCTACTCCAGAGGCTGAGGCTGGAGAATCGCTTGAACCCGGGAGGCAGAGGTTGCAGTGAGCCAAGATCACGCCACTGCACTCCAGCCTAGGCAACAGAGTGAAACTCCATCTCAAAAAAAAAAAAATTGTAGAGACGAGGTCTCACTATGTTTCCACGGCTGGTCTCAAAACTCCTAGACCCAAGCAATCCCCCTACCTCAGCCTCCCAAAGCGCTGGGATTACAGGCATAAGCGAATGTGCCCAGTGATGGAGTCTTTCTAAGATGGAATTACTTATGTCAAGGGTTCTCTATACACCTCCCCTGGCCCTTCCCTGCTACAGTTTGCTCTCCACTCAGCAGCTTGAGTGATCTAGGTCATGACCCTCCTCTGCTCAAAACCCTCCAGTGGTTCCCATCTCACTTGGGGTAAAAACTGAAAACCTCACAGTAGCTCACAAGGCTCCAGATGATCCTGTCACCCTCTTACTTCCCTAACTCCAGCTTCTATTACTTTCATTCACTTCTCTGCCACCTCACTGGCTTCCTGGCTGTTCCTTAAGCATGTCAGCCATGCCCTTGCCTCAGAGTCTTTGCATTTGCTGTTCCCTCTGCCCGGAACACTGTTCTCCCAGGTAGCTTCCTGGCTCACTCCTCATTTCCTTCAAGTCTTTGTTCACACTTCACCTTCCCTGATCACCCTATTCAATATGGCAGCCCTCCATCCCCCAGTACTCTCTATCACCCTTCCCTACCTTGCCTTTTCTCCTTCTCATACACCATATAACTTATTAATTTTGTTGCATGTTTTTCTATACCTAGTAGAAGGTCGTTCACTGCTGTATTCCTGCTTTCTTTCTTTTCTTTCTTTCCTTCTTTCTCTTTCTTTCTTCTTTCTTTCTTTTTCTTTCTTTCCTTCCTTCCTCCCTCCCGTCCTTCCTTTCCTTCCTTCCTTCCTCCTTCTTTCTTCTTTCTTTCTTTCTTTTTCTTTCTTTCTCCTTCTTTCTTCCTTCTTTCCCCTTCCTTCCTTCCTCTCTCTCTCTTCTTTCTTTCCCTTCCTCCCTCCCTTCCTTCCTCCCTTTCTTTCTTTCTCTTTTTTTCTCTTTCTTTCTTTTCTTTCTTAAGAGATGGTGTCTTGCTCTGTCACCCAGGCTGGAGTGCAGTGTCATGGTCACAGCTCACTGCAGCCTCAAACTCTTAGGATCAAGCAATCCTCCCTCATCATCCTCCTGAATAGCTGGGACTACAGGCGAGTGCCACCATGCCTGGCTAATTTTTTATAGAAATGGGGTCTCACTATGTTGCCCAGGCTTATCTTAAACTCCTGGGCTCAAGCAATCCTCCCACCTCAGCCTCCCAAAGTACTGGGATTACAGGTGTGAGCCACTGTGCCTAGCCTATCCCTGGTTTCTAGAACTATGCCTGGCACATAAGAAACATTTATTAAATATTTGTTGAATGAATGAGTGGTTTAAATGAGAGGATGTATTTCACAGCACTTCACAGTCTGCTCAGCCCTGTAGTAAGTAGGCTGATAGAGGCGGTATCTTCAGGGAGACAGGCAAGCACTCATTGTTCACCAATACTGATTTCATCCTCATTTTATTATGACAATCACAAATATATGACAAAACCTTCAAATGGAACAAGAGAGTATGCAGTGGAAAGAAAGTCCTGAGACCCCAGCCCCACTCCCCAGAGGAAAGCTCCATCAGTGTTTTCTTCCGTATTCTTCCTGAAAGATAAAATACTGAAGTATGCGAGTGCAGAGAAGATGCAACAATATGTATATTTTTAATGCTAAGATACAAAAGGGAGATAGAGATTTCAGAGTATTTCTGCCCACTGCTCTGCTGGGCCCAGCTAGGTATACACGGACCATGGGGCAAACATGAAGACACAGCTGCACACCTGTCCCTCCACCTCCGGGTGCCCTCTCTCACACACACACAAACATGCATACACAGATTAGGAAGGAGGCCTCATGTGCCAGCAGACTTGACAGGCAATCTCCCCAACACTCCTTATCCTCGCTCACACCTTCCCTCCATTCCCCCCCAAAGACAAGGAACACACATTCACAGACACACACACACACACCATCTTGTTCCTCAGTATCTTTTTATTTATTTATTTATTTTTTTGAGAGAGGGTTTCCCTCTTGTTGCCCAGGCTGGAGTACAATGGTGAGATCTCGGCTCACAGCAACCTCCGCCTCCTGGGTTCAAGCAATTCTCCTGCCTCAGCTGCCCGAGTAGCTGGGATTACGGGGCATGTGTCATCACGCCCGGCTTATTTTGTATTTTTAGTAGAGATGGGGTTTCACCATGTTGATCAGGCTGGTCTTGAACTCCCGACCTCCGGTGATCTGCCAGCCTCGGCCTCCTAAAGTGGCCTCTGTATCTTATAAGTAAATAAATCAATACATAAACCAGCCAGCCCCCATCTCTTTGGGGGCCACACCTCTGCTCTGGCTGGGATCTCCTTTCTACCTCAGGCTGAAGGGATATTTTGAATAGAAGAGTAAAAGTGTAGAAGGGACATTTTGTGTTTCTCCAGTTGGGAAACAAGGCATTGAGACTGGTTCTAATCCACTGTCAGTTGGGTGAGGACTCAGAGCAAGCCATGACTTGCAGCTCAGACCTTCTGGCTCAATGCAGAGAGGCCCGAGTTGGAGGAACAGGGTACTAAGTGATGGGATGGAGGAATGAGGGCAGTGGGGAGCCTAGCGAGGCAGCTTGACAGGGAAAATATCTCACCAGGTGACAGGAGGCCAGTCTTCTTTTTCTTTCTTTCTTTTTTTTTTTTTTGTGAGACAGAGTCTTGCTCTGTCGCCCCAGCTGGATGCAGTAGTGTGATCTCGGCTCACTGCAACCTCCACCTCCCAGGTTCAAGCGATTCTCCTGTCTCAGCCTCCCAAGTGGCTGGGACTACAGGTGCCCGCCGCCACGCCCAGCTAATTTTTGTATTTTTAGTAGAGATGTGGTTTCACCCAAAGTGCTGGGATTACAGGCATAAGCCACTGTGCCCGGCCCCAGGAGGCCAATCTTGATTCCATTACTATCTCTGTGACCTTGGTCAGGTCCTTTAAACTCTCCAAGCCTGTTCCCTCATCTATAAAATTGGTAAGAAATGTTATCCTGCCCTACTCACCTGGTTTGAGCATGGTGCAGTGAAGTATGTGAAGGCACATTACAAAATATAGGCTAGGCACAGTGGCTCACACCTGTAATCCCAGCACTCTGGGAGGCCGAGGCAGGCGGAGTGAGTGAGATCGTGCCACTGCACTCCAGCCTGGGTGACAAGAGTGAAACTGCGTCTGAAAAAAAAAAAAAAAAAAAAAAAAAAGGCCGGGCGTGGTGGCTCACGCCTATAATCCCAGCACTTTGGGAGGCCAAGGTGGGCGGATCACGAGGTCAGGAGATCGAGACCATCCTGGCTAACACGGTGAAACCCCGTCTCTGCTAAAAATACAAAAAATTAGCCGGGCATGGTGGCGGGCGCCTGTAGTCCCAGCTACTCGGGAGGCTGAGGCAGGAGAATGGCGTGAACCCAGGAGGCGCAGCTTTCAGTGAGCCGAGATCGCGCCACTGCACTCCAGCCTGGGCGACAGAGCTAAACTCCGTCTCAAAAAACAAAACAAAACAAAACAAAACACACACACACACACACACACAAAGTGCTCAGGAGGTTTTTAGGGCGGTGAAATTACCCTGTTTGATCCTATAATGGTGGATACATGTCATTATACATTTATCCAAACCCATAGAGTGTACAACACGAAGAGTGAACCCTAATGTAGTCTATGGACTTTGCGTGATAATGATGGTCAATGTAGGTTCATCGATCGTAACAAACGTACCGCTCCAGTAGGGATGTTGATAATGGCGGAGGCTGTGCATTTGTGGGGGCAGAGGTGTGTGGGAACTCTCTGTACCTTCTGCTCAGTATTGCTGTGAACCTAAAACTGCTCTAAAAAATAAAGTCCATTTAAAAATAAAGTGCTATACATATGTAAGTCATTGTTCAATTAAACAAAAATTATATTTATTATGGAAAATGTCAAATTTATATGCTGATACAGAGAATAACGAAAGACTACATATCATATGATTCTATTTGACATGTCCAGAAAAGGCATATTTGGTGAGACAGAAAGCAGACCAAATGCTGGGGGTTGCCTAAGGCTGGGGGTGGGAGCAGGAATTGCCTGCAGAGGGCACAAGAAAACATTTTGGGAGTGACAGAAAGGTTCTTTTTTTTTTTTTTGAGACAGGGTTTCACTCTGTCACCCAGGCTAGAGTGCAGTGGCACCATCACGGCATCACAGCTCACTACAGCCTCGACCCCTCAAGTGATCCTCCCACCTCAGCCTCCGAAGTAGCTGGGACTACAGGCAGGTGCCACCATACCTGGCCAATTTTTGTTAGCAGGCTTGGCCTGCTTCTATGAGTTTGCCCATTATACATCCTTCATATGAGTTGAATTTAGGCATTATTTGTCCCTCTGTGACAGGCTTATTTCCCTATAATGCCCTCCATGTTCATTCATGTCTGATTTCAAAATATATTATGAAGCTACAGTAGGCTAGGCACTGTGGCTCATGCTTATAATCACAGCACTTTGGGAGGCTGAGGTGGGAGGATTGATGGAATCCAGGAGTTTGAGACCAGCCTGGGCAACAAGCAAGACCCCGCCTCTACAAAAAATTTAAAAGATTAGCCAGATGTGGTGGCAATACGTGTGTGTGTGTGTGTGTGTGTGTGTGTGTGTGTGTGTATAACGGAATATTAAACAGTCTTTAAAAAGAAGGAAATCCTGCCATTTGCAACAGTAAAACTTTTTAACAAAGCAAAATATGAAGTAGAGAAAATAGTATCAGATTTAATAATTATCAATTTATGGCCAGTCTTGTTTCATCTGTATTCATACTAAATTTCCTCACTGTACTATTTTGATGCAAATTTCAGATTACATTTTTCATTTATAAATATTTTTATATATGTCTCTAAAAGATAACTCTTTTTTACTAAAAATGTAACCAAGGCTGGGCTTGGTGGCTCATGCCTGTAATCCTAGCACTTTGGGAGGCTGAGGTGGGAGGATTGCTTGAGGCCAAGAGTTGAAGACGAACCTGGCCAACATAGTGAGACCCCATCTTATTAAAAAAAGGAACTAAAATATTATTATCATATCATAGATGAAAAATTTAACAAGATTTTCTTAATGTCATCAAATATTCCATTAGTGTTCAAATTTCTTGTCTTACAAATGTTATAAATGTTTGTAATTTATTTAAAATCAAGATCCGCATATTATGATTGGTTGACATGCCTTTTAAGTCTATTTTAATATATACATTTCCCCCGTATATTCTATCTTTCTCTCTCTCATCCTGCAGTTTCCTTCAGTCTGAAGTTTGCCAATTATATCCCTGTGATGTCTTTGGACATGTTCCTCTATATTCCTTATTTCCTGTACATTGGAGTTGGATGTAGAGGGTTAGTCAGATTCAGGTTGAATTTGGGCAACACTATTTCACAAGGGGTGGTGTGTAATCCCAACATGGGCACATAGCATCTGGATGTCTCTCTGTTTTGATGTGAGCAACCATTGATACTCAATGCCCAGATGTATTAATCATTCACCATTCATTCATTCATGCGGGGGTATACCAATAAAATTATACTTTTATTATAAAATCAAACCCAGCTACAGAAAACCACCTAAACAAATGAATTATTATAAGACAAACACTCTTGCACCCATATCATCTCAAAATAGATCTTCAAATACCCAGAAGTTTCCATGTGCACCATCCCAAACAGCCACCTTTCTCCCTCCAAAAGTAACCACTGCCCTTACTTTTATAGTGAGGACAAAAACTCATTAAAGGTCCTTAAGTTTCTTTCTTTTTTTTTTTTTTTTTGAGACGGGGTCTCGCTCTGTCGCCCAGGCTGGAGTGCAGTGGCGCGATCTCGGCTCACTGCAAGCTCCACCTCCCAGGTTCACGCCATTCTCCTGCCTCAGCCTCCCGAGTAGCTGGGACTACAGACACCTGCCATCAGGCCCGGCTAATTTTTTTGTATTTTTAGTAGAGATGGGGTTTCACCGTGTTAGCCAGGATGGTCTCGATCTCCTGACCTCGTGATCCGCCCGCCTCGGCCTCCCAAAGTGCTGGGATTACAGGCGTGAGCCACCGCACCCGGCCCCTTAAGTTTCATTATGGTTTTATCACCCAAATGTGCATTTCTAGACAGTATAGTTTAACCTTACCTATTTTTATTTATCTTTTAAGTCCCCTTTATTTATTTTTTTGAGACAGGATCTTGCTCTGTCACGCTGGCATGCAGTGGCATGATCATGGCTCACTGTAGCCTCGACCTCCTAGGCTCAAGCGATCCTCTCACCTCAGCTTCCTGAGTAGCTGGGGCCACAGGAGCACGCCACCACACCTGGCTAATTTTTGTTAAATTCATTTTTTATTTTCCAGAGAGACGAGACGAGGTCTCACCAGGTTGCCCAGGCTTGTCTGGATCTCCTGGGCTCAAATAATCCTCCTGCCTCAGCCTCCCAAAATGCTAGGATTACTGGCACAAGCCCCTGTGCCCGGCCTTAAATCCCTTTTAATGTACAGGTTGGCGACACACTTTAAAAGCATTTATTTTGTGTGAGACATTCAATGGGCACTAACAGAGCTACAGAAAGGAGTAAAGAAGAGCATCTGAGATTTTTGACTCCATTTGGCTTTGGGAGGAGCCAGCCTTAGCTCAAGAATAGGAGAAATCAGGCTAACGCCATGCATTAATGTGCAAAGGACTGAGTGACTCAAAGAAGGCAGAAATCAAGCATCTGGGGAAGCTCTTCCAGTCTATCCTCACACTCCTGCCGTGTAACACCCAGATCAAATGTCTTCTTCTGGCCAAGAAGCAGAAGACCTAGATTTACCCTCCCATCTTTAACAACTAAAAAACTGGACAGAATATATGAATATAGAGCAATAATGTTTGAACACTGGCCATCAGGCAGCACAGAACAGTACTGTAATCCCTGAAAGACTGAAAAAAAGTAGACGAGCTTTATATTTGCCCCAGCTTATTGCCTACAAGGTTACCAGGCTGCAGGATGGAGGAACCCAGGCTGAGCCTGGCTGTCTCTTTGATCGAGGAGATAGAGCTGGGAGTCCAGGGAGGCCAAGGCCACTAGTTTGCAGGAGAGCGTACAGGACAGGAGAGAGAGCTCTGGAGAGGTTCAGAGGGTTCCATGAATAGATAGCTGAGGACTGATCAACACATGTGTATGAGGGAACTATCCGTGGTAGGGAAAAACATCTGAAAGCCACAGAGTTAACAATTTTTGAGCTCATACAGGGATGGAACTAGTGCCTGTTCCTACTGGCTCATACGGAAAATTCATAGGGCTTTGCCTTGGTGGCAAAAAAAAAAATAGGTTTTGCCTTAGTGGCAGAGAAATATTAACCCTAGACTGGACGCTGCTCTGGTCTAAGCTAATAAAACTTTAAAGTAAACTTTGAAAGGATCAAACTGGCTTTTCTCTCTCTCTCTCTCTCTCTCTCTCTCTCTCTCTCTCTCTCTTTGTCTGTCTGTCTCTGTCTCTCTCTTTTCTTTTTCTGAGACAGCATTTTGCTCTTTCACCCAGGCTGGAGTATAGTGGTATGATGATGGCTCACTGCAGCCTTGACATCCTGGACTCAAGCGATCCTCCCACCTCAGCCTCCCAAGTAGCTGGGACCACAGATGCATGCTACCATGCCTGGGTGATTTTTGATTTTTTTTTTTTTTTTTTGAGACAGGGTCTCTCCATGTTGCCCATGCTGGTCTTGAGCTCCTGGGCTGAAGCAATCCTCTTGCATCTGCCTCCCAAAATGTTGAGATTTACAGGCATAAGCCACCATGCCCGGCCTGTTTTTGCTTCTTAAAAATTAACTGCAGTCCAGAAGAAAGCTGAATAATATTCACTGAAATATAAAAATATACAGGGCTCAGCAAGGTAAAATTCACAGTATTTGGCATCCAGTAAAAAATTAGTAGATATGGAAAGAAGCAGAAAATATGACCCATAGTAAGAATAAAAATCTGTTGAAACTAATCCAGAAATTGTTTAGATAAAATTAGTAGAAAATATATTAAAGTAGTCATTATAATTATTCCATATGTTTAAGAAGTTAGAAGAAAAAACTGAGATATGGAAGATTTTAAAAGACCCAGATCGAACTTCCAGAATTGTAAACAACAATGAAAAATAATACATTGGATGGAATTAATATTAGATTAGATGCTGTAAGAGAAAAGATTAGTGAACTTGAATACACAGCAATAGAAACTATCCAAAATGAAACACAGTGAGAAAAACGGCTGGGAAAAAGTGAAGCATCACTGAGTTGTGGGACAACTTCAAGTGGCCTAATACACAAGGTAATTGGAGTCCTTGAAGGAAAGGGGAGGGCAGAAAAAATATTTAAGAAAATAATGGCTGAAAAATTTCTCAACTTGATGAAAACTATAAATGCACAGATACAAGAATCTCAAACCCAAGCACAAGAAACATGAAGGGGTGGCCTGCCCCTCCACACCTGTGGGTATTTCTAGTCAGGTGGGACGAGAGACTGAAAAAAGAAATAAGACACAGAGACAAAGTATAGAGAAACAACAGTGGGCCCAGGAGACTGGCACTCAGCACACCAAGGACCTGCACTGGCACCGGCCTCTGAGTTCCCTCAGTTTTTATTGATTATTATTTTCATTATTTCAGCAAAAAGGAATGTAGTAGGAGACCAGGGTGATAATAAGGAGAAGGTCAGCAAAAAACATGTGAGCAAAAGAATCTATGTCATAATTAAGTTCAAGGGAAGGTACTATGCCTGGATGTGCACATAGGCCAGATTTATGTTTCTCTCCACCCAAACATCTCAGCAGAGTAAAGAATAATAAGGCAGCATTACTGTAAACATATCTCGCCTCCCACCATAGGGCAGTTTTTCTCCTATCTCAGAATTGAACAAATGTACAATCGGGTTTTATATCGAGACATTCAGTTCCCAGGGGCAGGCAGGAGACAGTCGCCTTCCACTATCTATCTCAACTGCAAGAGGCTTTCCTCTTTTACTAATCCACCTCAGCACAGACCCTTTACGAGTGTCGGGCTGGGGGACGGTCAGGTCTTTCTCATCCCACGAGGCCATATTTCAGACTATCACATGGGGAGAAACCTTGGAAAATACCCCGCTTTCAAGGGCAGAGGTCCCTGTGGCTTTCCGCAGTACATTGTGCCCCTGGTTTATTGAGACTAGAGAATGGTGACAACCTTTACCAAGTATACTGCTTGTAAACATTTTGTTAACAAGGCATGTCCTGCACAGCCCTTAAACCTTTATTTTATACAACACATGTTTTGTAAGCTCCAGGCTGAGTCAAAGTGGCTGGGTCAAAGTGGCTGGGGCAAAGTGGCTGGGGCAAAGCTACAAATTAACAACATCTCAGCAAAGCAATTGTTTAAAGTACAGGTCTTTTTCAAAATGGAGTCTCTTATGTCTTCCCTTTCTATATAGACACAGTAACAGTCTGATCTCTCTTTTCCCTACAAAACATGAACTATGTAAAAAAGACACATCATAAAATAGCTTACATAGCTAAATCCAGTGACAAAGAGAAAATCTTAAAAGAAACCAGAGGCATTGGGCTGGGCGCGGTGGCTCATGCCTATAATCCTAGCACTTTGGGAGGCTGAGGCGCACAGATCATTTGAGGTCAGGAGTTTGAGACCAGCTTGACCAACATGGTGAAACGCTGTCTTTACTAAAAATACAAAAAATTGCTGGGTATGGTAGTGCATGCCTGTAATCTCAGCTACTCGGGAGGCTGAGACAGGAGAATCACTTGAACCCGGGAGGTGGAGGTTGCAGTGAACCTAGATAGTGTCACTGCACTCCAGCAGTCTGGGTGACAGAGACAGACTCTGTCTCAAAAGACAAAACAAAACAAAACAAAGCAAAAAACAGATGCATAAAAGACATGTATTTCATACAAAGGAACAGAGATAGGATAATTGCAAATTTCTGATCAGAAACAATGCAAGTTAGAAGACAATAGAGCAACATTTTTAAAGTACTGAAAACAAAAGCAAAAAAGAAACTAGAATTCTAACCCAACACTCACATCAGACCATGTCTCATCTTTGCACAAAACTCCTCAGTGGTTTCCTATCTGAAAATCAGGCTCTCCAGGACACTGCCTCTGAGACAGAGATGATCGCACAGTAAGTTTATTGGGAAGTGCTCTGGTGATCAACCTCTGTGGAGGACTGAAGAAGGCAAGGTTGCATGGAAGGGGAAGTTGAGCTCTGATATAGTCTCAATAGAAGCCTCAGCTGTCCCTATTAATTTTGAAAATAGGATATCCCTTCAGAGCTGTCCCCAGTTGAAGCAAGGGGGTCAGGCCTTTATACTCATCAACTGGATGTGGGATGTCCCAGGAAGGGGGTATGATCTTGGATGAGGCAGCTCCCTTGGCCAAGGGCAATTCCCAGAGAACAGGTCAGCTGAAAGCAGTCAGCCTTCAACATCTCATATCTGGGAGAATAAGCACCTACATTCTGGAGGGAGATCTGAATGGCTCTCCACAGTATCCACTACAGTTCCAAAAACCAAATGGATAAAATCTAATCTTCTTAGCACTGCACACAAGGTCCTTCATGATCTTGCACACGCCCGCCCCAGCCTCATCTCATGCTGTCTTCTCAGCCTGGAAGTCTCTTTCATGCTCTGCCCTGGCCCCACTTGTCTGTTGGCAAACTTCTACTAATTCTACTAATTCCTCAAATTACAGTTGAATGTACCTCCTCCAAGAAGCCTTCCCTGACTACTCTTGCAGGCTCAATGATCCTTCCTCCCAATGTGGTGATTAGAACCATGGACTCCAGAGCCAGGGACTGAATTCCAGCTCTGCCACTTTCTAGCTGTGTAACCCAATGCATATTACTTAACCTGTCTGTATCTTAGTTTCCTCATCTATAAAACAAGGGATAACAATAGTACTCTTACTTCATAGGGTTGTCATCAGGATTAAAGCAATTAACATATGTAAAGTTAGAGTAGTATCTGGCAGAAGTAAATAACTGCTGCAATTGTTGTTGTTGTTGTTGTTATTATTGAGACAGAGTCTCGCTCTGTCATCCAGGCTGGCATGCAGTAGCATAATCACGGCTCACTGCAGTGTTGACCTCCTGGGCTCAAGAAATCCTCCCCCCTCAGCCTCCCGAGTAGCTGGGACTGCAGGTGCACACCACCACACCCAACTAATTTTTAAATTTTTTGTACAGATGAGGTCTCACTATGTTGCCCAGGCCGGTCTTGAACTCCCGGGCTCAAGCGATCCTGCTGCCTTGGTCCCCCAAAGTGTTGGGATTATAGGCATGAGCCATTGCACTTGGCCCATTGTTGTTGTTATTATTATTCAAGTTGCTCTGATGCATTTGTTGAAGGCATTAAGGAAGGAAAGAACTGGCTGGGCACAATGGCTCATGCCTGTAATCCCAGAAATTTGGGAGGCCAAGGTGGGCAGATGGCTTTGAGCTCAGGAATTCAAGACCAGCGTGGGGAACATGGTGAAACCCCGTCTCTACAAAAAATACAAAAATTAGCCGGGGATAGTGGCTCATGCCTGTAGTCTCAAATATTTGGGAGGCTGAGGCTGGAGACTCGCTTAAGTCCAGGAAGCAGAGGTTGCAATAAACTGAGACTGTGCCACTGCACTCCAGCCTGGGCAGCAGAGTGAGACCCTGTTTCAAAAAAAAAAAAAAAAAAAAAGAAGGAAGAAACTGAAAGAGACAGGCGGCATGCAGAATGTGTTGTTCAAGGAATGTTGGAATGTTGAGTTGTTGAGTAACCCAACATGTCAGAAGGGGAGTAATGGCCTAATGGGTCCATGTTGGGAAGATGTTTTGATGTTACAGTAAAGAGTGTCCATCTTATTTGGTAAGCAGTAAAAACCAATGGCAGAGTTTGTCCACAAATGAAAGAAAGGGCCAAAGAAAGAGAGACACAGATTGAGCCAAAAGATAAAGCATATAGGTGGTGAGGTGAGAATTGCACATGACGGGTGGTGGGTGCGAGTGTGGGATGGTCCCAGAAGTGGTGGGTGATGGGGACGTATGGGAGGATGGGTACAGGAGAGGGGGATGAGTTGAGAGGAAGGCGATATAAACATGTAGAGGATGGAGTGGGGAATCAGGCGAGACTGATGGGTCAGATGAGGAATTTTAGACATGCTAGGAGTGGGGAAGATAAAGGGTGATGGAGACAGGTGAGTTTTATGGGAACAGGTAAGGAGTGATGGGGCTGTGCTGGGAGATGGAGTCAAGCGGGTGGCAGAGAGCTGTAAGGAGAACCTGAGAGCTGGAGCGGGACAGCCAGAGAGTCCCAGGGCTGGAGGAGAGCGGAGCGGGGCCGTCGGAACGTGATGTCAGAGGAGGAGCCGTGATGTCAGAGCGGGCGGCGGGCGGTGATGTCAGGGCTGGTGCTGATGCTGGCGGCGCGGTGCATTGTGGGCAGCTCCCCGCTCTGCCGCTGCCGCCGCCGTCGCCCAAGGAGGATCGGGGCCGGGCCGGGCCGGGATGATCCGGGTCGGAAGGCCGCCGCCGCCGGAGGGAGCGGGTCACCCAACGCCGCACTGAGCCGCCCCCGCCCCGCCCCGGCCCCGGGGGATGCGCCGCCCCGAGCTGCTGCCTCCGCCGCCGCCGCAGCCGCAGCCGCAGCGGGCACAGAGCAGGTGAGGCGGGGCGGGGCGGGCCGGGGTCGGGGCGGGGGCTCCTTCGTGGGCTCAGGGGGCTCCGCCTGGCTCGCCTCCCAGCGCAGCCTTCTTGGGCTCCCCTCCGCGCTGCTGTCGCCGCCCGCTGGGCTGGGACGCTGGCCTACACCGCCTGGGCCGCGCCGAGGCCTGGAGCCGCTCCCTGTCCCCAGCACACAGACCTCCCTCCCCAACCCGTCCTCCGGGCACTTTGCTCCTCCCCACTCACCTCCGTCCCCTGTCCCCATGGCTTCACCCCTGGCTCTCCTGTCATCCCTGACGAATCATTCGGCTGTCTCCGTAACCTCCCTCCCTGTCCTCAGTCCCTCCATGCCTCCCACCTGCCTTCTTACCTACTTCCTCACCCCCTCAACTGTGCCCAGAGATCCCTCCCATGGTCCTATCTCTTCCTTGCCTGTCATCATTATCTCTCACGGGTCTCTATCCTACCCACCCCTCTCCTCTGATCCTGTCGCTCCTCATCCCTGCCATTCCCCTCTGCCTCCCTCCACACCTCTTTCACCTGTTCCCATCACCCCTCGCTAGTCTCCATCACCTCTCCTTACCTGGGCTCCCAGATTCTCACACACACCTGCTGACACCTTGCAGAGTTACACATCAACACTTGTATTCACAGGCCATGATGAGCTCCCACCAGTTCCACGTACCCCTGTGTACCATCACTGGCCCCACATGCTCCTATCTGCACTCTCTGACAGATATTCATACAAACTCCTGCATAAGCCCTCGCCTTCACCATGCGCCCATGTGCACATAGGGGTCTGAGGCGGCAGTAACGGGGCAGCCAAGTGTCCCATGTTTGTATCATCCAACCCAGTCTCAGCTGAGCATAGTCCTCAGACACAGAGAGAAGGAGGGTGGAGAGGGAGAAGCAGGTAACCCTCATTTATCTTCCTGGCTCCACTCTTCCTTCTCTTGCCTCATCTGTTTCTTTTTGGTTTGCTCATCTATAAAATGAGAGCAGGACACAAATTTTCCTTATCAACCTAACAGATCCACTGTCCCAGGACTGGAAAGCCCACCAGAGTTCACCCAGTTTAGCTTCTGAAGGCCCCCTCCCACCAGTTCAATTGCTTCTTCAGTCTTGTCCTCAACCTGTCTCCTCCACCTTTATTCTAGAACCCCCATCCCTACCTCTCCCTTCATCCTGCCACTGCCCTCACTGCCCTTCAAATTCCTGATGCCCCATATCCCACTTTGGCAGAAAGAGGGAAGTCCTGATGCTCTGAAGTTGTAAGGATTGGAGGAAACAGCTCAGCTTAGTCACTTGAAGAAAGAGAAAAGGAGTGGCAGCGTCCCTCCCCATGAAGATCCCTTCTCCATATGTCCACCATGGCCCATCATGAATTAGAAGGTGGTTTCCACACCTCCACGTCCCACCCTGTCCCCTATGGCAGGATGTCTAGATGCAAGAGCCCTGGGAAGTTATTTCATCCCAAGGAAAGGTGGGTTTATGTAGTTTCTACCCCATCTATACATCTCTTTAGCCACCTTCCTCCCCCGACCCGCAACCCCCAAACCCCAGCCTAAGTAACTTCCCTCTTTCTCTATTTGTGACTCTCCAGGGTCGTTGTGAGGGCACGGTAGTGTGCTTCTAAAAAGTGTGAGGGAAAGAGAAGAGGAAAATATCCTGGTTCCAAATCCTGTCCTGGGTTGGCAGAAATCTCAGAAAGTCATGTCTTCTGGCCCCTTGCCTACACACATGCATATCACACACAGACACAAAACACACACAAGAACACACAGATACAGAGATACATGTAGAAAAGCACACAGACACACAGAAAAGATAGACAAAGAAAGACACACAAAGAAACATACACACACAGAAGGATACATGCACAGATACACACACAGACATACACACACGCACACATGGGCATTTCTCCGGTAACATGTGCCTGTCTTTCCCAACCCCCGCCGTTGGGAAACTCTCCCTGATATCTAAATTCTACCTGTCCTAATTCGAGGAGAGATGTGTTCTTTCTTGTCGATTCCTAAGCAGACACAGAAAGGTGTGGTCAGAGGCTTTCTCACCCCATGCCCACCCAGACCTGCTGTTCTCTTTCACTTCTCCTGCCTCCTGCTAGGCCCCTTCCATTTTCCTGTCCTCCCCAGTTCAGCCCACTTCTGTCCCTCTGGAGTGGCCACAAGGTTGCTGTCTATCTGAAATCCATGTCTTGAGTCCATCACCTGTGTTCACCCCATCTCTTATATCCTGACCTCCCAACCCCATGGCTGTGTCAGTGGGTTCAGCTCACCCTGAGAAAGGTGTATGACTCTCAGCACATCCATCCCCCTCAGTTAACACCACCCTCAAGGGGCTTTAGTGCCTCCCCTCATTTTCTTGATTACCACATCTCCCAGGGCTGATTAGCAGGTCACTTTGGTGTGGGTGTCCCATGGGTCACCCCTTGGGTAGCAGGTCTTCCCTTTTCACTAAGCCTCTGTTGCACAGCTCCATGGACATTTTGTGGCACAGGGACTCCCCTAAGGGGGAGCCAAAGCCCAGGCCTCCCCTACAAGGGAAAGGGTCCCAGTCTGGTATGCCCCCTTGGTCAGCAAGTCTTCCTGGCATCAGTTAGAGTATGTCTCTCTCCCCTCGGCCTGTTCACTGTCATTTTCCTCTTCTTCATTGGTCAACATGTGTGTCCTGTTGCTGATTTTAAACATCTCTAGTTTGTAGTCTGTATCTCCCTTGCACTGGCCTTTATACAATCTTTCCCCTGGTAACTCCTGGAGCATCTGTCCAGTGGGGCCAGGAAGAATGCAGAGCAGGAGTGGAGCTCCTCTCCTCCATATCTGCCAGGTGGTCCTGGGTCCGCAGCCCGCCCTCACAGGCCCTCCTCACTCCCCTAGGTAGATGGCCCCCTCAGGGCAGGCCCGGCGGACACCCCTCCCTCTGGCTGGCGGATGCAGTGCCTAGCGGCCGCCCTTAAGGACGAAACCAACATGAGTGGGGGAGGGGAGCAGGCCGACATCCTGCCGGCCAACTACGTGGTCAAGGATCGCTGGAAGGTGGTGAGTGAGTGACCCGGCGGGACAGAGGGAGGGTAGCGGGGAGGGAGGCGAGGACCTGGAGACTTGTTAAAACCGGTGCCCTCCGCTCCCCTACCCTAAGAGGGAGGTGCCTCTAAGCTCATTTGCATACTGCTTGCATGTCATTATTTTTGCCAACACGTGTGGACAATAGCTTTCTCCCAGTGCCCTCTCTCGAGCCCCGCCCTCTCTCACCCCTCTTCCCGCTAGGTCACGTTGGTCAGGCCAAGCCCGGAACAACTCCTGGTTGGATGTCTGGGCAGGAGCTGCAGAGGCCAGTGTGGCGGAGGAGGAAGAGGGGTGGGGGAGGGAGCTTTTTCTCTGACGGACCTTGGAGAAGGGCAGTGGACGAGCATGTGTCCCTCCGCTTCCGCAGAGGACGGAAAGGCTTGGGTTTGGGGAAAGAGGCCCTGCAGGCTGCTCCCGCCGCACCCGCACTCCATCTTCTCCATCCAGCCTCCTCCCCTCGCCGGGTCCTGCGGCAGGTGCAGCACGGCGAGACTCCATCTCCCGGCGTGCCCTGCTCCTCCAGCCCGGGGCTTCGGGCTGCTCGGCCTGCTGGGAGTTGTAGTCTCAGCCTCCTCGGGAGCCGGGCCTGCCTCGGAGCGGGGGCGTGAGGGCTGGGGGAATGATAGTATTTGGGGAGCGAGACCTACTGTAAATCACCTCCCTTTTTCCGTCACTTAATAGCGCTCTGGTGTCCTCTTATTATTGTGGGGGCAGGATAATGTGGGGCAGACTGTGGGCGGCAGTGTGGGGAAACCCGTGTGTGAGCCTGTGGGACTGCACCGGAGTGGGGAGCCAGGGGGAGGGGAGGGAGAACAACAGAGGTCAGGTACACTCCTGACCTCTGAGTCGTGTGTGTGTGCGTGTGTGCTTGGCGCGTGTGCGCACCCGCGTGCTTTAGTGGGGAGGCTCAGTTCACGGGAGTGCGGGGTTGGAGAGGAGGGTGAGGCCCGGGTGCAGGCGGGTCTCCACGGCAACAGCCACCGGCCGTGCAAGTCCCCTAGAAACCTAGAAAGAGGCAACGGTGGCGACGTTTTCAGAGATGTCTCTGGGACTGGGGGTTGGGAGTGGAAGGGATGAAGAGGAGGAGACTTCTAGGGGTCCCCAAGGGATGAGGAAAGGGGCTGTTTATGTCCCAGAGGGGGACTTCCTGAGAGGGAGAGTACAGAAATCGGGGGAGGAAGAGCCAGGGCAGTAATAAAAGGAACGAGGGTCTGGCGAAGACAGGAGTGTTCCTCTGAAACCTCGGGGCCCCTGGCACCGGAGCTTAGTTTCTGGCGGATTGGAGGCAGAATGACATTTGCACTGAAGTGGTGAGGAAAAGACAGTTTTTACACACATGTTGAGTTTAGGCTGGAACTTTTTTGTGATTTCTGAGGGAAGGAGTAGAAGATGAGTGGGGAGCGAAATGGAGCAGGGAGCTGGGGGGAGGGCAAGCATGGCAACCTCTCCTCACCTCCGACCCCCACCCCTGGAGTGTTAGAGAGGGTGAGGGGCCACATGCTTCCCTTCAGCCTGTTCCAAGTGAGGATGGCACTGAGGTGGGAGGCAGAGCTCAAGAACCAAGGCAAACTGCCCATAGATCTTGGTGGCCAGAAGAAAAAGGGGGTCAGTGGCACTAGATGTGGCATTTAAAAATAAATACGTGGACCAGGCATGGTGGCCCATACCTGTAATCCCAGCACTTTGGGAGGTTGAGGTGGGAGGATCACTTGGGGTCACGAGTTCGAGACCAGGCTGGCCAACACGGTGAAACCTCATCTCTACTAAAAATACAAAAATTAGCCGGGTGTGGCAGTGGGCGCCTGTAATCCCAGCTACCTGGGAGGCTGAGGCAGGAGAATCACTTGAACCTGGAAGGCAGAGGTTGCAGTGAACTGAGATCATGCCATTGCACCCCAGCCTGGGCGACAGAGCAAGACTCCTCCTCTAAATAAATAAATAAATCCTCAATACTTGGCAGGCTGAGGCAGGAGGATCGCTTGAGCCCAGGAGTTCAAATCCAGCTTGGTCAACCTGTCTCTAAAAACATAAAATAATAACATCTTATTCATCTTGAGGGGTGCTTCTCAGAATCAGAATAGCAAACAATAATAGTAATAATGACTTAGTATTTGTTTTGAGCATTCACTGTTGCCAGGCATTGTGCAAAATGCCTCATGTGCATTATCTCAAGAACTTACCAAGTAGATTTGTATTCCCATTTATTAATCCCATTTCACAGGTGTGGAAACTGAGGAAATTGCTTAGCTAATTTGCCAAATTTCCATGACTAGTAGGTGTCATGGGCTGATTCTTGTCAGGTCTGTCTGACAAGAATCAGCCCATCCAAGAATCAGGACCACTGAGCTGAAGAAACCTTTGTGACCAATTCTAGTCCAACTCTATTCATTTCACAGAGGAGGAAGAGTGGAGGCTCAGAGAGTTTAAGAAACTCACCCCAGGTCACCCAGAGCTGGCCAAGAAACCAGGTCTCCTTCCTCCCAAGGACCAGTGCCGATCCTATTGTGTCATATTTCTCCTCTAGTTTAGGGAGGTCCTTCAGCAGGGGCTGAGATCATGTAAAATTTAGCAGGAGTGGAGAAAAGGGAGACTGAGAGAATATTCCTATTACTGGACTATGGGCAGGGCCACATTGTGACTTTCATGGGCCCCTTCCTCCATAAGAAAGTACTTAAAATTGTATTTTATGACTGCATTGGTATAAAGAGGAATATATTAATATTATATACTAGATTGTTCTCTTTGACCTAAAGGTTCATTTTTTTCCCCTGATGATTTTTTTTTTAATTTTATTTTTTTGAGACAGGGTCTCACTCTGTCGCCCAGGCTCGAGTGCAGTGATGAGATCTCGGCTCACTGCAACCTCTGCCTCCCAGATTCAAGCAATTCTTATGCCTCAGCCTCTTGAGTAGTTGGGATTACAGGCACCCGCCACCACACCTGGCTAATTTTTGTATTTTTAGTAGAGATGGGGTTTCACCATGTTGGCCAGGCTGATCTCAAACTCCCGACCTCAAGTCATCCACCCACCTCAGCCTCCCAAAGTACTGGGATTACAGGCGTGAGGCACCATGCCTGGCCTCCCTTATGATTTTAAAAGAAATTAAAACATTTTCATGGACCCCCTAAAGGTATCGGGGCCTAGTCACTGTGTCTCATGGATAAGTCAGCCCTAGCTGTGGTGCAAGGGAGAAGGGTTGTTGGTGGAGTGGGTGGTGAAGATACCCAGTTCCCTGTCTTATGGAGGTTCCATAATGGGTGGGGGGTGGGTGGGGAAGAAGGGGTGTAAAGAAGGAGAAATAGGTTCTGCTGGGAAATGAAGGTGGTAGAGAAATACCCTAGGGCACCCTGGGAAATTGGGAAGTAGGTGTCATAAATGTCTTGGCTGTCCCGAGCCTTCCTGACTTATCTCTAGCAATGATTTCGGAGCCTGGCAGATCTGGGCTTGAATCTCAGCACTCACACTTTTAATGTTGATGGGTCCACAGTTTCTGTAACATTATGGATTCTGCATTTGATTGCCTGGGTTTAAATGAAAACTGCCTGGCTTTGCTTTTTTTTTTTTTTTTTTTTTTTTTAAGACGGAGTTTCTCTCTTGTTGCCCAGGCTGGAGTGCAATGGCGTGATCTCAGCTCACTGCAGCCTCCGCCTCCCGGGTTCAAGTGATTCTCCTGCCTCAGCATCCCAGGTAGCTGGGATTACAGGTGCCCGCCACCACGCCCCACTAATGTTTTGTAGTTTTAAATAGAGACAGGGTTTCGCCATGTTGGCCAAGCTGGGCTCAAACTCCTGGCCTCAGGTGATCCACCCACTTCAGCCTCCCAAAGTGCTGAGATTACAGGCGGGAGCCACCGCGCCTGGACCTGGCTTTGCTATTAACTAGCAGTGTGATGTGGGGCAAGGTATTGCATTTCCCATGCCTCAGTTCTCCTTCTGTGCAAAATGGGGAATCACATGACCTTCCTCACCTGTGTTGCCAGGAGCCTTTGGGGATTAACTGAGATGACATTTGTGAGACCAAGATGCGGTTTTCCCCTCCCCTTTGCCCTTTCCTCTGTTCTCGCACAAGCAAACCTTAAAGGAATCTAGAAGATATTCGCATCTCCCCAGAGTTTAAAGTACCCCAGAGGCAGACATGCCGTTGTTTCCAGTTAGTCTGAGTCTGTCCCCTCCTGGCTCTGAGATCCTGCCTTTAAATTTCATCTCTAAGAGAAAGGAATTCTGGTTTCTCACTGTTCTTCCTCCTTCCTCTTTCCCTGTCTCCTTCCCAGACACAAGCACCTTGAAGTTCCCACCCAGCATTCTGCTTCTTTTCCATATCTTCCCTTCCTGCTCCTGTCTCTTTCTGGAGTGAGTTCAATGGTAACCTGGGAACTCCCAGCCCTCCAGCTCCGCCTGGTCTTCCTCCCTCCATCCCGCAGTGTCAATCACCACTAAACAATCACAAGTCATCTGGGTACTGAACAGACGTTCGGGGCGGGTTCAGAGATGCAGGAGGCTGAGCGGCCAGAGTCTGCTGGTTGATCAGAGTCGCAAGCCAGCAGGACAGAATGAGGGTTTGGGAAGGTGCACAGAGCGGACAGGCCCCCAGTGAGGCAGCTCCCCGAGGGGGTGAGCATCAAGCTCTCCATCCTTCTTTCTTTTTCTTTTTTCAGTGGACCTCCTCTGAGATCATGTACATCTTTCTAAAACCAAACCAGTCTCAGCTTGGAACTCGGCACCGTCTCCCTGCTCCCCATGCCTGCCAGCAAAGCCCTCACCCTCCAGGACCCCCGGGCCTCTGAGCTGAAATGATTTTGAGCCCCTCCCCAGAACTCAGCTTTGCTTGGCTCCCTGCCAGCTCTTCCTTCACTTTATTGCGGTTCTCCTCCCCGCCTTTCTCACGCCTGCTTTGGGAGGCTGGAGGGGGGAGACGAGAGGGTCAGACCGCTGCTCCATTCCCTCCAGGCGCCGGTCCCACCACGCTCTCACAGTGCCCCCTGCCCTGGAGAGGAGGCTCATCCTGGTTGTGGGCATCTGAACAGGGACCTAGGGAGTGATGTGACGTGAACTTCGGCAGTGAGCATGGGCCGCGAACATCCTTTGCTGAATCCCCTTTTGCCCACATACTCTCTCCTTCTTGTGACTCTTGGGTGGTTGCCAATCCCAGGAAGTGCCGGCTTCCCCAGGGGATCAATCCGCCCTGAGACTGGGAGGTCTGGCAATTGGTTTTCCTTCTGGATAGGGGTCGCTCAGTCTACACAGGGGATGGGGGAACATGATATTTGTTGTCCTTCTAGAGAAGAAAAGGTCAAGGGCGGCCCAGTGTCTCCTCAGAATCCTACATTAGGCTTTCTCCATGTCTATACGGGGTCACAGGTCTTTTACCCTTTCCTGACATCTGGCTCTGTGTGTGTGTGTGTGTGTGTGTGTGTGTGTGTGTGTGTGTGTATGGTTGCTCAGGAGCTGAGCTGTCTGTCCCAGGGCACTAGGAGAGGAGGTGGGGTGCTGATGGGGTGGGGCAAAGAAGAGAGACATGAGGTTCGCCCCTTCAAAGATACCCCCTTCTGGCCGGGCACAGTGGCTCATGCCTGTAATCCCAGCACTTTGGGAGGCCGAGGCAGCTGGATCACCTGAGGTCAGGAGTTTGAGACCAGCCTGGCCAACATGGTGAAACCCTGTCTCTACTAAAAATACAAAAAATTAGGAGGGCATGGTGGTGTGCACCTGTAGTCCCAGCTACTCAGGAGAGTGAGACGTTTGTTTGAACACGGAAGGCGGAGGTTGCAGTGAGCCGAGATTGCACCACTGCACTCCAGCCTGGGCGACAAAGTGAGACTCCATCTCAAAAAAAAAAAAAGATACCCCCCTTCCCCACCAATGAAGGATGCAACCAAGCAGCAGGTGGGATGAGGAGCTGTTCAGCCTGATCCCTGAGCACCCCCTATCCCCTCATCTTCATAGCTGAAAAAGATCGGGGGCGGGGGCTTTGGTGAGATCTACGAGGCCATGGACCTGCTGACCAGGGAGAATGTGGCCCTCAAGGTGGAGTCAGCCCAGCAGCCCAAGCAGGTCCTCAAGATGGAGGTGGCCGTGCTCAAGAAGTTGCAAGGTTCGGGCCTCGGGCAGGGGGATGGGAAGGAAGAGATGATGAAGCCAGGGGCTAAGAGAGGTGATAAGATCAGAAGCTGGGGTGAGGGAGGAGATGTCGTGTGGTAGAGGGAAAAGGGGATGGAGCCAGGAGCTAAGGGGGAGGTGACGGAGCCAGAGTCTAGGAGAGATGGGACCGGGGTCTAAGACAGTGATGGGGCAGGAGGCCGGGTTGGTGATCAAGGAAGTAATCGAGCTGGAGTCTAGGAGACATGATGAGGCTAGGGCCAGGGAGGTGGCAAGACAGGTGCTCACAGGGCCAGCACTGGAGGGACCAGGAATCAAGAGTGCACTAGGAACCCATCTTAGGGTTGGAAATGAGGAAGAAAGAGTAAGAGCTGGAAGACCTATGTCTGTGCCCCTCAGGGAAGGACCATGTGTGCAGGTTCATTGGCTGTGGCAGGAACGAGAAGTTTAACTATGTAGTGATGCAGCTCCAGGTGAGTCCCCGTGGCCCATCCTCGCTCCCCTCTCTAAGAGCTTGGGCTGTGACTCCAGGGTAGGGGAAGGGAAGGTAGACTGTGGCCCTGGGAAAGGGCAGTGGGCACAACCCTTTGGGGTGAGGCTGGGAAGAGTATCACAATGATGGTGTCTGGGATGATGGCTGAGGGTGAGTCTACCCCCCACCTCCACCCCCATGCAGGGCCGGAACCTGGCCGACCTGCGCCGTAGCCAGCCGCGAGGCACCTTCACGCTGAGCACCACATTGCGGCTGGGCAAGCAGATCTTGGAGTCCATCGAGGCCATCCACTCTGTGGGCTTCCTGCACCGTGACATCAAGCCTGTGAGTACTGCCCCCACACGCCTCTCTGTTCCCTCCTCCAGAACACACCCCTAATTCTTTCCCTGGGTCTCCTGGTTTCTCCTCTGCAACCATGGTTGGGACTTGTGATGGGACAGCCTCTTCTCCCCAAGCCCCTCCTGCTCTCCTTCCCAGGCCCCATCTCTTCCTCTCCCGTGCTCCCCAGGAGCATGCACCCCTGCCTGCCCCTCGGCCATGGCCAGGCCTCTCCTCTGTTCTTCCCTTCTGTTCCTTATCCCTTGCCCCTGACCTGACAGTTCTGGAACCTAGGAAGGTGAAGGGGCTGGGAAAGGATGGAGGGATCGAGGGAAGGGGACTGAGGGGCTGGGGCTTGGCAAGGAGTTCCAAGTAGCTGATTTTGTGGCATCTTGAATATTTGTGCTAGGAAAAAAATCTCCAACTTAAAGAGATGAAAACTGAGGCCCAGAAAGGTTAGTTGAAAGGTTCAAGGCCACCCAGCAGGCCTGCTGCCTTAGGCAGCCACACCAGTTACACCAAATCACATTGCCTTGCTGGGGAGTCCCAAAAATGTGGAGCTGTACAGACGTGGCTGAGTCACCACTTGCTGTGTAATCTCAGAGATGCTTCCTAAGCTCTTTGACCTTTAGTTTCCTCATCTCTAAAATGGGGATGATCACACCCACCCCTCAGATGAGAGGCTGTGACCTGATGCACACATGTGAATACTGACGTTTCCTTGCGGGCGAGTGAATGTGGGGCTGAAAGCCCTTCACCAGCTGCAGAGCTGTTTCTTGGTGCCCCTTGAGGTGGCCCAGCTGGGGTTGGGGCCCCCAGAGCTCACAGCTGCTGTCTCCCCCAGTCAAACTTTGCCATGGGCAGGCTGCCCTCCACCTACAGGAAGTGCTATATGCTGGACTTCGGGCTGGCCCGGCAGTACACCAACACCACGGGGGATGTGCGGCCCGTGAGTACCGTCGGGGCGGGGAGGACAGTGGAGGACTCCCCCCTACTCCCAGATCTGGGGACCCTTCACCCACTTTTCTTACAGCTGCCTAAGCTGGCCTGGCCTTGTGTTCAGTATCAGCGCCACCCAGCTCTGGGTGTCCACACTCGGCCTGTCCCCTCTCGCCGTTAGCCTGTACTCTTGGGGGATGCCACATCCATACCTTGCGATTTTCCTCCCCACTCTGGGCAGGGAGCAGGGTCAGCAGGCGGGTTTAGGACTGGAAGGTCAGAGAGCAGGCCCACCTCCCCAGCCAGGGGAGGTGGTCAGGGTGAAGAGTTAGACTTGGTGGCAGGGTTGAGAGGTGGCTGAGGTGAGGGCATGGTGGGTGACGTTCTTGGTGGTCTCCCTTCTGCAGCCTCGGAATGTGGCCGGGTTTCGAGGAACGGTTCGCTATGCCTCAGTCAATGCCCACAAGAACCGGGTGAGTGGCAAAGCCCGGGATGCAGGATGTGGAGGTGGGAGGGGCAAGGTCGGGGTGCAGTGTGCTGCTGGGGAGGGGTGGGGAGAGGAGAGTGGGGCAGGGGCTGCAATCTGCCACCCCAGAGACCCTGGGCTGGAGGAAGGCCCCTCTGTGGCAGACTCAGTGTCCCCTTCCTCATTTGTTTCGGAAACCCCATCCTCTCTGTTCTCACTACAGACCCCTGTCCGGTGAGGAAGCACACACGGTAGTTTTGGCTGTGGGACTCTGTGGGTGTTGGAGGGTTGGGGATGGAGCTGTGGCCTCAGGGAGACCCCAGTTCTGTCCTTAGGGGCCTGGGTGTCAGGCCTCCCTGACAGATGCCCCTCAGAGAAGGGTCAGCCGCCCATTCCCAGGGAAGGACCTGAGAGCTGCAGGTGACTCCCTCCCCCCACCTCCAGGAGATGGGCCGCCACGACGACCTGTGGTCCCTCTTCTACATGCTGGTGGAGTTTGCAGTGGGCCAGCTGCCCTGGAGGAAGATCAAGGACAAGGTGAGCCCCAGGCAGCTGGGTCTGAGGTGGCAGAAGGAGTGTCAGGGCAGCTGGGACTCCATCTCCCTGTGGCCTCTTGCCTCCAGGAACAGGTAGGGATGATCAAGGAGAAGTATGAGCACCGGATGCTGCTGAAGCACATGCCGTCAGAGTTCCACCTCTTCCTGGACCACATTGCCAGCCTCGACTACTTCACCAAGCCCGACTACCAGGTGGGAGCCTGCTACCCTGCCCCCGCTCCCTCGACACCACTCTGTGAGTGACTGTCCCCCAGCAGACCTCGCTCCTGCTGAGGCTCCACAGCCCTGCCTTGTCCCCAAGCCTCTCCCCTTGGTCTTCTAACTGCACTAAAGGCATGTATGCTCTTGTAAACTAGTCACAGCCAAGATTTATCAAGAGCTTACCCTGTTCTCAGTGCTTTTCATGCATTCACTCATTTAAGCTTCCAAGCAAGCCTTTGATGATGATGAATGCTCCTTATATTATTATTCCAGCTCTTTTTTTTTTTTTAGACATAATCTTGCTCTGTCACCCAGGCTGGAGTGCAGTGGCGTGATCTCTGTTCACTGCAACCTCTGCCTCCTGGGTTCAAGCAATTCTTCTGCCTCAGCCTCCCGAGTAGCTGGGACTACAGGCACGTGCCACCATGCCCGGCTAATTTGTGTATTTTTATTTGAGATGGGGTTTCACCATGTTGGCCAGGTGAACTCAAGCTCCTGACCTTTTGATCCACCTGCCTCGGCCTCCCAAGGTGCCGGGATTACAGGTGTGAGCCACTGTGCCCAGCCCCAGCTCTTAACAATTAATGAAGCTGGCCGGTGCGGTGGCTCACACCTGTAATCCCAGCACTTTGGGAGGCCGAGGTGGGCAGATCACTTGAGGTCAGGAGTTCAAGACCAGCCTGGCCAGCATGGTGAAACCCTGTTTCTACTAAAAATACAAAAATTAGCCGGGTGTGGTGGTGGGTACCTGTAATCCCAGCTACTCAGTAGGCTAAAGTGTAAGAATCGCTTGAACTTGGGAGGTGGAGGTTGCAGTGAGCTAAGATTAAACCACAGCACTCCCGCCTGGGTGACAGAGCAAGACTCCATCTCAAACAAACAAATAAACAAAAACAATTAATGAAGCCAAATGCTTTTAAGTACTTTACATGAAAACTCTGCGGGAGGCAAGTGGGATGATCATGCCCATTTCATAGATGAGGGAACTGAGGCCCAATATAGTGGTTAGGAGCAGGGCTGGGCTCAGGCACATCTTCTGACTCCGAGTCCAGGGCTCTTTCCAAGCGTCCATCACCACACCCCATGGGACCCACTGACCCTGATCAGAGAATGGGGGAAACATCAGCAGTGTTCTGCCTGGGATCCACTACACGCCAGGCACGATGCTGCATACTGTAGGAGTAGAGACAGCCTGAGGCACACAGGATGCACTCAATTAAGCCGGTCCTCTCAGCAGAGAGAAACTGCCCTGTGCTCTGGAGACAGCCAAGCCAGAAGTGGAGTGTTCTGGGGACCTCAGAGGGTCTATAGCTGTCTGCCACCTCCTGAACCCAGGGCCTGGCAGAGACGCCCCCTGATCTTGGCTTAGCCTCATGGGATCCCCAAAGCCACACAGCTGCGAGCACCCCCCAGGCTGGGGCCCTGTGCTGGCTGCTAGGGATGCAGAGTTGACAGATAGGCATGTGGACAATTCAAACTGATGCACTGTGCCCTGTAGGGCAGCTGTATGGTGGAGAGAATTTACGGTGAAGAGAAGGGAAGCTGCAGAGAGGAGAGGATGAGTGGGAGGGGCGCCCCAGCAGAGGGGCAGTCTGTGCAGAGGCAGCACCCCATGCATGGGTTTGGAAACTCCCAGTGGTTTAGGGTTGCTGACATGGTGGAAATGGCAGAGGAGGTTTGAAGATGGTAACCAGGGGACAGATCTCAGAGGGTTCATGTCCAGTCAGTGGGGCTTAATCCAAGATGATAATTTGCATGTTGATTTGCATATCATGTGCATGTTTTCATTTAAAATCAATGTGCCGTTCTCCTTCCAATGCCCCCTCCAGGCCCATTCCTGTCCTGGAAAGTCCCTGTCTTCCTCCTATGATCCCAGCAACTGCCCCTTCCTCCTGGCTAGCCCCCGGATCACCTCTCTGTCCTCCCATCACCCTCACCCCCTGCAGTTGATCATGTCAGTGTTTGAGAACAGCATGAAGGAGAGGGGCATTGCCGAGAATGAGGCCTTTGACTGGGAGAAGGCAGGCACCGATGCCCTCCTGTCCACGAGCACCTCTACCCCGCCCCAGCAGAACACCCGGCAGACGGCAGCCATGTTTGGGTGAGTCTCAGGAAGGCGAGCCACCAGCCCCTGCCTGGAGCTGTTACCTAAGAGGGCAGGCGGTCCTCTCCTCTCCTCTCTTCCTATCTGGACACACTTGGCTATCTTTCCTATCCTTAGTGGAGTTCTGGGACTTTGGGAAACTCTGCCACATCTCCACCCTCAATCTGAGCATAGAGTGGGCATCTTCCTCATTTGGAGTTTTTAACCTTAGTGGGTCCCTGGGGGAGCAGGGAACCCTAAGCGAAATTACCTGAGCCCCACAGTTTATCTGTTTCTTATCATTCATATGCATGAATTTAACAGCCATGTCCTGAGGCCATACACCTGAAAGTTACAGCTCCTGCCCCCAAAGCACTCTCAGCTGAGTCTGGGATGTTTGAAATCGATGGGTCAGCAATTTCAGAACCATGTGACAGGCACAAAGACAGAGGTGGTCGAGGGAGGAGCTGGAGTTAGAAGGGGCTCTCCACCCAGCCCCAGGAGCAAGCCAAGGAGAGAGGTGGGCAGGGGCTTCAGGGGACACATTTAGGAAGGAGACTTAACAGGAGTTGGTAGCACATTACAGTGCCCAGTTCCATACAGACATTGCTTAAAGAACTCGAAAGTTTAATCATCAAAGAAGATTAAATAAAAAAAAAATTTAAGTGTATATTCAGGGCAACTTCAATCTATGCTCCCAGACTGCAAAATAATAATAAAAGAAAACTAAATTTAAAAGGATCTCCAAAGTGATTCTCCTTTTTAGACCCATTCCTGGGTCTAAAGGAAGCCAGACAGTGAACGCCAATGGAAATCTGGCAGGTCCTTGAACGACAGCAGGATCCACTAAGTCAACAGAGCTAGATGGCTACATCTCCTTGTGGCCCCTGCCAACTTGAGGGTCGTCTGGTCTCAGAGGCTTTGTGGGCCAGCAATGGTGATGGGCCTAGGGACACTCTCACCCCTGACGGGACTGCCTCTGTGCCCGCTCCTGGGGGTGGTCTCCAGGTCTGTGCTGGTAGGAGAGGGCCATGGAAGGAGAGGGCACCCCTGCCAGCCTTGCCCATGGCTCCCTCCTGCCCTCTCCAGGGTGGTCAATGTGACGCCAGTGCCTGGGGACCTGCTCCGGGAGAACACCGAGGATGTGCTACAGGGAGAGCACCTGAGTGACCAGGAGAATGCACCCCCAATTCTGCCCGGGAGGCCCTCTGAGGGGCTGGGCCCCAGTCCCCACCTTGTCCCCCACCCCGGGGGTCCTGAGGCTGAAGTCTGGGAGGAGACAGATGTCAACCGGAACAAACTCCGGATCAACATCGGCAAAGTAACTGCCGCCAGGGCGAAGGGCGTGGGTGGCCTTTTCTCTCACCCCCGATTCCCAGCCTTGTGCCCCTGCCCTGTTCCTCCTAAGCACCCTGTCCCCGGCCATCTGCCTGCTTGCCCTGCCTCTGTTTCCCGGTCCCTCCCCGCACTAGCCTCGCTGTGTCTTCCATCATCATCATCCTCTGTCTCCTTCACCCTGAGGAGACCATCCGCCCACAGCCGCCTCATCAGCCCCAGCTCATGGCACTCCCCTCTCCTGCAGAGCCCCTGTGTGGAGGAGGAACAGAGCCGAGGCATGGGGGTCCCCAGCTCCCCAGTGCGTGCCCCCCCAGACTCCCCCACAACCCCAGTCCGTTCTCTGCGCTACCGGAGGGTGAACAGCCCTGAGTCAGAAAGGCTGTCCACGGCGGACGGGCGAGTGGAGCTACCTGAGAGGAGGTGGGTCTGGGGCCAGGGGCATGGTTGGGGCCCAAGGCCCTCTCCGCCTTCACGTGGCTGGTCTGGAGGAAAAGTTAGATGTGTGGCGGAGGTGGGCAGACCCTGGGAAGTGCTGAGAGGGTTATACTTGGGCCTGGGGTCAGACTCAGTTGGGGCCAGAGACAGGGCCTGGGAGAACCAGTGGGGGATCCAGAGAGGTCCCGGCTCATGCCAGGAAACGTAATTGGGTGAGTGCAGGCTGCAGGAGGGACAGGTGGGGCGCCTGGGCCCAGGAAGGGTGAGGGGCGAGTTGGTTGGTGGGTGTGTGTGCTTCCAGAATCTCTTCTCCTAGAGACTAATTATAGACACTTCAAGTGCAGCTGAGGTAGGCTCTCTTCAGCTTTGGGGGAGGGGGCCTGGGAATTGCTGGAAGAGAGAGCAGGGCAAGTTTTGGGGGTTAGGGCTGAAGGATCTGAAGTCACAGAGGGGAGGGGACCAGCGGGAACCTAGTTGGGGAAAAGGAGCATTGAGAAGCTAGGTGAGCCTTTAGGAGGTGAAGATGGGAGGGTGGGAGAATGGTCTGTTGACCTCGGATGGTGGGTGGACAACAAGGGCCAGGGCCCGGTCCCCATCTGTGCTGGTGGTGGGTGGGACAACATCAGGTGGGGAGGCCCCTGAGAGATGTTTCCATCTTCCCTTGGCCTCTGAGTGGGACTTCACTCCACAGTAGGACTGGGGCCTTCTCTGCACCAGAAAAGGGGTCTCTTCCAAAGACCCAGTCCTGGGGATAGGAGGGGTATCCTTTCTGGCATCCACTCTGTGTGTCTCCTTGTGAGCAACCTCAGTCCTTACACACTCACACAGGTTGGCTTACGTAGGACTGAAGACCACCATTTTTGTCTGTGGTAGCCTGGAGTCCCTCTCCCTGGAGACGGAGAAATGAGGAAAGGCAGTTTGGGAAGGGATATGAGTGGAGAAGAGAGGTGGGAAATGCCTTGAATGAGACAGTCCTGAAGGGCTGCCTGCTTTTAGAAAACAAGAAGCAAACTGGTTTGGCTCACAGTGAACCCCAGTTGCAGGGATGGTAGAGAAAGTTGAGGGCTGAACAGGATATCATAGACAGCAGAGGGTCTGGATGGGCTCTGGGGCACTCGGGAGCAGGAGACAGTACAAAAGCAGTTGAGATTTGGATTTCCCACCCCACTGTCTCCTGTCTCCAACCCTCCGTCTGAGCTCCCATTACACACACACATGCAAACACACACACACACACGCACAAGCACCACTAGCCCTGAGCCTTCTTTGGCACCCTTTCTCCCCTTTACATCCATCAAAACAAACTGTGCCTCAGAAAGGAAATGATATCAGCCATTGACATGGGAGCATAAATATAAGACCCTAGGTGGCCTCTCTCAAGGATGTTTTATTTAAGTCTTTATTAACAAGTCAATGAAAATATTGTGCACAGTCAGACTGGGCAGGTCCCACGTAGGCTGGGGTGGTGGTATTTTAAGGAAGCCCCACAGGCAGTTCTGATCTGCACCCCTGCCTCTGCAGCTGAAGAGCCATTGAACCACAGGCTCGATGCTGGGGGAGAATGAAAGTCAGCCCCCTGCCCACAGCCTGAATGTGAGGGAGTGGCACAAACCCCAGATAGGTTAGGCCTCCGTGCTGGCTCTCAGTGGGGTACCCTGGCATTTGAGAGAGGGCGATTCTTTCTTGTGTAGCACCTCCCCACACACACACTACTGTACAATCAGAAATATCCTCCTCTTGGGGCTGGCATGACCCCAAGTTGAGAAGCTCTGAAAGTAATGTGAGATTCACAGCACAGTTCAATATAATGAGGCTGGGAACAGTGGCTCGCGTCTGTAATCCCAGCACTTTGGGAGGCCAAGGTGGGTGGATCACCTGAGGTCAGGAGTTTGAGACCAGCCTGGCCAACATGGTGAAACCCCATCTCTACTAAAAATACAAAAATTAGGGAGGCGTGGTGGTGTGCACCTGTAAGCGCAGCTACTCAGGAGGCTGAGGCAGGAGAATAGCTTGAACCTGGGGGGTGGAGGTTACAGTGAGCCAAGATCATGCTACTGCATTCCAGTCTGGGTGACAGATTCTGTCTCAAAAAAAAAAAAAAAAAAAAAGATAACGACAGAAGAGATGTCCCAAGGCAGGATCAATGCCCTTGGGGTAAAGTCAGATGGGACCCAGGCCCTGCGCAGCAGAGCTCACAGTCTCTTGGGGAGACAGATTATGTGACAGACATGAGGTTCACCCTGTGATGAGAGAGAGATAGAACGCACTAATCCTTGTAGGATGGGAAAGGCAGGCTACCTGCCCAAGGTGACAGCCAACCTGTATCAGACAGCAAAGGGTAGAAGGACAGGCTGTGTGTGGGGAGAGGTCCTGTGGGGAGAGGCTACATTGGGGGTGGGCCGTAAGGGTGGAATCTGAGATGGGGCTGGTGAGGGAAATGGGGAGACAGCTGTATTCAGGCTGTGAGAGGCCTTGAGTGTAAACCAAGGAATGTGGACTTTGTTGTTGGGGCCGGGGAGTCACTGGAGTTTGTTGAGCTGGGACTAGCAAGGCCATCTTGGGGGTGATGAAACCAGCCAGGCAGGCCTGGAGGGTGATGGCAGAGGAGGCTGGAAAGCCCTCTGTAAACTCAAGGGCCAGTTGGGTGTGTTTGCCTGGAAGCAGCAGGAAGCAGCCACTGGCGGGTGTGAGCACTGGAGAGGCAAGAACAAAGCTTGCCTGAGGAAGATTAGCTTCCCTAGGGTGGCCCAGGAGAGAGCGTTCCTTGCACAGAAACCCGAGTTTATTTTCTGCTTGTTTGTATTCCTGGAGCACGGTAAGCATTCAAAAACATTTGTTGAATGAATGAATGAATGAATGAACGAACGAACTAACAAACGAACTAACAAAGCCTTGATAGGAAGTGAGGTTGGAGGGTGACAACCTAGAGGTAACTGGCCTGGCTCAGGGTGGGAGGGGTACTGCGGTCAGGAGGTTTTGGGAGTCACGCCCCACCCTGCCGCTGGCGTGGGGTCCTTGGGGGTCCAGTGGGGCCAGGTATTGAGCCCCGTGAGGGGTGGCTTTGCAGGTCACGGATGGATCTGCCTGGCTCGCCCTCGCGCCAGGCCTGCTCCTCTCAGCCAGCCCAGATGCTGTCAGTGGACACAGGCCACGCTGACCGACAGGCCAGTGGCCGCATGGACGTGTCAGCCTCTGTGGAGCAGGAGGCCCTGAGCAACGCCTTCCGCTCGGTGCCGCTGGCTGAGGAGGAGGATTTCGACAGCAAAGAGTGGGTCATCATCGACAAGGAGACGGAGCTCAAGGACTTCCCTCCAGGGGCTGAGCCCAGCACATCGGGCACCACGGATGAGGAGCCCGAGGAGCTGCGGCCACTGCCCGAGGAGGGCGAAGAGCGGCGGCGGCTGGGGGCAGAGCCCACCGTCCGGCCCCGGGGACGCAGCATGCAGGCGCTGGCGGAGGAGGACCTGCAGCATTTGCCGCCCCAGCCCCTGCCACCCCAGCTGAGCCAGGGCGATGGCCGTTCCGAGACGTCACAGCCCCCCACGCCTGGCAGCCCTTCCCACTCACCCCTGCACTCGGGACCCCGCCCTCGACGGAGAGAGTCGGACCCCACAGGCCCACAGAGACAGGTAAGGTTGGGCTTGCACCCCACTCCCCATCTCCAGATGCCCAGAGTCCTGGTGTGTAGGCCTGGGGTGCTCCATGTGTGCTGGCACTACTGACCAGTAAGCCAGCAGTCACAGGGCTGTGATGGAGGTAGACAGGCTTAAGGGTCTGAAACCATGTTTGAGGGGCAGGCAAGGCTTCCCAGAGGAAGTGCCCTCTCAGTTCTGAGTTGAGTCTGGCACTATGAGCAGTGAAGCCAAGTGACAAGGCAGGAGAAGGGCCTCGCAGGCCACGGGCACAGTGTTTTGCACAGGCCGGGAGGGGGCGATCTGAGAACACTGAGCTGATGGCACACTGCAGCAGACAAGGCTGTGAGGTCAGCCCTGGGCCCTGCCACGGAGGGACTTGGGGCTATACTAAGGGGCCAGGACTTGATGCTGCAGGTTTGGTGAGCCACTGAAGGCTTTTAAACAGGAGTGCAATATGATTACATTGGTACTGTTGAATGATCCTTAGGCTGCTGTGTGGAAAATGGATTGAAATGGCCTGAAATGAGATGCAAGCAGGCCACGTGGCAGGCAGTGGCAAGAGAGTGTCCCAGTGGCTTGGGCTGAGGTGGGGCTGTGGATGTGGGGCAAGGTGGATAGTGCCAAGGGTGTTGGGGATAGGTCAAGCAGGCTGTGATGGAGTGGGGGCCAGGGCGTCTCGTGTCTCGGCTGATGCCCTGAGTGGTTTTGAAGGGAATGAGAATTCAGATTTAAATACAATGATCTGACCAGTGCGGTGGCTCAGGCCTGTAATCCCAGCAATTTGGGAGGCCAAGGTGGGCAGATCACCTGAGGTCAGGAGTTCAAGACCAGCCTGGCCAACATGGTGAAACCCCATCTTTACTAAAAATACAAAAAATTAGCCGGGTGTGGTGGTGCCTGCCTGTAATCCCAGCTACTTGGGAGGCTGAGGCATGAGAATTGATTGAACCCAAGAGGCAGAGGTTGCAGTGAGCCAAGACTGTGCCATTGCACTCCAGCCTGGGTGACAGAGCGAGACTCTGACTCAAAATAAAATAAAATAAAATAAAATAAATATAATAACTTCATGGAATCTAAGGGATGTCCACGTGTAGGCACCTGAGGCTCAGGAGAGGGATCTCGCCTGGAAATACAGATTTCGGGGTTTGGGAAACCATGGGAATGGGTGATGTTACCCAAAAGGACTGTGCAGGGTGTGGAACCCAAAAGTGAGGGCAGAAGCTGAGAGGTGCTCACATCTAGGGGGAATGAGAGGAGAAGGAGCTCTGCATGATGAGTGAGAGGGAGAGGTCGGAGCATGGGAGGAGCACAGGGGAGAAGGTCCTCGAAATCAGGGCAGGAGAGGTCTGGAGGGCAGCAGGGAGGAGTGGGAAGTGGTTCCCATGATCAGGGCGGGCTTCATGGAGGAGGTGAGCTCTGAGAGCCAGGTGGATGGCCGTGGGGAGGAGTGGAGCCAAGGCGAGAGAGACTATAGTTGAGCACAGGGACAGGTGTGTTGGGTGCCCTGGGAGAGCCCAGTCTGGCTGCAATGGCAACTCCTTGTGTGGGAGGACTGAGGAACAAGGCTGGAAGGGCAGGGAGGGGCCAGATGGTGGCCAAATTGCAAAATGTCTCATGATATTTAGGTTATTCTGACAAGGACAGGGTGTCAGAATAGGCAGAGAGCCACTGGCCTGACCAGGCTTTGCTGTGTGGGACAGAGGCTGAACTCTGACCTGGGAAATGGAGGAAAACTCCAAATGGGGTCCATGAACCCACAGAGGGGCTGGGGAGAGTCATGGAGGGGATGCCGGAAGGGGCTCAGGGGCTGTGCCGCGTTCCACATAGTGGTCCCACATTGGGGGCGTACACTCTAGGTGGCTCTGGGAGGTGCCCAGGTGTTGGGCCAGGGGCCAGTTCTACCACTTGCTCAGATTGGGAGGCCTTGCCTGGGATCACATGGGTGCCCTGGGAAAAGCAGCTGTGGGCAGGAGTGTATGCAGACCCCATCCCTATCTAGAGGTCCCTTCTAGAAGAGAGGACCTCTGAGCTGTGATCCTGGGGAGTATGCATCCAGGCCTTGCCTGGACACTGGAAACTGGGGGCTCAAAAAGTGGGGCCCGTGAGTCCTCACCCAGAGAGGCCCTAGCTGGCCTGAGTTGGAGGAGCAGCCCTGGCAGACCTGGCAGTCAAGTGGGCTGGCACCATTGCGTTGTAACTAGCCATTGCTCCCACCACACCCAGCACCAGGCAGCAGGAGAGGGAGCAAAATGTGTTTGGGGTCCTTGCTCCGCTCCCGTTTATTCATCCACACTCACTGAGTATTTACTGTGTGCCATGTACCACAGGCATCAGAGGTGACTTGCACAATAGGTTGTACCCGTAGGAAGTGCAGAGTCTAGGGAGGGTGACAGACAGTGTCAAGAGAGAGCCGAGAATTAAAGTCAGGAGACTGAGGTCTGGACCTGGCTCTGCCGTTCCCTTCCCAGTGACTGAGGGCCAGTCAGTGTCCCTTTCTGGGTCTCCAGGTGAGGGAGCTGAGGTTCTTCCGAGGTTCATCTCTAAAGTTTTTCTTACCTGCAGATTCCTACCTGTGTCCTGGGACTCATCCTCACTTTGGGGAATTCTGGCCAAGCGGGTGGGGAGAGAGAGATTTGGTGGGGTGGGGAAGCACAGGCCGATTCTGTAATCAGTCTCGGGCTCGGGTCCTGCTTGTGACAGGGACTGGCACTACCTATGTCAGCAAGAGATGAGTTGTGTGTGTCTTTGGGGGTGAGGTGTTTGTGGGCCTCGGGTTCCCCACAGTGTATAGAATCGAGGTTGGTTAGCACTCTGCCCCTGTGCATGTGCGTTTGTGTCAGCGGAGCTCGAGCTGTGCACTGGTGGATGGATGTGTCCACATGTATGTGCCTGCATGTGGGTGCACACATTATTGCATTTGTGTAGAATATGCAGCAGGTCTGCAAGTGTGTACAGAACCACAGATGCCTAGAATGTCAAAGCATTTCTATTGATGGTAACAATTGGAGTAATAATTCTAATAATGACAACAATAGTTAGCACTGTCCTAAGCACTTTCATGTTTACATGTATATTCTTCACAACAACACTGTGAACAGGGAATCCTGATTTTAAAAGTAAGAAAACTAAGACTCAGAGAAGCAAAGTTTTTAGCTCAGCTGGTGACCACCAGCTGGTAAGTGTTAGCAACGGGACTTGAACCCAGGCAACTCGTTCCGAGAGCTGAGCTCTGAGCCATTCCGTCTGAGGTCTGTGAATTTTTTTTTTTTCTTTTTTTGAGACGGAGTTTTGCTCTTGTTCCCCAGGCTGGAGTGCAATGGCGTGATCTCGGCTCACTGCAACCTCCACCTCCCAGGTTCAAGCAATTCTCCTGCCTCAGCCTCCCGAGAAGCTGGGATTACAGGCATGCACCACCACCACACCCGGCTAATTTTGTATTTTTAGTAGAGACGGGGTTTCTCCATGTTGAGGCTGGTCTTGAGCTCCTGACCTCAGGTGATCTGCCTGCCTCGGCCTCCCAAATTGCTGGGATTACAGGCGTGAGCCATCGCGCCCAGCCTGAGGTCTGTGAGTTTAACAGAAAACATACAGGCCAGAGAGAGCAGATGGTTTGTGCAGGATCAGAGAGAGCCTGGAGCATGCGTGTGTGTGTGTGTGTGTGTGTGTGTGTGTGTGTGTGTGTGTGTGTGTGTGTGTTCTGTGCATACCCACTGTCTGGGCCATGTCAGCAGGTGTGCCTGTGGCCATGTCAGTGTGCAGGGCAGCCTCTGTGTGTGTCTCTGGATGAACATATGGGGTACAACATGTTTCGCCAAGTACTTCAGGACAGCGGGGTGAAGCAGAGATCTTCCTTCATCAAGGGTAGAGGAGCAGGGAGAAATGGACTGGCCTATTTTTTTCTTCTGTCTTTGGGCTGGCCTGAAGGAAGTGGTGAGCCCAGCCTGGGCCTATGGCAGGACCTCCCAAATCTGGCTGCTTCCTAGAATCACAGTTTTTGGGACTCTCCACCCACAGGCGGAGATTATGCGGCTCAGGGCAGGCAGGAAGTCTCTGCTGAATTCCCTCTTTCCCACCACCTTTTTGGAGGCGCCCTCTCTAGACCTACCTCAATTTTCTCAGTGCCTGATGTGTGAACTTCCTCATAACACCAATCATTTAAACTATGAGCACCTACAACTCTGTCACCTGCACATGTGGGGAACCGGGAGGGAAACAGTGTGAAAGCAGGCACAATTTTAAAGTATCTATTGTTCTTTGGTGATGGTGGGTTTTTTTGTTTTTGTTTTTTTTCTTTTTTCACACCTGGCTTTGTTCTCAAGGAAATTTAAGGTGCAAATTAGGAGTTGCGGGAAAAGCTAGGGCAAGGGTGAAGCAGGCTAGCAAGTGTGTGATCTGGGGGAGGGCTGTTTGCCTGCCTTTACCGGTTGTCTCTGACCGATAGCACAGCAGGTCAGCATGCGCTGAGTACACAGACACTGCCCGGCAGCCACCAAAGCATTTCCCTGCCACGTGCTGGACAGTGTGCTAGGGGCTGGGGGACAAAGATGAATAAAGCTGCCCAGTCCTGCCCTTTTGGAGCTCAAGGTCACAAGCAGTGGGGTGGAGATGCAAAGGTCTAGAAAGATGTTAACAATCCAGGTCCATCAGGGAGATAACAGAGCACTCTTATCTGCTAGAAGCTGGGAGCTTGCAGGGGAGGGAGCTGGAGCGGTCTCACAGAGGTGATATTTCAACTGGTGTTGAAGACAAGTAGGTGGCCACAAGTGGTGCCCAATCTGAAGGGCAAGAGCCCTCTGGGATTCAATGCCATCCTATGAAAATCCTTCTGCCTGGCAGCTGAGCAAACTCTGGCTGGAATGTTAACTCAAGCCACCCACATGTGCTGTGAGAGGGGGCTTTGGGCAATGGTGGTGCCTCTGTCCCTTGGCCTCTCTGGGTGGGCCTTAGACCCCTAACCCTTGGTGCAGATGGGACTAGCTCAGAAGGATCCTAGACTTGGCCAAAAAGAAGCTGAAACGGAAAGCAAGGTGGGAGCAAAGCCAGTCCTATTAGAATGTTCTCCCTCTTCCCTACTCTGCTGGAGGCTCCATGCCAAGTCCCTTGTGCCCCCATGTGACAGCAGCAAGGGATGCTGGGGCTGAGTGTCCCAGGCCCCCTCCTTCCTGGAGGAGCTGGCCCAGGCAGTCCTTGCTGCTGCTGTAAAAGCTATTTCAACTGGCCTCTGTCTCAGGAAGAGAGAGGGTCAGGCTGGGAGAGGTCTGGTAACACCCTGGGCGCCATTTCTACCCCCACATATCTGGGACACTTCCACTTCACTCGGAGGGCATGGGGGCACAGAGCAGGATTCTTCCAGAAGGCGATGAGGCAGCAGTTCTGCCCAGCCCTGTACACAAGCTGCCTGGTGGCTCAGACTTTGAGGGGGCAGGGAAAAAGCCACTTTCAAGAAATGACTTCAGTTTGCCCCTCCTCCTACGAGTCCATCCCTTCCCTCATTTGGAAGAGTGATTTAAAATTAGATACTAAAATAGCTCAGTGAAGAGCACAGCATTTACTCCATGGCGGGTGCTGTTCCAAGTACTGCACATCTTATAACATCGAATCCTCACGACCACCCTTTGAGGTGGGCACCATTATGACCCCCATTTTACAGAGGAGGAAGCTGAGGCTCAGAGAGGTGCAGTAACTTGCTCAAGGTCACTCAGATTTTAAGTGGTGGAGTTGGGATTCAAACACGAGTAATTGGGCTCTAGAGTACCACCTTATGCCGCATGGTCACCCCGATCCCAACACCTCCCTGTGATGGGGCGGGGGTGCCAAGGCGGAGGGTGTACAGGGAAAGTTTCTGAGCCCTAATGAGTAGCACGGAATCTAGCTGGGGAGACATGCCACACACAGCTGTCAACACATGGCAAGGAACTCTCTCAGAGCACACAGCCACGTTCCTGAGAGAAAGGGTTCCCCAGTCCAGAACAACCCTGAGCTAGGTAGGACTAAGCCAGGAAGGCTTCTCGGAGGAGGTGAGTGACCATGGTCTCCTTGCAGAGACCATAGTGTGAGAAGTTCCAGAGAGAAGGAGGAGGGGGAAGGGCGTTGGAGGCCAGAGCCTAGATTCTGAGGCAGGACCTTGGGGCGGGTGGTTTGCACCCTCCTCCACCCTGCCTGACCCCGCCCACTTGCCCGGGACGCCGGCGCCGCAGGGGCTGTGAGCGGTGGGTGGCCCCGGAGACGGAGCTGTCGAGTCTGTGCCTGACACCTCTTTTCCCTCCACTTTCTTGGTCTCTTTCAGTTGGAGGAGGACAGACTCTCGGGGCACTCCCTCCCGCGGTACAGCCCCCTGCGACGACTGGCGTCCTCCGTGTTCTCCTCCTCCACGCTGGAGACGGAGCATTACCCTCACCCCGGCGGCGGCGGCTCCTCGGGCTCCTCCGGTTCCCTCATTCAGCGCAGCCGCTCGGCTGAGAGCAGCCCTGTGCGGGCGCCCCACCGGCGCCACGCGCCCCTCGCTGCTGGCAACCACAGACTCATGCCCTCGGTGCTCCGCATCTCGCGGTCCCAGCTGCAGCAGGTGTGGGCCCGGTTCACCCACAAGACCTAGGCTGGGCCCCCCCCCTCCTGGAGGGGGCAGGTGGGGGGGGGTGGGGAGCAGGCAGAGGACCATGGTTCCTTCCCAGGACGCAATAATCACACACTCACACATCCCATCCCACCCCATCATGCAATACAGCCCCCCTAGAACGTTGGCCCAAGGTACTGTAATACTCCCACCCCAAGCAGAGTCTCCGTCCCACCTCCCCATCAGCTCCCTTTGTAGGTGCCAGCCAAATGGTGCAGGGAGGGGTGGGGCTGGTGGTACAGTTTCCAGGACAGGGCAGGGGCGCTCAGCTGGAGCCACTGATGGGTCCAGAGTCCAGTGGAAAGAGAGGTGTCAGGGAGATGAGGCCTGCAGGGCCAGAGGCACTCTGGTATGGGCTTTGTTCTGTTTAATTTGTGATCTCTTGGCATGGCTGGGTCTGATCCACCCCGAGGGGCTGGCGGGAGGCCAAGACCCTCCTTGCATGGTGTGTGTGTGTGTGTGTGTGTGTGTGTGTGTGTGTGTGTGTGTCCCTGTGTATGGATGGAGGCCAGGACAGCCAGGTTTGGAATGTGGTGGGGAGTGTTTCAATGCTCAGTGATCGGGGGAGGAGCCCTGTGACCTAGCGAGACTTTCTCAGGCCATCATCATTGAGGACAGAGTTCTCTCCTCACACATCTTACCCCAGGAAGGCTCAGTCCATGGTAGGCTGCCCCTCCCCCAAGACACCTGTGCCATCACTCCCTGGTAGGATTGGGTGTCTGTCCTCGGCTCCTCAGGAACTGAGGATGGATGAGAGGGGCCTGGGATCCACCTCCCAAGGCAGGCTGGAACTGAGCAACGAGGAGACCCAGCTTAGAAGCAGTGGCAGCTAAGGTGGTTGTTAAGGATGACGTGAGAAACCATGTGCTTGTCAGCAAAACCAGTGTCTCAGGACAAATCCCAGGCGGGAGCAGCCCCACCTCTGCCCTTCTCAGAAGGTGACTCCTTCCTGTAGGTGCTCGGTCAGCCCCAAGGGCGGTGGTGAAGACACAGCAGAAGAGAGGCAGGTTGGATAGGGATCTGGACACTTGGGAGTGGGGAAGTGTCAGGATGCCAGCTTGCGCCTGCCTCTTCTGCCCATTTCTCAGCCCCCAACCTTCACTGCAGGGAGCCCAAGTTTCCCTTTATTCATCCTGCCCATGTCAGCCAGCACCTCTGTTCCCCTGGGGAATGCGGTAGTAGTGAAGTGGGTACTAGAAAGGGCCGTGCCTGTATGGGGAGGGGAGGAGGCCCAAAGATTTGCAAAATGTTTATTTCAGTGAGACTGTGTCTGTATGTTTGCTTGTGTGCATGCGCGTACACTTGTGCATAAGAGTGTGCTTACGAATGAGCGTTTGTGCATGTGGAAGGGCTGCCATGGATGAATGCTCAGGCTGTGCACTGTGTAATTCCAGGAAGTGCCATTTACATAGACCTCAATGTGACTGGCACGTGCGCAAGTTGCACAGTGCTGTATGAGTGTGTGTATGCACATGTGTGTTAGGGAGCCAGAAAGATGTCTATGCAGTCATTGGTAGTTTCCTATGTAGCTACTCTCATCCCAGCTTCACTCTTCTACCCCTCTCTCCCTGTAACCTCTGCTTGGCCCATCAATTCCCCAGATGTCTCTGGTTAGAGTAGAGGCCTCAGGGCCCTGGCCCCTGCCTGGGGGTGCCATAAGTGTGGTGGGCAGTGCCCTGGAGCCAAACTGTCCACACAGAGGGCCACCATTGTGGTATGGCTCATCCACACCATTCACATAAGCCACTCCATAGTCACACACTCCTTTCCCCAAAATCTTTCTTTGTAAGTCTATTTATTTATTTATTTATTTATTTATTTATTTTTGAGGATGTCTGGGCCAAGAGCACCTTCTCCATCTGGCAACAAAAGCCAGATTTGGGTTCTAATACTTGTGCCCCACCCCCACCCCCATCTCAGCTGCTCACTTTTGAATCTCCCCAAACCCAAGCCTCTGTTGCCCTCTGGGCTGTTTTGGATGGCTTTGCACCCTGCTCAGGCAGTAGGCAGGAGAGGGTCAAGGTGGACCCTTTGAGAAGGGACAGAAAACAAAAAGCACAAAGGTGAGGGGGTGAGGCTGAACAGTGGCCCCACTCCCCTCCTGCTGGCACTGCCTCCCCCAGCCACCTCCTCTTGCCCTCTTCCCATCCACCCCAGGTAGTGGCAGGAGGTGAAGTGAAGGGAACCTGCCCACCATCTGCTCCATAAGTCAGCAGCAGTGTGGGCAAGGGCCCCCCCACCCAATCTGGGGTTGGATGAAACCAAGCACTCTGTGATCCAGCATTCCCTTCTAGAGGGTTCCACTACTCAACCCTGAGCACAGCTCCATCTCAGTGACCAGAACCCTGAGGTACTCTAAGATCCCAAAGTGCCTTGTGAAATATTGAAGATGATGGCACTGGCTTCAGCCTCATTTCAGCATTACATACATATTACTGTTTCCAACGCCTTTGGAAGTGGGAGATCCAGCATTGAGAAGGCGGCTGAGTTTTCAAACACACACCCCCCACCTCAGAACTGACACCTGTGGGAGAGGGTGTGTCCTTTAAAGCAAGGCCATGGTTCAAAGCATGTTGTCCTTTAGGGGGACATCCTTTTGTATATCCTCCATGGTGGAGGGGAGAGTGTTTTGTAAGCCATAAAGCTCTGAGCTAACAGGTGATCTTAATAATATTATCTTTTCGGGGTGGCTTTGACTCTTGGAGATTGTTAAGGTCATCTAAGCCACTTGTGTTGGATTAAGTTCATGTGAAGCTCGGCAGAGCTTCACATGGTTTGGGTCGAGTTGCTGGTCTCCGGTTCCCAGGCTAGGTGGGGATGCTGTGAGCCTGCAATATTGTCACTCTTGTTTTCTGAAGCATTTCCCAAGAGAAGGCCAGAATGTTTCAAGATTGATACCCTGCTTGGGGAAAGCGTGTAGCCTCCTCGGGGTCAGCTTTGAAAAGAGACAGCTGTCTTTGTTGTATTTTGAAAGTGGTGTTTTCGCACTTCATAGTCTCACTCTGCATTTAGTGGTGGCTTACAATTATTTGTGATTTTATTTAATAGCCACTGGCACACAGTGCTTATTATGTGCCAGGCAGCGATCTAAGCACTTTACAAAATTAACTCATTTAAACCTCATGATAGCTTATGAGGTAGATCCCAGTATTATCTGCATTCAACAAATTAATCAGAACATTTTATTTACCAGAACATATAAAAAACCCACCCATGCCGAATAATCTGAGGTCTTGTTTGACAGAGTTTGTGAAACATCTTGGTCTATGTATTGGTTGATTGATTGTCCTTTGCGGTGGGCCCCCTCCTCAGTCTATAGAAAAGAGGGGAGTTGTCAGCAAGCCATATTTTCCTTCCTTTCCCATTCCCACCTTGCCATGGGGTGGCATCCAGATGGGAGTCACTCCAGAGTACTGGGGTTGGTTAAAATGGCTGGACCCTGTCTCTCCAGAGACCTCCAACCCCTCAATCCCACATGGCCCCAAGCATCCCACAGCAGCTCTGGGGATCAGGTGGGCAGAGGAGGAGTTAGCATGAGAAAGCAGGGGCTCCAAAGCCTGACCTCAGTGGGATTGGTGAGGTCCTAGGGGTCAGACTCACAGACGGGGAAGACACTGGCATCTGTGAACACCGAATGGGTGTCACCAACTCGTACATCAACAAGATCCAAACAGTGTCAGGGAAGTGGCAGGTTCAGGGACTGTGGTAAACAGGGGAACTCCCATGCCCATACCATCCTCAGCTCAACCAATTGTTGCCACTATCTTCTAATTTTTATTTGAAATCTCCCAATTTTTAATTGTTGGCATCTAATTTTAAAAAGAAAAATCACTGTATGAACCAAACCAAAATGGTTTACAGGCAGAGGTGGCCTAAACTCATTTTGCAACCACTGTGAGCCTGAGGACTTCCTGCACCACCCTCTGTCCAGGGCTGCAGCACTCAAAGGCGACAGTGTTCTTGCCCAGGAACTCGAACCTGGCCAGTGGGGATGTGTGGTGTGTGCTGTGTTTATACATGTGGTGTGCATAAGTGCCTGAATGAGTGTGGGGGCCAGTGGACCTTTTTGTGGTGAGTGGGGGCCTCCTGGTGGGACTAGTATTTTCTCCATGGGAGAGGGTATGTTCTGAGGACCCTGGGTCCGTGACAAATGCGCTAGTAAATTTTCGATAACTCAATATACATCCCCCACACACTCAAGGCAGCTTGGGTCACAGCAATAACCACTGAACACTCATCCCAACCGCTAACATCCTGAACCCAACGATATCCCTTTGCATTTCCAGTTTTGGGGAAAACAGACACAGCCCTGCCTAGTGGGTGGGGGATGGTGGCACCTCTGAGCCATGCTGGTCCCAGGACACCCGGACTCGCTCTCTCTTCTGTCCTGCCTAGATCCCTTTTTCTGGGGAGGGGTGGTGCTGTCTTGCTCAGGCAGTGGTCGGGGGAGCCTTGGGCCCCTGGGTAGGCAGAAGGAGCTGTGTAAATGTATTTATATGGAGTGGGCAGTGGAGGGAACCATACTTGGGGAGGGTGTGGCTCTGACCGGGGATGGGGGCAACTCCAGCTGTGTGTGGGGAGCCTGGAAAATGCTGTATCCTCTGCTGTCCTTGGGTTGATGTGGTACTTGGGGATGGAAGTGTAGATCTCTCCGGAGGGCCTGAACCCCATCCCACCCTACCCCAAACTCCACTTAGACCTGGGACACACTCAACTCAAGGGGCAGGAACCAGCCCACCCTCCATACAGTCAGCCCCTGAAAATGTCAAGCATCCTTCTCCCTAAGGGAAGGGCTCCAGGTCTGAGGGCCACAACCCTCCCATATCCCTCTGGTTCCCCACACACCATCCAGTGGGCGTCCCAGCCCAGGAGGCCCCAAGCCTGAGTGCCCGCTTCCTCCAAATGAGGGGTGGGGAAGGGGTGGAGAGGAGGGGGAAATGGAGCCCACAGGACTCCTTCCTACAACCTTCCTAGACTCTCCTCCGCTTGGCTCCGCCGTCAGTCCCACCACTCACCCTCCCTCCCTGCACAGGCTGTGGGGGTGCGGGCAGTGGGGTCCACTTGGCCACTCACTAACCGGCCCTCACGCACTCACACTCACACCCACACTCACACACTCTCCCTCCGTAGCTGCGCGCACTTCGCCCACTCTCCGGACCCTGCACTAGCGGCCCCGGCCGGGAGGGCACGAGGACTGCGCAGCCGGACCCCCGCAGGTCCCCAAGCCAGGGGTCCCGTCCATCCGCCCGCCCCCGCGGCCAGCGCCACGAATGTACGGCCCGCCCCACACAGCGCCCCGCGGCGCCCTGCACCCCCCGCCGGACTTCGGCCCCGCCGCGCTCCCGCCCCACCCCGCCGCCGAGGCTTCCCCTGGGTTCGCGTCCCCCGCCGCCCCCGTCGCCCCGCCTTCGCGCCCGTTTTCGTTTGCTTTTCCCTGCTGCTGGCTGGCGGCCTTTGGGTCCCTGGCCCCGGGGCGGGGGCGGGCTGGAGTGGGGCTCCCCTCAGTGCTGCCAGGCTGGGGTGCGGATGGGGACAGGCGGAGGCGTTCGGCTAAGCCTCCAGGCTCGGAGGGCCCTGTCGCCCCACCCCTGACTCCCGTTACCTCACTGCCCGTCGGGCTGCCCCCCACCCCGCCCCAATAATTGGCCTTGCAATTGGATGCCAAAGAGCCCAGAGTTGAGGGGGAGCAGAGCTTTGAGCCCAGGTCTCTCAGAGCAACCCAACAGCCCCCTTTTTGCCCACGCCCCAATCCGCGTCCCCTGCCCCACCCCACCACTGAGGGCCCTGGGGGTCACCAAACATGCCCCCCCATTTCCAGCTCTTCCCACACCCCCACCCCCGAAAATAAAACTCAGGGACCAACATCTGCTTCCTTTGCACTTGCTCCGTCGACCCCGCTCCCCGCTCGGAGGGGCTTCCGTGGGGGAGGGGGCGGGGCTCCGGGCCCTCAGAGTTCTCAGTGTCGAGCGAGGAGAGGGGCTGGCCCCTGCCCCCGGAGAAGCGGGACTGGTAGGAGAGAGAAACTCAGCACCGGGGCCCAGCTGAGCCCCTTCCTGCGTAAGGAGACGCCTTCTAATTGCGGGGTGGGGGCGGAGTAGGGGAGGGATAGGAAGGGGATTAGCGAGAGGACCCTCGCGGAGGTCCTGAGTCCCAGTCGGTTTATTCCTGAGCCTTCCCCTCCCATCGTAAGTCCTTCCCTCGACCCCCCATTTTGTACTGCAATAATACTGTATTATACGCTTGCACTATTTCCCGACCCTGGCCAGCGGAAGCATGCACGAAAAACTCAAAACCACACACACGCTCACACGCACACACACGCACACGAAGATGGGACGCTTTTTTTCTTCCTCTCTCTCTCCGGGGTGCGTCCTCCTTAGTGTACATAGCGGCGTCGGGGGGTGGCCCCAGGCCCGGGTAGAAAAGCATGCACTGAGCCCCCTGCCCCTAGACTGCGAGTACTGTACAAATCCAACACTTGAAACCGACACGCACACGCGCGGCGCCGCCACGGGGGTGGGACACGGACACGCACCCACGCGCACACGGCCGCGCACGGGCGGGGAGGGGGCGCCCCGCCGTCACGCGTCGCTGTGCGAGGGATTTTGTGCCTTTTTAAGTCCCTGTATGTTAATGCAGACAATCCGGAGAGCTTGTGTACTACCAAATCCTGATTAAAGACGCCTTCCAGGAACCTGCGCCTCCGCCTGCTTTCTTTCACCCTCCCCCTTCCTTTCCCAGCTCTCAGTGTAGACCCTGGCTCTGAGGTCGCCGGGCTGGGCAGAGGGCAGGGGTTAGTCTGTTGCTGACTCTGGGACTGAGGGGTGGGCAAGTTCTGGGTCAGTGGATGAGCTTCGTCCACACCTTAGCCAGGCAGCTGGGTGAGGAGGGCACCCCAGAGGTTTGGGCCTAGTTGGACTTGAGTCACCCTTGCCCTGCTGGCAGTCTCCTTTCACTGAACGGGTGGGGAGGGAAGGGGTGAGTGGACTCTGGTCTCTGGGACTCAGCTCCAAATTGCCAACTTCCGGGTGGGGATGGAGGGTGTGTAGAAGTAGGGGGCTGGGCCCACCAGGCCCAGTGATCAGTTCTGTATGGGATCAGGCTTTTGAGACCAAGTGTCTGGTGGGACTAGAAAGCTAGGATGCCAGAGGCCTGTGAGAGGACACTGTACTGAGGAGCCTCCCACTGGCCCTCTGCTACGATGGGCAATCTGAGAGATATGGGAGATGCAGCCCTGGCCTTGGGGGTGCCAGGGTGGGGGTGGCCCGCCAAGGAGGGACACTGGAGCATGGACTGTGAGAACCTGGGGTTGGGGGTGCAGGGATGGAACATGGGTTGAAGGAGAACTCAGTCAGTGGGAGGGGTGGGCCACTAAGAAGGAAATAATGGCAGACTTCTGAGACTGGAGAGAGAGGGGAAAGGTGAGGAGGACAATGTAAAAGAGGAAGGCCCCCCCATACCTCCACCCCATCCCCGCACACTGCCAACCAGAAAGGCAAAGGGGCAAGCTCCAGCTGCATTCCCAAAGCCCCGGGGCATTTAGAAGACGCCCCCCACAGGCTGTCAGCTCCTCGCCCTGGGGCAGGCAAGGGTGGGTTTTGGACACAGAGATGTGGGGTCAAGTGGGTGTGGTTCTGCATAGACCCAGGGTAGGTGGCCACGTTCCCGGGTCATCTTACCCCTTCCGCCACCTTCCCCTTCCCCGGCATTCCTGGGTGTGGGGTGGAGTGGAGGGAGGGCTCTTGGCTTGGCAGAGACGTTTGGAGAGTGGTGGCACAGACAGACAAATGCAAGTGAAGGGTCTGGGAGAGGCGGTGCTGAGTGCGGAGCTGACAGAGGTGATGCAGGCACATCTCATCTCCTCGCAGGTGGAGCAGGGGTGTTGGGGGTGCTTCTTCCCTACTGGAGGAGAGGAGGTGGGAGGCATGCACGAGGCAGTTTCTGAGAGAGGAGGAGGAACTGCTGTGAGAGGCACAAGCCTCCGACCTCAGCATAGGAGGAGTGGGGAGCCAGGGCTCACCCTCCTGCTTTCATCACACATCGCCTCCCAGCCCCACATCTTGGACTTTGGGACTGTGGGCCGGGGTGCAGTGCCTGAAGTCTGGGGCTGGCTGGGGTCCAGGCAGGAGTGGCTCCATGCACCCTGTGTGGGGGTTAAGGGTGGGGCTATGTGGAGCCCCGTCTCCAGTGTCGGTGTCAGAGAAGTTTCCCCAAGGGCATGAGAGCCCAGTTTTGTTGGTGGCAATTGAAGATCAGAGTCTGGTCCATCCTCTCCCTTCACTTTTCCTCCTAACTGGAGTAAACATGGACTTGGGCTGGGCTCTTGAGCTGGTGAGGCCTAGCCCTCTAGATGAGGCACAGTGCATGGAGGGGAGGGGCTGGGGCTTTCATTCTCTCTGAGGGTATCAGTTTGATTGGCCTGTCCTCCTCCTCTCCCCACAGCCGAACCCTTACCATATATGCCTTTGGCTGAACTCTGAATCACTAAGGAGCTTTAAAACAGCCAGATTTCTGGGCCTCTTCTCTGACCTACAGAATCTGGGGGTAGGATCCAGGATTGTGTATTTTTAAAAAGCAACTCTGGACAATGTTGTGCCAAGCCAGGCCTGGGAACCACAATAAGCAGATTAGAATCATAAAGGTTGCTGCCCTGAGAAGGAAGCAAGAAGGTGTGAATTTTGTCAGACAGCTAAAGAGCCACGCACACTGACGGTGTCTGTGGATCACTGGCTGAGTGAATGAACTCAAGATCAAATGGGCAAATGGATGAATAATTCACTGGGCATTCAGGAGAGGCAGGGAGACGGTTAGGCTACTCTCTGAGGAGGGAGGAATTTGAGCCCAGCCTCTGCCCCTCCCCAGCACAGAGCCAGATGGGGGAAGGGCAGAGGGACTTTGAAACCGAAAAGCCAGCATGCCTAGGTTGGTGTGGGGGTGGCAGTGATCCTTAGGGCAAAGTTGTCCTCACCCTGAGATTCAGGGCTCTTCCTCCCAAAAGGCAGAGGGTTCCAGGTGTCCCCATGTGGGACTGAGTGGGAGACACTGGAAAGAGTTTTGGGTCCTGGGCCACCCTGGTGGATGTGCTTCATAACCTGGACCAATGCCCAAATCCATGCCCCTCTCTGTGCCTCAGTTTCCCAGTCTGATTTTATGACTGATCATTGATTTCCAGTTCTCATTCCTCCTCTCTCCCAGGTAATAGGAGGGGAGGGCTTGGAGGCAGGAGAAAGGGTTCCACCTACAACCATCCAATGTGAGCACTGTGTGTGTGTGTTGCGGGGGATCCCATCCTCTACATGGGGCCTTTTCAGAGAGATCCAGGGCCTGGCCAGAGAGCAAAGGAAAGGGTGTCTCTAACCAAGGTGCCAGGGATTAGAGAGGGACAATAGGTAAAGGTTCTGAGGAGAATGGGTGGCCTGGTGGAGTTAAAGGCCATCCCTACTGGGCAGGATGTGCTGGTGCCAGTTGGGTGAGTTCAGAGGTGGTTGGGAGAGAGACATGCTCAGAGCTCTCTGTCTGTCTACCTGTCCCTGACTCTCAGTGCCAGCACCCACCCACCCCATGGTCCCCACTCATCCGGGAGCTTACAGCAGCCCCTCCACCTCTATCCAGCCATTTTCTCTAGCCATAACATTGGTGACTGGCAAAGTGTCCCAGCACAAGGCCTGGCACACAGTTGGTGCTTAGTGTTTGCTAAATGAATGAATGGATTAATAAGAACGAATATTGTGCAGAAAAAGTAAATTCTTCTGGACACTTCCAGCCTATATGTGGAGGGGACAAAGTTTTTTGTTGTTGTTGTTGTTGTTGTTGTGTTTTTTGAGACAGTGTCGTTCTGTTGCCCAGGCTGGAGTGCAGTGGTGCGATCACAGCTCACTGCAGCCTTGATCTCCTCAGCCTCTCGAGTAGCTGGGACCACAGGCGTGCACAACCACGCCCAGCTAATTTTTGTATTTTTAGTGAAAACAGGGTTTTGCCATGTTCCCCAGGCTGAGGGGACCCTAGCAACCCTGTTTGAGCCAGGTAGGGAGCTTTCTGAGAAAGCTTTCTAAGAAAACTTTCTAACTAAGAAAAGTTTTCTAAGAAAGTTCCCTACCTGGCCCAAACAGGGTTGCTGGGGTCCTGCTGGAATCTGAAGCTATCTTCTTGCATCACCCCCACCAAATCCTCACTGATGGTCTGATTACAGGGAAGATCATGGCAGTTGGGAAGGGGAGCAGCCACAGCCCTGGACAGATCCTCAGCCTTGGAGGTCTCTGCCTTCCTCTCCACCAGGCTTTGTGCTATTTGCATGGAGGCTTCGGCTGGCAGAGCCCCCTCCTTTCCCCACACGCTATTCCCCATAGGTGTGGCATCCAGGCTTTTCTGGGGTTGGGGAGGGGGCCAATGACCTCCAAACCAAGGTGAGCAGAGCAGGAGGTGGGAGGTAGGGGTGGGAGAGAGCTAACATTTATTGAGCAACTGCTATATGCCTTTGCTTATATGACCTCATTTATGATCACAACCTTTGTGGAATGTGCATATCCCCACTTAGTTTCCTGATATAGAGAAAATAAGGACCATCTCTATCTTGTTCATACTTGATCCACAGATTCTTAGACTATAACATGGTGACCAGGACAAGAGACATTCAAAGACCACTTCTTGAGGGAGTAAATGAAGAAACCCTCAGGGATCTCTGTGTATCAGGAGAGGGAACCCTATAAATACACGCATGTAGGACAATAGGTGGGAGATTCTCTCACAGAAGGATGTGGAAAACAAGTAGAAAAGGGAGAATAAGTAAATCTGCTTGGTGGGTGGACAGGAAAGTTGACAGGAAGGCTTTGTCTCCTCTTTGCTAAGACCAGGAGCTGTTTGAGCTGGTCTTGAAGGAAGGGTAGCAAGTTATCATGTGCAGAGAGGAGGTGAGAGGAGCCCCCAGGTGGAGGAAACTGCCTGGGCTAAGTGTGAGCTGGAAGATGCACTTAGGAACTTCTGGAAGCATCGGAATGCGTGGAGTGTAGGCAGGGGCAGGGGACGGAGGGTGTTGCAATAAGTGAGACCAGAGCAGCCAGTAGTAGCCAGGTCACAGGGCTGGGTGGGGGATTCATGGGCCAAGTCAAAGATCTGAACTGTCTTAGGCCAGGCGTGGTGGCTCACGCCTGTAATCCCAGCACTCTGGGAGGCCGAAGCGGGTGGATCACCTGAGGTCAGGAGTTTGAGACCAGCCTGGCCAACACGGCGAAACCCCGTCTCTACTAAGAATAAAAAAAAATTAGCCGGGCGTGGTGGCGGGCACCTGTAATCCCAGCTACTAGGGAGGCTGAGATGGGAGAATCACTTGAACCCGGGAGGCAGAGGTTGCAGTGAGCCGAGATCGTGCCACTGCACTCCAGCCTGGGCGACAGAGCAGGGCTCCATATCAAAAAAAAAAAAAAAAAAGATCTGAACTGTCTCCTAAGGACTGTGGCAGCCATAGCAGATTTGAAGCAGAGAGAGATGGAATCAGATTAAGTTTCAGGAAGATCACTCAGGCAGATGTAAAAAGGATGGACGGCAGTGCAGAATGGAGAGAACAGGCCGGTGGCTGGGGAACCACCAGGAAAGGCAAGGCTGTGCTCGTGGGCCTGGGGTAGCAGACACAGAGAAGTTTAAGAAGGATGCTTGGCAGGACTCCTTGGCAGCGTAGATGGGCAGGAAAGTGGGGAGGCAGGATATCCCCGGGGCTTCTGGTCTGGATGGGCTGTGTTCGGCTAGCTTAGGAAGACAGAAGCCCAGCGTGTTCGAAAATGCTAGCAAAGTGCTGGACATCGTCAGCACCGTCCCACCATGGAACAAAGCTGTGTCAGCCCTGATGCGCCCAGGGCATTGCGGGTGCCTGGGGATGTCTGTGTATTGAACAGGGTGGAGCTAGAGTGAAGGAGACACAGCAGCCAAGGTCCTGACCAGGTGGTCAGACCTTTCTAGTCTGGAAGGAAGGAGGCTAAGGGGGACATGGCAAGAGTCTAGAAAACCAAGGACTGCTTTGTCCATCACATTGCCAAGGGCTCTGCACAAAACTTTGAAGAGGAAAATGGAATGGAGCTCAAGTATACCTGTCGAGGGCTGGACAAATTCCTGGCTGAGAGGATGGATTGGAGGTCGAGGGGCCCAGCCTGCACTTTTAAGGGTAGAGGACAGCCCCGCCTTTGCCCTTGTCCAGCACAGGATCTGGTGGCCCTGGGCAGCCAGCTCTCTGGCCACAGAGAAACTGCACACCCTGAGGTGGTACTGAGGGCATCTAGGAGCCAGCCCGGCACAGCCCATCCAGGAAGTGGCACAGATACTTGCCGCCGTCTCTGGACCTGGCTTTCTCATCTGTAAAAGGAAGGGCTGATCTGCGTGGTGGTCGTGGTTCCTTCCAGTTTTCATTTTCTGTTATTGTTGCTGACTCGGGTGCAGGATGCACATGGCGATGAGAGGGGCTGGGGACATAGAGAGGCTGGGAGGCAGAAAGGCCACCAGGATCAGGGCCTGGGACTTCAGGGGACCTAGAGCATGGACAGTCATTCATCAGAGGTTTCCTGAGCACTCACTAGGCGCCAGAGACCATTCTAGGCCCTGGGGACAGAGCAGTGAACAAGACAGACCCAGTGCCTGTGCTTAACTTTATGGAGCTCACACTCTGGTAGACGACCTGGGCCTGTGAGTCTCCTAGGTTGTGGGTGCAGCTGAAGTCTTCCTGGGCCCAGGAGGGTGGGTGACCTCAGAGGGTCCCTGTGTATGCCCCTTGCAGGTGTTCTCCGTGGCGCCCCCATTTGAGGTGAATGGCCTCCCACGAGCTGTGCCTCTGAGTCTGCCCTACCAGGACTTCAAAAGAGACCTCTCCGATTACCGAGAACGGGCGCGGTTGCTCAACAGGGTCCGGAGGGTGGGCTTCTCGCACATGCTGCTCACCACCCCCCAGGTCCCACTGGCTCCTGTTCAGCCTCAGGCTAATGGGAAGGAGGAAGAGGAGGAGGAGGAGGAAGATGAGGAAGAGGAAGAAGAGGATGAGGAAGAAGAAGAGGAGGAAGAGGAAGAGGAGGAGGAAGAAGAGGAGGAGGAGGAAGAGGAGGAGGAGGCTGCAGCGGCAGTTGCCTTGGGGGAGGTGCTGGGGCCTCGTAGTGGCTCCAGCAGTGAGGGGAGTGAGAGGAGCACTGACCGGAGCCAGGAGGGTGCCCCGTCCACGCTGCTGGCAGACGATCAGAAGGAGTCCAGGGGCCGGGCCTCCATGGCCGATGGGGACCTGGAGCCTGAGGAGGGCTCCAAAACGCTGGTGCTTGTCTCTCCTGGCGACATGAAGAAGTCGCCCGTCACTGCCGAACTGGCCCCCGACCCCGACCTGGGCACCCTGGCTGCCCTCACTCCTCAGCATGAGCGGCCCCAGCCCACGGGCAGCCAGCTGGACGTATCTGAGCCAGGCACCCTGTCCTCTGTCCTCAAGTCTGAGCCCAAGCCCCCGGGGCCTGGGGCAGGGCTGGGGGCCGGGACAGTGACCACAGGGGTCGGGGGCGTGGCAGTCACCTCCTCACCCTTCACCAAAGTTGAGAGGACCTTTGTGCACATTGCGGAGAAAACCCACCTCAACGTCATGTCTTCCGGTGGACAAGCCTTGCGGTCTGAGGAGTTCAGCGCTGGGGGCGAGCTGGGTCTGGAGCTGGCCTCTGATGGGGGCGCTGTGGAGGAGGGGGCCCGAGCGCCCCTGGAGAACGGCCTCGCCCTGTCAGGGCTGAATGGGGCTGAGATAGAGGGCTCTGCCCTGTCTGGGGCCCCCCGGGAAACCCCCTCAGAGATGGCCACAAACTCACTGCCCAATGGCCCGGCCCTTGCAGACGGGCCAGCCCCGGTGTCCCCGCTGGAGCCAAGCCCTGAGAAAGTGGCCACCATCTCCCCCAGACGCCATGCTATGCCAGGCTCTCGCCCCAGGAGCCGTATCCCTGTCCTGCTCTCTGAGGAGGACACGGGCTCGGAGCCCTCAGGCTCACTGTCGGCCAAAGAGCGGTGGAGCAAGCGGGCTCGGCCGCAGCAGGACCTGGCGCGGCTGGTGATGGAGAAGAGGCAGGGCCGCCTGCTGTTGCGGCTGGCCTCAGGGGCCTCGTCCTCCTCCAGTGAGGAGCAGCGCCGTGCCTCTGAGACCCTCTCAGGCACGGGCTCTGAGGAGGACACGCCCGCCTCTGAGCCGGCAGCGGCCTTGCCCAGGAAGAGCGGGAGGGCAGCCGCCACCAGGAGCCGGATTCCCCGCCCCATTGGCCTCCGCATGCCCATGCCTGTTGCAGCCCAGCAGCCCGCCAGCAGATCCCATGGCGCGGCCCCAGCATTGGACACAGCCATCACCAGCAGGTGAGAAACCGCTGCCAGCCCCAGGGTGGGCAGAGGGTGGCCACAGGCCTCCACCAGGAGGGGCTTCTCCAGAACCAAGGTCAGGGGCTATGGAAGATCAGGAGGGACCCTCAGTGACACCTCCTGTCCAGCACCTCCCAACTGTGCTCTGCCTCACTCTGATTCGGGTTCCAGCCCTGTCACTGGGCTCAGTGAAGTGGCTTCAGTAAGCATGTGTGGAGGGGGTGCCGGAGAGGCCAGGCTTAGGAAAAGCTGATGGGGGCCAGTGGGTCCACACACAGCCTCTGGTATGCCATGGGGCATTGGAAGCCAAAGGATAAAGCCCAGTGCTTTGACTCCTTGGGAGAAAACATTATTTCATATTAATATAAACATAGGTATATTCTAGGTTAGAATGCAAAATCCATGAGAATTTTAAAGATGAAATGAGGACCCCAAAGAAAGCCAGCAGCAGGCTCTTCCAGCAGCAGCCTGGAAGCGTGTGGCCCCTCGAGGTCCTGCCCTGGAGGACAGAGAGCCAGGCCTCAGTTTACCCATCTGTGCCATGGTCTCAGTCTCAGCTCTGAGGATGCCGGACTCCAGTGCTCAGTGCCCAGGAGGATTCTGAAATATTTCTCCTTGTTTTGTTTCTTTGCCCTCTTCTTTTCTCCTGCCTTCTGCTCTCAAGCAGGCTCCAGCTGCAGACGCCCCCAGGGTCGGCCACTGCTGCTGACCTCCGCCCCAAACAACCTCCTGGCCGCGGCCTGGGCCCAGGGCGAGCCCAAGCCGGAGCCAGGCCCCCAGCGCCGCGCAGCCCGCGCCTCCCCGCGTCCACATCCGCCGCGCGCAATGCCAGCGCGTCCCCCCGGAGCCAGTCCCTGTCCCGCAGAGAGAGCCCCTCCCCCTCGCACCAGGCCCGGCCCGGGGTCCCCCCGCCCCGGGGCGTCCCGCCGGCCCGGGCCCAGCCTGATGGCACCCCCTCCCCCGGGGGCTCCAAGAAAGGACCCAGAGGGAAACTCCAGGCTCAGCGCGCAACAACCAAAGGCCGGGCAGGAGGCGCGGAGGGCCGGGCTGGGGCCAGATAATGACGCCCGCTGCTCTCCGCGGTCCCCCACCCTCACCCCGGCCCCCCACCCGCAGCCGGCCACACTGGAGCAGCTCCCAGCACAGCCTTACGCGCCCGACGCGCGCCACCCGCGGCCCCAGCTTTCCGCCTGCACCCGCGAGGACGCGCGCGAGCACACGCGGCGCCCCGCCAGGCCTTAGGGCCCGTGGGGGACGCGGCCCCGCGCCGCGGGGAGGGTCTGCCTCCCCTTCCTCGCCCTGTGTCCTCTCATCCTCCCGCCGCCCGTCAGGCCGGCCAGCCTCACATCAGTCTCTCCGCCCCGGGGAAGGCTCAGCCACTTTTCATCGAGGACTCCACTTCTGGGGACGCCTGGTTCGTTCGCCCACCAGGCCTAGGCTACGCTCCATGCTCCCCCAGCAATCTCTGCCTACACCTCCTGCGGCGCCTTGCCCTCCTCCGACCCCTTTCCAGCCAAAGTCCCCCCACCCCTTCAGAGAAGCAGCCTCAAATTCCAGAAGTGGAGGCTCCAGCCTCCCCGCGAGGGTCCAGCCCCACAGTCTTCTGGGAGCCATTGTGGCCAGGGACGGCCTCTGGACTGCCAGGCTGGGTTGGGGACCCAGGGAACATCGGTCTACTCAGGTGTGAGGGGGCAGGTCTGACCTGCCCCAAAGTTGGCTCCATCCTGGACAACTCGGTGAGAGGCAGTGGGCAAGTGATCTTGGAGATGGGTGGGCAGGTGATTCTGTGGGCAGGGGATGTGCTCCCCTGCACCTCTGGGGTGCAGAAACCTCTTGCCTCCAGATTTGGGTGGAGCCTCTGTGGGAACCATAGGAAGTGTGTGGGCTGCCTTCCTGGGCAAGTATTTCCCAGTGGGAAGTTGGAGGGGGCTTTAACAAAGTTTTACTCCCTCCCCTGTTCCCCTGATCTAGTGCTCAGGACCCTTCACCATCAGGAATTCCTTCCTGTCATCTAACCTCAGTCCTGCCTACTGCAGTTCCAGCCAACCTGCTCTTTCCTGAGTTCAAAGCAGGTGGAGACTGGCTGGTTACCATCTTTGCACTGGCCCTTCGGAGATTCGGGGACTCAGTTCTGGTGGGGTCACCCTCCCTGTCCTCCCGCCTGTGGGAGGGAGGGAGGGCTGGCTCAGGCATCGTCTCCCGCAATGGGCAGAGAGAGCAGAGACAGGTGGACCAACAGACAGCTGGCCCCTGGAGGCAGAAAGGCCCTTCTAACTTCCAGATTGTATGCTTGAGTGATGGGTCCCCAGCCCAAGCCCACTCTTCCCTCAGCTCACCCTTCAGCCTGTTCCTTCTTGCCCTGACCCCAGCCCGTGCAGCTGCTCTACTCCAGGAATGGATGTGGGGACTCTTCCTGGGTTCTGGCTCCTGCATAGCTCACCCCACCTCATCATGAGCCTCAACTGCCTACATCTGGGGCAAGCAGCACACCGGCTGCAGATGGGACAGCCAGCCCTGCCTATCTGGACAGGCCCCTGCAGCCTCTGTCCCCTGGCCTAGCCTCTCTGTCCTTCCCTGAGTCACAGAGAGCAAGCCAAGACATCCAGGGAAAGAGGAAGAAAGGCCTTAGTGTGCCCCAGCAGTCTGGCTGCGTCCAGCCACCATCACCCGGAAGGATGCCCACAAGGCAGCTGACCCTGAAAGCAGCCTCCCCCTCATGGAGAGTCAGCAGCTTGGGCAGCCACTTCCAGGCCAGGGTGGTGGCTTCTCTGCAGACCAGCTGAGGGGAGGACTCCTGGGTGGACAGCCTTTGACGTCCACCCCACGCTGATGCAGAAGCTCCCAGAACACTCAGGAAACTTCTCCGGACAGAGCCCTCCTTGTCAACTTGAGGCCCTCCCAAGGCCCTCTACTGCCCTCTGGGTCCAGCAGAGGGAGTGGAGGAAGGGCCACTGCCTCCCACCTAGAGCTTCTCCGAATGACAATCAGCTCGTGCCAGGTGGGGACCAGGATATGACTCCTGGTGCCCAGGCCCTGGGCCTGCTCCTTGCCACCAACCGAACCGTGAATGTAGGGCCCCCAGCCTCACCTCTGCCCCAGGACCAACAACACCCTGGTTTGGAGCTGGGAGGAAGAAGGGGGCCTGAGAGAGCCCCAGGTCCATTCTACCCCCAGCTTCACTCAGCACTGGAGCTGGCAGAGACGCAAAACCCAGTCTGCCCTTGGGATTCCAAACCTCCCTAGGGCTCCCAACTGACCTCAGGCCTCTGAGTCACTGAATGTCACCAGGAGAGGTGGGGGAGGGAAAGTGGGCCAGTGGGGAGGGGGTCACCTAGGGGACTGCCTCTGTGCCTCTCCCCAGGAAGCATCCAGGGCAGAGGAAGCCACATCTCCCGGTGCCCCCAACCCCAGCTGCAGCCTCCTCCCCCTGAGCATTCATTCTCTCCACCAGGCCTCCAGGTCCTGAGCCCTTCCTCTGTAAAAGTGTCACACCACCTCCCTCAGCACTTCCCCATCACAACAACCTATGTCACTGACTCAGATGCAGGGTCTGCTCACCCCAACACATGCCTTCCCTCCCCAGCCACACCGTGCACGAAGGGGGCACAGGAGAGGAGAGGGGCTGTGCCCCAGGCTCCCCATTTCCCAGCTCCTCACAGAGGCCTGGTTTGCTCAGTCTTCTGAACTCCAGGGACCAGCCCTGGTGGGCATGGGGTGGGGAGCAGGGAGTTGCCCTTCCCCTCCCTCGGGAAGCCACCTAAGAATGTTTACATGCCAAACAGAATGTAACACCCCTCCCCAAGCCCTTCCCAGTCACTGCATGGCCTCTGCCCATCCTGCACCTGTCCACCCCACCCCAACACCCTGGAAGCCACTGTCAATGATTAGATCGGGTCTCGGAAGGGAAGTAGCCATCACACCATTAAAAAGCCTGTGGACCTTTTTCTGTTGGCTTGGACTCTTCTTCCCTGAGGGAGGGCAGGCAAAACCCAGTTCCTGGGGCTGGGGCTGGCCAGGAGAGTGGAGCACAGGTTGGTGGGCAAGTGCAGAGGGACTGTCCTGGAGGCAGGGGAGGAAATGAAAGCTCAGGACAGACACAGGTAACTTGCTCAGGGTCACAGAGGAGGAAGGGGACTGTCCTGCTGTCCTTCTGACTGCAAATCGTACACTCTCACAGCCCTCTGGACGCTTCTCCTGAGGGCCAGAGACCCTGAGTCTGGCTTTGTGCAGACAGGCCAGGAGGAAGAGTTTTTTAAATTATTTGTACAAATTGATGGAGTACATGAGAAATTTTGTGACATGTATATAATGTGTAGTGACCAAGCCAGGGTGTTTACAGCATCCATTACCCAAGTACAATACATTTTGGTTAAATATCGTCACCTTACTCAGCTTTCGAACATTGAATTTATTCCTTCTATCTCACTGTATGTTTATACCATTTATTTATTTTTATTTTTATTTTTTTTTTAGAGGGAGTCTCGCTCTGTTGCCCAGGCCGGGGTTCAGTGGTGTGATTTCAGCTCACTGTAACCTCCGCCTCCCAGGTTCAAGTGATTCTTGTGCTTCAGCCTCCCGAGTAGCTGGGATTACACATGTGCGCCACCATGCCCGGCTAATTTTTGTGTTTTTACTAGAGACAGGGTTTTGATATGCTGGCCAGGCTGGTCTCGAACTCCTGACCTCATGTGATTGACCTGCCTCGACCTCCCAAAGTGTTGGGATTACAGGGGTGAGTCACTGCACCCCGCCTGTACCCTTTAATTTGCTTCTCTTCCTCCTTCCCACTCTCGAGGAAGAATTTTCATTACCCCAAAGTTAACAGACAAAAGTGAGAGTGTCTGGAAAACCATGCAGTGTATCAGCTCACAGGCAAAGTTATTATTATGAAAAAATCTATCAAAATCACAAATGAGCATAGCTTGTGTCCCTGCTTCTCTACTTTAGAACTGTATCCTGTGGATGTATTTGTACACTTGCAAAATTACATGTGTCCAAAATTATTCAGTGCAGTATTCTTTGTATGGCTCCAGAAAGCCTCATCTGCACTTTTGAGACCCAGAAAGTTCTGAAAACTGGGATTTCTCGCATTAGATTGGCACACACTCACTTGTTATAAAAAAAAAACCTGACAAGACCATTTATAATCTTTATTAATTCCACTTATCATCCATATTTGCCGTGGAAACATTAACATGTTTGATGATGGGATAAGTCCCATTAGGGTATTTTATTATTTTTTATTTTTTTGAGACGGAGTTTTGTTCTTGTTGCCCAGGCTGGAGTGCAGTGGCACGGGCTCAGCTCACTACAACCTTTGCCTCCTAGGTTCAAGCGATTCTCCTGCCTCAGCCTCCCCAGTAGCTAGGGTTATAGGTGCCTGCCACCACGCCCAGCTAATTTTTGTATTTTTAGTAGAGACGGGGTTTCACCATTTTGGCCAGGCTGGTCTTGAACTCCTTACCTCAGGTGATCTGCCTGCCTCGGCCTCCCAAAGTGCTGGGATTACAGATGGGAGCCACTGCACCCGGCCCACCATTAGGGTATTTTACAATATATGGAATATATGCTAAATTACCTTTCTGAATATGTGTGTGTGTGTGTGTGTGTGTGTATATATATACACACACACATATATATAGTATATATATGTGTGTATATATATATACACACATATGTATACATATATACATATATATGTGTGTGTATATATATACACACACACACATATATAGCTGACCCTTGAACAACACAGGGGTTAGGGGCACCAAACCCCTTGCTGTTGAAAATCTGCCTATAATTTTTGATTCCCCCAAGACTTCATTAATAGCCTACTGTCGACCAGAAGCCTTACCAATAATAAACAGTCGATTAACACATATTTTATATGTTTTATATATATTATATACTGTATTCTTACAATAAGGTAAGCTACAGAAAAGAAAATGTTATTTAAAAAACCATGAGGAAGAGAAAATATTAAGTGGAAGTGGATCATCATAAAGGTGTTCATCCTCACTGTCTTCATATTGAGAAGGCTGAGGAGGAGGAGGAAGATGAGGGGTTGGTCTTGCTGTCTCAGGGGTGGCAGAGGCGGCAGGGGTGGAGGAGATGGAGGGGGAGCAGGAGAGACAGGCACAAAACTTGTGACTTTTATTGAGAAAAATCAGTTTATGAGCAGACTAGTGCAGTTCAAACCCGTGTTGTTCAAAGGTCAACCATACATGTACAACCATGTATGTACTTCTGATCCCAACAGTTTGGATAAGAGACTATGGACCTATAAAAGTTCAGAAGAAATCTAAATGCCCAATTGGGGCTGCTCAGTAGAGCATGGCCCACCCATAAAATGGGGTCCCAACCATGGGGTACTGTGAGACTCTAAAATGAAGGAGGCTAGCTGAGTGCTGCGGTGTGTCTGTAGTCTAGCCACTTGGGAGGCTGAGGTAGGAGGATTGCTTAAGCCCAGGAGATTGACTCCAGCCTGGGGAACATAGTGAGACCTTTTTCTCTAAAAAAATTAATGAAGGAGTTGTCTGTTTGTATAGTATACACTTATGGACCAGTCTCCAAGACCAAGAATAAGAAAAAGAAGCATACATATAATGTACAATTTTGTGTCTGGAAAGGCAGGTGAGATGAGTGAGAGGTGTCTGGCCGCCATGGGGCAGGAGAGCTGGGCAGAAAGGAGGCTTTGTTCTAGTGTACATACTGTAGGAGCTTGTGAATTTTGAACCCTAGGTTCACTCGGTGTAAATCTTTCACCTCGTCAATGTATAAACAACTTTGGTTCCAGGCCAGGCTCCTGGCTTTGCCTGAGATCCAAGGTAAAAAGGCCCAGGCTCGCAAAGTCCTGCTGTCCCTCCAAGAAGGCCACTCTCTGGCATTCCAGAAACATCCTGGCTCCTGGGACACTCTTTCTGTTGGCATGGATGCCAGCGTGCTCTAGGCCCTGATTCATCAGCCTTCAGTGGAATCTCCATGTGATTTCGCTTTCCTTCTTGTTTAAACTGTCAAAAGCAGGACATACTTATGGTAAAAAGGCAAATGCTAAAGGCATATAAAATAAAAGCCCCCTCCCTATCCATGAAGCTGACCACATAAAGGTAACTCTTACAAATGGCTTGGTGTGTACCATTTCAGACCTTCTTTTTCCTGTTTGTAATTAATAGCTCTCTCTCTGTCTATATATACATATTTATTATAAATAAAAAGGAGAGCATATTATACCTACTATTCTGAAATGTGTTTTTTTTTTTGAGACAGGGTCTCACTCTGTCACCCGGGCTGGAGTGCAGCAGCACAATCATGGCTCACTGCAGCCTCGACGCCCCTCCCCAGCCCTGGGTTCAGGTGGTCCTCCCATCATATATATGTGTATATATATATGATGTTTTGGTAACTATCTTCTTTCACTTAGCGTGTTTTCAAGGTACTGCCATATTGTAGCATTTATCAGTACTTCATTCCTTTTTATTGCCAAATAATATTTTATTATATGGACACACCACATTTTGTTTATCCATTTGTCAGTTGATGGACTTTGGGTTGTTTCTGCTTTAGGTTTTGATGAGTAATGCTGCTATGAACATTTGTGTACAAGTTTTGTTTGGATGTATGCATTCACTTCTCTTGGGTATATACCTAGGAGTGGAATTGCTGCTCGATCATATGGTAATGATATGTTTAACATTTTGAATAATTACCAAACTTTTCTAAAATTGCTACATCATTTTACACTTCCACCAGCAATCATGAGAATCCTTGTGTTCTTTTTAATAGCTACATCATATTCCATGGCATGAATGTTCCATAATCTATTTAACCAGCTCCATATTGGTTTTTCATTACTCTTTCCGACTTTTCACTATTTTCACTATTTCAAATAGTGCTAAACTTGGCACTAGAACTCTTGGCTCCAACCTATCTTACTTCTTCCAGTCTAATTCTAGGAGAAAACCCCCCCAAATAATTAAATAGATAAAAATGGTACCTTATTGTATTTTTTAATTTTCTCGATTATTGAGATTGAATGAATGAATGTCATGGGTTATTCATTCATTATTTATTTAATCCATCTTTCATTCATCCAACCCATTAATTTAACTAATTCTGCAGACTATTGCTGAGCCCAACATGTGCTAGAGGCTATGCCAGATGTCGGGCACCGACCAGGCGCTAAGACAAAGCACAGCATGACCTGAAGGAGGTGGCTGGGGCTGGGTGTGATGGTATGTGCCTGCAGTCCTAGCTACTTAGGAGGCTGAGGCAGGAGGATCACCCGAGCCCAGGAGTTCGATGCTGTACTGAGCTATGATCATGCCACTGTACTCTAGCCTGGGCGACAGAGCAAGACCCTGTCTCTAAAAAAAAAAAAAAAAGTGATTGGAAATTAACTTTCATTTTATATGTGGCATGTGCCTTGATACTCAAGGCATAGGGAGGAACTCCCAGCCCAGACTGAGAGCTTCAAGGAAAACCCCTAGAGAGAGATGTGCCTCTTGGACTGAATTTTGAAGGACAAACAGGAGCTGGCCAGATAGAGGAGAGGACATTCCCAGGGGATGGGGGAGCAGCACGGGCAAAGAGTGGGGGGCGAGACTGCATGGAGTTCAGTGTGGGGAGTCACAGGCATAAATCGTGGAGTGGAAGAGAAGAGTGAGGAGGGAGTAGGGCCAGGCTTGGAGCCAGGACAGGCTGTGCCAAGGAACAGGGCTTTAAGGCATTGCAGAGACCCTCTGCCTACCTCCTGCCCCCAGGAGCCTGAGACTTGTCAGGCACATTCACTTCCCGAGGCCCAGCTTGGCTGTCAAGGACTATCTGATGCTCTGCATGCGAGGGCCTCTCTGGTCCCTGGCAGACCTTCTCCCTGTTCCCTCACAGAAAGACATTTCTTTGTCCTGTGGTCAAAGAGAGGTGTGAGGGCAGGGGCACAGAGAAATAAATGGCTTGAGCAAGGTTGCTCTGTCAGGGGCTAGATGGGAGCCACAGACCAGGGACATTTAGATGAGCCTTTTTTTGATAGAGAGGGGCCCCTCAGAAAAGAGACAGGGGTGGGAATGTGGAGAGTCTTGTGTCTCTAATCATCAGACGCTGGGGCCTGCTGAGATTTTCCCATGGCCTACTGATGAGTCAAGGCCAGGACAATAGATGAGGCCAATGCAAGGCTAAAGGACTTAGAACCATCTTTCTAAGTTCTCAGGAGTTTCAGGAGCCTGCTCATTGCCTAAGGTGATGAGGTGATATGGAAGGAGAGTCTTTCTGGCCATGGGTTAGAGGTCATATGACGTAAGCCCATTTTCAGCAGCTCCAGGTGGCATCTTCTGCATTTCTCCTCACCTTTAAACCGGCAGTGGTGTAACACCATCCATTACCACTACCACCAATTTTACCACAATCCGCACCTCTGTCTTCATTATCCACCATTACTAGCTTCGTCTTCACTCAGATCACAGACATTTTTCTCCCAAACTATCACCATCACCTCCACTAGGCTTTGAAGACATAATGATTAACAAAAGACAAGGTCCTTGCCATCAGGGAGCTTACACACTGTCATCACCTCCTTCACCATCACCATCACATCAGCAACATCATCATTACCATTATCACCACCATCACCACATCACCAACATTACCACCATCACCACATCACCACCAGCATCATTACCACCATCACATCACCACCACCATCACTACCATCACATCACCACGATCATTACCAACATCACATCACCACCACCATCATTACTACCATCACATCACCACCACCATCATTACTACCATCACATCACCACCACCATCATTACTACCATCACATCACCACATCACCACCACCATCACTACTACCATCACATCACCACCATCATCATTATCAACATCACATCACCACCACCATCATTACTACTATCACATCACCACCACCATCATTATTACCATCACCACATCACCACCAGCATCATTACCACCATCACCACATCACCACCACCATCATTACTACCATCACCACATCACCACCACCATCATTACTACCATCACATCACCACCACCATTACTACCATCACATCACCACCAGCATCATTACCACCATCACATCACCACCACCATCATTACTACCATCACATCACCATCATCATTACCAACATCACCACATCACCACCACCATCATTACTACCATCACCACATCACCACCACCATCATTACTACCATCACATCACCACCACCATCATTACCACCATCACCACACCACTACCAGCATCATTACCACCATCACATCACCACCACCATCATTATGACCATCACATCACCACGACCATCACATCACCACCACCACCATTACCACCATCACATCACCATCATTGCCACCATCACATCACCATCGTCAGCATCACATCACCACCAGCAACATTACCACCATCACATCACCACTACCATCATTACCATCACATCATCACTACCATCACCAGATCACTGTCACCATCATTACCACATCTATCACATAATCCTCATCACCACTGCTACCCTCATGACCACATCATTACTACCAGCGGCCCTAGCCCCATCCTCTCATCTCTACTCCAATCACCCCTGTCACCATCACTTCCATCACCAGGATCCCACCTCCCTTACTATTATACCATCCACCACCCTACTTACCACTGCAATTGATTTTGTCATTGCCACCATCAACAGTGTAGGAAATGACTACATGGGTTGCAGCAATGGTTAATGGTCACTGAAGCCCCAATTAAGATGGGTAGGTCATCTGAGGTCACTCAGTGGGGCGGGGGCAAAAGAGTAAAAGGCCTAAAGTGTAAGAATTCCCTATTGCAAGCAATCTCAAATTGTTTATTCCAAGAATGTATTTTTCCTGAACCCTCCAATAATTCTAGTAATAATTCCAATTAAGGAGTTTTTTTCTTTTTTCTTTTTTTTTTTTTTGAGTCAGAGTCTTACTCTTACACTGTACTCAGGCTGGAGTACAGTGGTGCAATCTCAGCTCACTGCAACCTCCACCTCCTGGGTTTAAGCAATTCTCCTGCCTCAGCCTCCCGAGTAGCTGGGATTATAGGCACGAACCACTACGCCCAGCTAATTTTTGTATTTTTAGTAGAGACGGGGTTTCACCATGTTGGCCAGGCTGGTCTCGAACTCTTGACCTCCAGTGATCCACCCGCCTTTGCCTCACAAAGTGCTGGGATTACAGGCGTGAGCCACCATGCCTGGCCAGGAGTTATTTTCCATTGCACAAGGCTCCTCTCCATCCAGTTTGGTATAAATGAAGGTCTCTACCTTGGCCTCTGAGCTCAGGTTAGAATTCCCAGGTTGGAGGGGTGGGAGGATGGTTAAAATATAATCAAAACCAGCTCTTAACTGGTGATTCAGAGTTGATCTATCCATCCTCTGGTTAGACTCAGCATTTCATACCTGCCTGTCCAGCTCCATCATCAGCCATCATGGTCACTGTCACCATCATTCTTCAATGACATCAGAGAAGAGAGCTTCCCTATGAGGTAGGGCCAGGGAATAAGATGGAGCCAGAGGTAAAATTAATGCCAAATTACTCTCTGGAGAAAGGGGCTGCAGATTTATTTATTTTTTATTTTTGAGACAGAGTTCCACTCCTGTTGCCCAGGCTGGAGTGCAGTCGCACGATCTCGGCTCACTACAACCTCCACCTCCCAGATTCAAGCAATTCTCCTGCCTCAGCCTCCTGAGTAGCTGAGATTACAGGCGCTTGCCCCCATGTCCAGCTAATTTTTTGTATTTTTGGTAGAGACAGTTTTGCCATGTTGGCCAGGCTGGTCTCAAACTCCTGACCTCAGGTGACCCACCCGCCTTGGCCTCCCAAAGTGCTGGGATTACAGGCATGAGCCACTGTGCCTGGCCAGGGCTGCAGATTTAGATTTGAGTTTCCTAGGAGCCAATGTCAGGAGGGAGAGGTAACCACTGCATGATTATCAGCTATTTCTGATATTAAAGCAGGAGAGAAATTCCCATTGTGAAAACTAAGTCGTCACAGCCAATGGCTGAGGTTGGCCTCGTTAGCTGTCTTCTCTGGCTGTGAAAAAACTTCAGAGTATTACCCTGTGGAGCCACTGGATGGGACATGGAGATGGGGTGACCACAAAACTTACCTCTCAGGAGCTGCAAAGTGTTATGGTATTTTATACATTTTATATTAATAATATCATTACATAGTATTAAATGAGGGAGGAACCAACAGTGTGAGGTCACACGTGAGTGAGGATGAGAAGGGTGGAGGTGTCTCCCCTTGAGCTGGTCTTCAGGGAGGTTTGGGCATCCACTTGGTGAATGAGGAGGAAGCCACATTGTCCAAGGGACCACACTAGGGTGTGACATGCCAATGAGCTGGTGTGTGCAGAGAACTAGAGGGAAGGGAGCATGTTGGAGAGGGGTCAGGGGTGGACTGGGGGAGAGGATCTAGTCCTAGGGAAGTCATAAGGGCCAAGCTAAGGAGCTAGACTTTCCCCCTCAGGCAGCAGAAGCTGGTGAAGGGTTTTAAACAGGGATGTGACCCTCTTAGATTTGTGTTTAAATGTTCACTGTGGCCAGTGTATGGAGAATGGGTTGAAAGGGGTGAGACTGGAGACAGGGAGGGTTAGCTTATTTTAACCCTCCTGTAAGCTCCCTAAGGGTAGGGACCGTGTCTGAGGCATCTATGTACCCTCTAGAATGGCGAGGATGCACTAGAGACTCAAACATTTCTTCTCATTGTCACCCCCTGTCACTGCCACCACCATTAGCTGCCTCTTGCTTCACTCCATGGCTGTCAGCACCCCCATTAACACACGCCATGCCATCGATTTAGCTCCTTTCCCAGCGCTTTCTCAGGGATCCCAGCCTGGAGCAGACTGGGACATCACCAGCTCAGCAGCTTAGGTCAAAAGTGAGATTCCTGGTCTGGAGTCAGGGGACCTGGTCTTTTCTTCAGCTCTGCTGCTGAGTCATTGTGTGACCCCAGCAGGTCCCCTCCCTGTCTTTAGTTTTCTGACCTGTTCAAAGTAGGAGCTGGATTAAACCAGTGGGTCTGCCAGCTAAGTGTTTGGAGAATCAGATGAGAATAAACCAGACATTGCTGGTTTCTGCTGTACTTTTGCTGCAGGGACCATGATTGAGAATTGAGTGGGAGGGTCAGATTGAACATTTGAGTCTTAGGTATTGCATGTACCTTTGACAAGACCTTGGTAACTCCCCCTCCCCCATTCCCTACCCCTCCAAAAGGTAATCTTAGGCATTGCAGGTACCTTGGCAACATGTCCCCCGCCATTCCCTATCCCTCCAAAAGGTAATTTAGGAAGCTGCTGGAAATAGGGGAATGGGACAGGCAGTTGGAACCATATGTATGGGGAGAGTCCCTGAGTGAAGTGGGAATGGGATGAGCCTGGGATCCTCAGAGACATCAAGTTGCCCGGTGTGATCACAGGTGTGTCTTAGGCCAGGGCATCAGCTCCCAGCAGGGGAGAGGGATGCGAGGAGGCCTCATGGCTCAGCAGAAAGAAACCTGGTTAGGATCCAGCTTTCAGTCCTGAATCCTGGGCTGTCGGCCAGGCCATGGCTGTAGCTGCAAATAGGCAAGGCTGACCTAAGGTCTCACAGGACAAAGGGCACCCTGGGAGAGCTGGCCCCAGGCCCCAGGGGCCTCCTCTTCTTAGGGATCCTGGGAGCTCTGCTGACCAAGGGGCTAGGGGCTCACCTCCTATGCCATCACCCAGCTACCTCATCATGGTAGCCTTGGTCCCTGAACACTAATGGGTAAGCCCCAGAGCCACGAGCCAGTGACCTCTGAATGGATGGCTTCCCCTTCCCCCAGGCACCAGGCAAGACAGGTAGAGGTCCCTGGAGACCTGATGGCTGGGGAGGGCCCAGTCCTGGGCCAGCCCCTGAGGGCTGGATTCTGGCTGCAGGCTCTCCAGTCCATCCACTCCCACCTCCAGAGTCCAAGGGTCTATGTGGTGGGCAGTTTGAGCTGGCTGGATACTAGAGGGAGGCTGCACCTGAAGCATTTGGTGGGTGAGCAGCATGGGCTTTGAGGAGCTGCTGGAGCAGGTGGGCGGCTTTGGGCCCTTCCAACTGCGGAATGTGGCACTGCTGGCCCTGCCCCGAGTGCTGCTACCACTGCACTTCCTCCTGCCCATCTTCCTGGCTGCCGTGCCTGCCCACCGATGTGCCCTGCCGGGTGCCCCTGCCAACTTCAGCCATCAGGATGTGTGGCTGGAGGCCCATCTTCCCCGGGAGCCTGATGGCACGCTCAGCTCCTGCCTCCGCTTTGCCTATCCCCAGGCTCTCCCCAACACCACGTTGGGGGAAGAAAGGCAGAGCCGTGGGGAGCTGGAGGATGAACCTGCCACAGTGCCCTGCTCTCAGGGCTGGGAGTACGACCACTCAGAATTCTCCTCTACCATTGCAACTGAGGTACTTAAGCCCAGAAGTTGAGAGACATGTGAGAGGGATGGGCCTGCCATTGCCTTGGGTGGTTACTGTGTAGGCATTAGATGTATTACTTTACCTCTTAAAGTCTCAGTTTACCAATCTGTAGATGGGGGCTATGAATATAAGGCACTTTTAGTTCATGGCTTGTAGTAACAGGATCCTACACAAGAACTGTTATCATCATCATTAATTGGGAGGTGATTAAGGCAGGGAAGGGCTAAAGTGGCTTCAGGGAGTTGAGACAAAGAGCTGAGAAGGCAATTTCTGCAGCAAGAGGTGGAGAAACAATAGAGGCCTTCTTTTCTCCCTTCCTCTTTTCCAGTCCCAGGTCGGTATTTACATAATCCATCTGGAGGTGGAATGTCGGTGGAGGCAGTCTCCCTGGGAGGCAGCAGGTCGAGGCCTTCCTTGGGAAGAAGCTGAGGCTGCAGGACTGGGGAGGGACAAAGTTTCCTATTCCCCAAGCTGGCGTGAATCGTTGGGAGGTTTATTATCTGGCATGGAGGTACCAGAATGGCAGAGTTCGCCTCAGAAGGCTCCAGGGTCTGGAGAGGAGGAGCTGGTGCCTGCTGGAGAGGGGCTGATGTTCATAGGAGGTCCCTTTCTGCCTGTCCTTGCAGTGGGATCTGGTGTGTGAGCAGAAAGGTCTGAACAGAGCTGCGTCCACTTTCTTCTTCGCCGGTGTGCTGGTGGGGGCTGTGGCCTTTGGATATCTGTCCGACAGGTGGGGTGAGGCACTGGGCCAATAAGAAACTGGCTGGGGGAACTTTCTCCCACTAGCTGGGGTATGAGCCTAGTCTACCTATGCCTTAGAACCTCCTTCCACAGGGAACTGACCCTGCATGACCCCTTTGCAGGTTTGGGCGGCGGCGTCTGCTGCTGGTAGCCTACGTGAGTACCCTGGTGCTGGGCCTGGCATCTGCAGCCTCCGTCAGCTATGTAATGTTTGCCATCACCCGCACCCTTACTGGCTCAGCCCTGGCTGGTTTTACCATCATCGTGATGCCACTGGGTGAGGCAGGCAAGAAACAGGCAGGACCTAGAGGGCTGGAAGAAGGCAGTTGTCAGAGTGAGGCTGAGCCCATCTGGTCCTCACTAACCATCTTCCTGTCTCCTGTCCTGGCCCAGAGCTGGAGTGGCTGGATGTGGAGCACCGCACCGTGGCTGGAGTCCTGAGCAGCACCTTCTGGACAGGGGGCGTGATGCTGCTGGCACTGGTTGGGTACCTGATACGGGACTGGCGATGGCTTCTGCTAGCTGTCACCCTGCCTTGTGCCCCAGGCATCCTCAGCCTCTGGTGAGGACTGCAGGCAGCTGGGGAGCGGGAGATACAGGAAGTGAAAGATGAGATTAATCAGAGCCTGAGATTTGAGGATAGAGAGATTGAGAGATGAAGGGAAAGAGAAACGAAGTGACCAAGAGACAGAAAGAGACACAGAGAAAAAGAGACAGAGAGACAGAGATCAACAGAAAGAAGATGGCAAGGAAAAGTGAGAAACAGAGAACAAGATACAGAGAGTCAGAGATAAAGACAGAGCCAAACATAAATTGAGGCTGGCCCCTTGGAGAGTTGGGGATAGGGGCAGGGCCAGCATGGGGGTGGGGAGCTCAGGCCGGAGAGTGGGAGGACAGGCAGGGTGGGCACTACATTGCCTCCTAAAGATGACTTGGCCTTGGATGACCCTTCTGGATATGTCTACATGTCTGTCCCTCCTTCATCTCATTCCCTCCTGCCACCCATGGGAGAAGTGAGTGGCTGGTGCTGGGAGCTGGTCTTGAGGGTAAGGACAATTCAGTTGAATAAGGGACTCCCAGGCTATGGAGGACCTGGGCCTGGGCAAGGAAGTGTGGGAAGAGGTGTTTTATTTTTATTTTTATTATTTTTGAGATAAGGTCTTGCTCTGTCGCTGGAGTACAGTGGCACAATCACAGCTCACTGAAGCCTCAACCTCCCAGGCTCAAGTGGTTCTCCTGCATTAGCCTCCTGAGTAGCTGGGACTACAGGCGTGTGCCACCACACCCAGCTAATATTTATTTTTTGATTTTTTGTAGAGACAGGGTCTTGCCATGATGCCCAGGCTGATCTTGAACTCCTGGGCTCAAACCCACCCTCCCGCCTTGACCTCCAAAAGTGTTTGGATTACAGGCATGGGCCATTGCACCCAGCCCAGAGGTGGCTTTTAAACTGGGCATTAAAAGATGAATAAGAGCTCATCAAGTGTGGAGGGCTTGGGGAGGAGATGATGTTCCAGGCTAAGGGGACTACATGAGCAAGAGCCTGGAAGTTGAGAGCCTGTAGTATGTCCAGGAACATGTGGCTTAGGGTCATGACTTTCTGGCTGATGGACCTTCTGCCTATTCCTAGGTGGGTGCCTGAGTCTGCACGCTGGCTTCTGACCCAAGGCCATGTGAAAGAGGCCCACAGGTACTTGCTCCACTGTGCCAGGCTCAATGGGCGGCCAGTGTGTGAGGACAGCTTCAGCCAGGAGGTGAGGGTGAACGTGTGTGTGAGCATGCATATATGTGTGTGGTGGGGAGTGGGCTGTGTCAAGTGCCTCCCTCCCAGAGCCCACCATATATGGCAGGAAAAGCCCCTGGGCCCCCACAGAGAGTTCCGAACTCTTTAGGATGTCCTACCTGGCTCCAGTGGGCCACATCCATCATTCGAGACCCACTCGTCTCAGCTGCCATGAGCATCTCCATCCCCACCACTGCAGATGGGAGGAATAGAGAGGGGTGGGGGGAGAGTACTGTGTCCCATTGAGATCACATAGCCAACTCTGATGTTACAACCTCACCTCCTTCCCTACCAGGCTGTGAGCAAAGTGGCCGCCGGGGAACGGGTGGTCCGAAGACCTTCATACCTAGACCTGTTCCGCACACCACGGCTCCGACACATCTCACTGTGCTGCGTGGTGGTGTGGTGAGGAGGCTGGCTTGGGTCTGGCATGGGTGTGGTGGGAGGGAGGAGCAAACTCCAGGCTGGTGCTGAGTGTGAGAAGGGCTCTGAGGGACAAGTAGAGTGTCACTGTGGAGGGCAGGAGGATAAACCTCCATGGGCGATCTGCCTGGGGAAGTCAGAAAATGAAGCAGGTAGCAGAGACACATGGGTTCAAGCTCAGACTCCCACTTCCTTACTTGGAAAGGGACAGATGACTTAGCCACTCAGAGCCCCAGTGTCCCTTCTGTAAAACGGACTGTTGTCAGTTCCATGTCAGGGTTGCTGTGAAAATTAGGGTAAAGGCGCTTTGACTACTGGCGCATGCTGCACAGAGGGCATTATGGATGTCAGGGAAGGTCCTGGCGGGGGGACCGGGGGTTGCAGAGACAGAAGGAGATTGCCCTTGTAAAATGCCAAGTCTTCCTGAGAAGAGAGGCCAAAGAGGGATGGGAAGGAGGGTCCGCCAAGTGGCACTGAGACTCCTTTCAGGTTCGGAGTGAACTTCTCCTATTACGGCCTGAGTCTGGATGTGTCGGGGCTGGGGCTGAACGTGTACCAGACACAGCTGTTGTTCGGGGCTGTGGAACTGCCCTCCAAGCTGCTGGTCTACTTGTCGGTGCGCTACGCAGGACGCCGCCTCACGCAAGCCGGGACACTGCTGGGCACGGCCCTGGCGTTCGGCACTAGACTGCTAGTGTCCTCCGGTGAGCCCAGTCCCATAGGTTCTGCCCACCCCAGAAGCCGGGCCAGGAACCCTGCCCACTCCCCGGAGACCCCACCTCCTGGCCAAGAACCCACTCCTCCCCCAGATCCCTGCTCTTACCCAGTGAGCTCAGACTCTCCACCACTTAAGTTTGGCCCACTCTGGAGACTCCGCACCCTATCCAGAACACCCCTGGCTCTCCTCCAAGGCCCTCTCACTACCTGAACCCGCTTCCCTCCAGATATGAAGTCCTGGAGCACTGTCCTGGCAGTGATGGGGAAAGCTTTTTCTGAAGCTGCCTTCACCACTGCCTACCTGTTCACTTCAGAGTTGTACCCTACGGTGCTCAGGTGAGGAAGCCTGCAACTGATCTGGGGGTATGGGGCTTGTTAGTCACGTGTCTTAACCAACACTTCTACATACACGCACCACAACCTGGTCTCTCACTCATTTTTTTTTTAATTTTAATTTTTGGTAGAGACGGGGTCTTGCTATATTACCCAGACTGGTCTCAAACTCCTGGTCTCAAGCGATCCTCCCGCCTCAGCCTCCAAAAGTGCTCGTATTACAGGCACTATTACAGGCATGAGCCACCGCACCCAGCCTCTCACTCGTTCTCCACACTACACCCAGAATACAGAGCTAATCAGGGCCCTCTGTGTTTGCCCTAGTCTTGGAGAAGGCAGAGCATCTTATCTTCTGTACTATGTGACCCTGAGCCACGTCAGACATCCTCTCTGGGCCTCCTTAAGAAAACAACCCCAAGGCCGGGCACTGTGGCTCACGCCTGTAATCCCAGCATTTTGGAAGGCCAAGGCGGGCGGATCACTGAAGGTCAGGAATTCGAGACCAGCCTGACCAACATGGTGAAACCCTGTCTCTGCTAAACATACAAAATTAGCTGGGTGTGGTGGCGAATGCCTGTAATCCTAGCTATTTGGGAGGCTGAGGCAGGAGAATCGCTCGAACCTGGGAGATGGAGGTTGCAGTGAGCTGAGATCATGCCATTGCACTCCAGCCTGGGCGAGAAACTCTGTCTCAAATAAATACATAAATAAAAGAAAAAAATTAAATAATAATAATAATAAGAAGAAGAAAACAGCCCCAAGAAGCCCCATCCTGCCCACCCCCATCCCATTCACCCCTGGAAGGCAGAGATGCCCTTGAGGACTGTCCCAAGAGCAACCCCTTGAAAGGCCCGGGGTTGGGGGGGTCTTTCAGCTAGCTACTGAGAGGTGGGAAGAGGAAAATTCTAGGCATCTGGTCATGTTTAGAAAGAGGTTTGCCTCCTCGAACAACATGGCAGGGCCTGTACAAACTACTGACCTTCTTCCTTCCACATCACCCTTTCCTTATCTCCCAGTCTGGTGACTTGTCTTCTCCTTTAGTGATACCTAATTGGTACTCTGTCAGAATGGGGGCCCTGTCCTCTGGTGGGTGCTGGCTTGAGGTCTCCTGGCCTGAAGGTGGGTGGGAAGACCAACTGAAAGAAGTCCTAGTTTTCTTAGCTATATGGGGAGAAGGGAGTATCAGGGCCTGCCAGCCCTGGAGGGAAGCCCTGTGGGGCATGACTCCAGGTAGGTGTGAACACCATCTGCCTCCCTCATCCTCTTTCTCTGAACAGACAGACAGGGATGGGGCTGACTGCACTGGTGGGCCGGCTGGGGGGCTCTTTGGCCCCACTGGCGGCCTTGCTGGATGGAGTGTGGCTGTCACTGCCCAAGCTTACTTATGGGGGGATCGCCCTGCTGGCTGCCGGCACCGCCCTCCTGCTGCCAGAGACGAGGCAGGCACAGCTGCCAGAGACCATCCAGGACGTGGAGAGAAAGAGGTGTGTGCACAGGACTGTGTCTGTGTACGTGTGATAACATGCATATGGATGCAGGTGCTCAGATACCTGACACCTTAGGATTCAGACAGGAAACTATATCTGCACATGTGTACTTGGTGCATGTATGTGTGCGTGCACAGGTGAGTGTTTCAGGGTGCATGATTGGGGGCATGTAAACTGCAAGCATAAATGTGTACATGAGTGTATGAACACAAATACATAAGGTTGTTCAGGAAGATGTGTATGTGTGCACACTCAAGTATGCCTACACATCAGGGGTGTGTACAAGCATGTGTGTGAGTCACTTGTACAGGCGTTTGTATACCAGGAACTGGGGTGAGCCCTGGGACAGCCCTGATGGGGCAGGCTGGGGTGGTAGGCTCGGGGATTAAACCCCACCATTGCTCACAACTCCTTCCTCCCTAGTGCCCCAACCAGTCTTCAGGAGGAAGAGATGCCCATGAAGCAGGTCCAGAACTAAGTGGGAGTGGAGGCAGGCCCTCCACAGAAGCTCTGCAGCAGGGGCTGGGAGAGCAGAAGGGCAGGCCCTGCAACTCAGGCTGGGAGTATCGAACCCTCTGCCTAGGGCCGGAGTTGCTGCCAGTACCCGCTCCCTCTGCTCATCCATCCTTGATTATTTGGCTTCTAGGAACAGTTGACTTCCCAGAATGCAGTGGGCTGCTGGGCACCCCTCTCACGGTTGGGGAGGATTCTGTAAATAAAGGTGCCCCTTGGGTTGGGGCAGTGGTGACGAGCTGTGGGAAGAGCCCTGGATAGGAAGCCACTGAGTCTGCCCTGGGCTCTGATAAAACCTTCACCATTAACTTGCTGTGTGACCTTGGGCATGTGGCTTTCCCTCTCTGGGCCTCAGTCTGTTCATCTCCCAAATGGATAATGAAGCCTCTTGGGAGGCCCTACCATAGGATCTGTTGCCATGCTCAAATGAGTTACTGAATAAGGTGCTTCTGCTTCTTCTAGAGATGGTGCTAAAGAAAGGACTAGCATATGAGACTTCTGGTACCAATGGGGCTGGTGGGCATGCTGTCCACTGTGTGGTGCTAGGACTGCCAATGCCAGGCCCAAGGGACAAAAAGAACAGAGCTTTTTGTTCTCATGGCTGGCCCTGCTACCTCCGAGGCACCCTGCAGGGCAATGCATGTCATCCCAACCCCCACACTCCCCATCCTCCAACCCACTGGTCTCATGCCCAAAGAAGAGTTGAAGGCATGGGAGCCAACATTTTATTGAAGAAGCCACAGAGGCTGAAATTCAATAAACACAAGTTTTATGAGTACCTTGAAGCTCCAGAATGTGCTGGGGAAAGGGGTTGTGATGGCCAGGAGGAGGATACCCTTCAAAACGGGCTGTTCCCTAACCAGATAGAAATGGGAAAGGGAAAAAATTGGCAGAGAAAGTCTAGACTCTCTGGCCTACCATGGAGCCTAGGCCCAGGCCCCCAAGATCCCACCTTCCCCAACCCCCATGGGACTGGAGATTTTTGTAGCTTCCATTGGACCATGAGGGGCATGATGGGAGGCCTGAGTTAGGGTGACCTTTTTTGTGAGCGTCTCATTTGAATTTTATCTTCACTGGGTCATAGATGTAGCAGCCCACATCGCCAATGTTCACACCTGAGAGAGAGAGCCCTATCACCAAAGGCCCTGGGTCTGTGGTGCAGGGTTCAGGCCTAGAGGGAACTTGGTGGGGGGGCCAGGGTATGCTTAACCACAGGGGAAGTTGTCCACACATACCCACAGACCATGTACATGCCATACTTCAGGCATGTACATGCCATCCCAGTGTCTGGGATGGGGCTGCCCACCTTTGGGGCCAAACAGGTAGCCGTAGCAGGGGACGTGGCAGTAGGGGACTCCATCATGCTGAGACACAGAGAGAAAGAGAGCTGTCTCAGCCTGGTTCTCTTCCCATCTCCAGCCTCCTCCCAACATAACCACTCATTCCTGCCCTGCTCACCTCAGCATGACTCCCAGCAGTCAGGGTCTTGTGGCAACGCTGGCACCTCAGACACGGTCGGTGCCAATTTCTGCCTAATGACATCACCTTCTCAGCTGGTGGTGGAAAGAAGTGGTAATGCTTCCATTCTAGGGGTAGAGTAGGGAGACCTACCTGCCTTGGATCACCTCCCTCCCCCTTGCTGCCCACCCTGTATCCCCCTCCCCAAGTTTTCCACTGTTACTTACCAAAATAGACGGGCTCCCCACAGCCAGGGCACAGCGAGGTCTCCCCAGTGAATGTCTTCATATGGGGAGGGCCTTTAAAGGGGAAGAGGCCCTGGCTATGTCTGAGGTGGAGATGCCCACCAGCACCTGCCTGCATATGGTGCTGTCCTCTTTCAAAAGCCATGCTCATTCCAGAGTGCCCCACCCAGGCGCCCAAGAGTCTGCCTTCTACAGGCCCAGAGCTGAGCCCCCTCTGACTCCACCTCCTGCCCCATCCCTATGTGTATTAGGGACTATCTGCTTCCTTCTCCTGCTTCCTTTTCATCCTCCCAGGGGCTCACGTACCCACCATCCCAACCCTGTTAGCAACTCAATCCTCAGGAAACTTGAGCTGATATAGGAGCTGGCCACAGCACGGGTGTCAGGTGTTGGGGAGCACAGTGTCATTGCCTACTTCAGGGAATGGAGGGAAAGAACAGGGACCAGAGGAGAAAAGTTGAAGAATATGAGAGGCTGGCCTTATCCCAATGACTCCTCTCCTTTAGATCATTCCTTCCATGGCCCTGGCCTGGGACAGACCTAAGTTCCTGGCCAGCTTTGCCTCTGACTAGCTTTGTGGATGGACAGTCATTTGCCCTGTCTGGATCTCACTTTCCTCACCTGTAACACACGAGGAGAGGGGATAATGCCATCTGCCCAATTAACCTCTTTTTTTTTTTTTTTTTTTTTTTTTGAGATGGAGTCTCGCTCTGTTGCCCAGGCTGGAGTGCAATGGCATGACCTTGACTCACTGCAACCTCCGCCTCCTGGGTTCAAATGATTCTCCTGCCTCAGCCTCCCAAGTAGCTGGGATTACAGGCATGAGCCACCACACCTGGCTAATTTTTGTATTTTTAGTAGAGATGGGATTTCACCATGCTGGCCAGGCTGGTCTCGAACTCCTGACCTCATGATCCACCTGCCTCGGCCTCCCAACAATTTACCTCTTAACTCAGCAGCTCACATGAGGGAATAGAAAGAAAGAAAGAAAAAAAAAGCGGGGAGTAGATAGAGAAGACTTTGCCAAGAATGAAGTTGTGAGAATGTGAAGCAGAGGGCTGGATAGGAGACTGCCACCTGGCCCAACCTCCGCTCCAGCTTGGGGAAGGGTCGGGAGGAGGACTGGGAGGAGCTGAGCCCAGCCTTACTTTTCTTGCCTTGGGGGAGGCCAGTCCTTGGCCTGGGAGGGCTGAAGCTGCTGGGGCTGAGAGGAGTGGTGCAGCCAGGGCTGGGAGTGGGGGGATTGTACAAGTAGGAGCCTACACCACCAATGTTCACCCCTGAAGAGAGAATAGGGGAGGTCAGGCTTGAGCCCCCAGCTCCCAGCCACAAGGAGGGTTCTGCTGACCCATGGCCCCTTAAGGCTGGTACTTACCCCTGGGTCCAAAGAGAGCCCCATAGCATGGCTTGTGGCAGTATGGCCTCCCATTGTGCTGGGCACAAGCAGAGGGAAGTGGGTTACTCAAGGCCAGCGGGAGCCATGCCCCACAGGCCTTCACCCCAGACAGGCTGCCAGGTGTGTCTGTCCACTGGCTGAGTCTGGTGGGCCTGGGAGGGGTGGGGGATGGGCTGGCATGCCAGCATTTCCACTGTGGTCAAGGGAGGAAGAGCAAGAGCAGCTCAGAAGGTGACGCTGCTTCCCACTCACCCTGATCCCCAAAACCATGGGATCCACAGTCACGACCCAGGTTCCCAAATTCCTGGCTGGTGTGGGGTCCACCAGGTGGGCGGCCTTGGGGTTGGCTACTGAGGTTCCCTTTGGCAGGCCTCCAGTGCTGAAGTTGGGGGCTGGTGCCTGGGGGGTGGGAGGCAGTGATGTAAACAGGGCAGTGCTCCCTGGCCAGGTCTTACCTCTGCATGCCCGCCAGGGGACAGGATGCTGTGGCAGCGCTCACATTTCAGGCAGAAGCGGTGCCAGTTCTTGCCCAGGGAGCTCACCTTCTCAGCTGTGGAGGACAAAGTGGAACCGAGCTGCGAGGAGCCTGTCCAAGCATAGGGCCCCTCCTTTCCCTCTTCGGCCCTCTAGGGAATTAGGTTGGCCTGCCCTGCTTCCTGGAGATGAGTGTCTCCAGGAGGCCAGCTCCATCCCGCTCCGGTTTCACACTCCCCACAGAGCTCTCAGAGGAAGGGAGAAGACCCGAGTGGGAGCGGGTGGTGCGGAGACTACCAGCCGCTGCAGGTGAAAAGGGTGTCTGGGACTACACTGTGGCTAGCCCTCCGCGTCCTCAGGGAATCCAGCGGCTCCCATTCGCCCCATCTTCTCCCCCTCCGCAGCCCGGGCCTCACCGAAGAAAACAGGTTGCTGGCAACGCGGACAGGTCCAGCTCATAGCTCCGCTCCAGGCAGCGCACGCGGCACACAGTAGGTACGCCGCTGCGGCTCAGTTCCGCCCCCTCCGCAGGCTCCACCCACGGCTCAGCTTTGAGCCTCCCTGGGCGGAATCCGCGGTTCCTCGGCGCTCATTGGTTATCAGAAATTTAGAACCACTCCACTTGGGAGACAAAGGGCTATTTCGCTGTTACTTCAAAGAGCATTAAAGCCTCGGTCAGACCCACGGGGAGGAGAGAGGATCTTGAAGCCGTGGACTCCAGACTAGGAAGGCACATGTGTAACGAAGACACCTGGACAGGGAGCTCTACTAGTTTCTGGAGCGGTAAGGACAGGAAAAATGTCCACAGTGCAGACATCATTAAAACACTACTCTCTCCAAAGCGAGGGAGTAGGCATTCTTTGAAATGCAAAATTCCACCTTGGCAGTATAGCAAGTGGTTGAAAGCAACAAAATCTGGAGCCCGTCTCTGGTACCCTACTCTTTGACTTCAGGCAAATTACTGAACCTCCCTCTCTGCCTCCATTTTCTCATCTGTGCAATGAGTATGATAACAGTCTCTGCCTCATAGGATTGTTATGAGAGTTAAATAGGTTAATACATGTAGAGTGCCCAAACAGCGCCTGGCATGTAAACGCTGTAACAGCTATAGCTATCACTATGATGGATCCCTTAATGAACTCAAGACTCGGTTTGGAAGCCTCAGAACATGGTCTGTATACAATCGTTTACTCCTAAAGCTGTAGGGTGGCTGGACACAGTGGCTGACACCTGTAATCCCAGCACTTTGGGAGGCCAAGGTGGGCGGATCGCCTGAGGTCAGGAGTCCAAGACCAGCCTGGCCATCGAGGCGAAACTGCGTCTCTACTAAAAATACAAAAATTAGCTGGGCGTGGTGGCGCATGCCTGTAATCTCAGCTACTCGGGAGGCTGAGGCAGGAGAATCGCATGAACCGGGAGGTGTGGAGGTTGCAGTGAGCCGAGATCGCACCACTGTACTCCAGCCTGGGGGACAAGAGCGAGACTCCATCTCAAAATAAATAAATAAATAAAAATGAAAACCAACTACACATTTCTAATCTGGTTTGCTTTAAAATTTTTAAATATTTGTGTTTTTAATGAATGTATTTATTTGAGGCAGGGTCTCTGTTGCCCAGGCTGGAATGTAGTGGTGCATCGTAGCTCACTGCAGTCTCCACCTGCCCGGCTCAAGCGATCCTCTCACTTTAGCCTCTGGAGTAGCTGGGACTACAGACACATGCCACCACACCTGGCTAATTTTTGTATTTTTTGTAGAGATGGGGTTTTGCCATGTTGCCCAGGCTGGTCTCGAATTTCTGGGCTCAAGCGATCCACCTGCCTGGGCCTCCCTAAGTGCTGGGATTACAGGTATATGCCCCCATGCCCAGATAAATATTTGTTAAAAGTAGTTCAATAGACTCTCTGGCACCATTAAAGAGATCCTGGGGACTGCCCAGTCTGTGGGCTGTAATGTTGATGGCCGCCACCCTCATGACATCATAGATGATATCAACAGTGGTTCTGTGGAATGCCCAGCCAGTTAAGCACAAAGGAAAATATTTCAATAAAGGATCATTTGACAACTGGTGGAAAAAAAAAAAAGTAGTTCAATAGTGCTTCAAAGGATATTTCAAGAAATTTAAATCCAGAGAATGGAAGAAATATTTGCAAATCTGATAAGGATCTAGTAACCAGATTATATAAATAACTTATAATGCAATAACAAAAAGACAACCCAATTAAAAGTGAGCAAAGTATTTGAATAGATGTTTTTCTAGAGATACACAAATGGCCAATAAGCACATGAAGAGATGCTGAATATCAATAGTCATTAGGGAAATGCAAATTAGGACCACAATGAGATACCATTTTATACTGACTAGGATGGTTATAATTAAAGAGACAAATATTGGCAAGAATGTGGCAAAATTGGATCCCTCATACATTGTTGGTGGCAACATAAAATGGTGTGGCCACATTGGACAACAGTCTGGCAGTTCCTCAAAAAGTTAAACATAGAGTTACCATATGACTCAGCAATTCCACTTCCAGGTTTATACCCAGGTATATAAGAGAAATGAAAACATATGTCTATACAAAAACTTGTACATGAATGTTCATAGCAGGACTATTTACAATAGTCAAAAGGTAGAAACAGCCCAAAAGTTCATTAACTGATAATGGATAAACAATATGTAGTATATCTGTATGATAGAATATTGCTCAACTGTAAAAAAGAATGTAATACTGATGCATGTTACAACACAGGTAAACCATAAAAACATTAAGTAAGAAAAGCAAGACACAAGAGGCCACATATCATATGAATCAATTCATATGAAATATTTAGAATAGGTAAATCCACAGAGACAGACAGTAGATTAGTGGTTGGCCAGTCAAGGAGATGGAATTGGAAATGTCCACTAATGGGTTCGAAGCTTCTCTATGGGAAGATAAAAATGTTCTGGAATTAGATAGCAGTAATGTTTGTACAACCTTGGAAATATACTAAAAAGCATGAACTGTAGACTTTAAAAAGGCGAATTTTATGGTATATGCGTAATGTCTTAACAACAACAACAACAACAACAATAGAACCTGAAGAAAACTAAAGAAAAAAGGCGGCCAGAAGTGGTGGCTTACGCCTGGTCCCAGCACTTTGGGAAGCTGAGGCAGGTGGACCACTTGAGCCTAGGAGTTAGAGACCAGCCTGGGCAACATGGCGAACCTCATCTCTACAAAAAATCAGCTGGGCTTGGTGGCATGTGCCTGCGAGGCTGAGGTGAGAGAATCACCTGAGCCCGGGAAGTTGAGGCTGTAGTGAGCTGAGATCACGCCACTGCACTCCAGCCTGGGCAACAGAGTGAGACTGTCTCAAAAAAAAAAAAAAAAAAAGGCAGGGGGACTGGGGGGAAAGGTAGCCAATGAAGAGCTGGAGGGAAGAGCTGATAAACTTGTGCCAGTGTCCCAGCAGAGGAGACAATAATCAATCCCTCTATGAAGGATGGAAGTGAAACCGAGTTTTCTTGAGTAAGTTCCTTTGTTACATCAAATCCGTTGAGGAAGGGCTTGCACCAAATTCATCAATGGACTGCAGTGCTGTGCTCTGCTAGGTGAAAGGCGCACTGTCTTAAGTGTCTCCTCTTGGGACATCAGTTCCTTCATCTGGGTAATGGGGTAGGGACTGGGGTCTATGAACTTCCACTGGATATTCCTGTTCCTGAATTGTCTCCATCAATCCTTTTTACTTATAACACTTGTTTTATCATTCTTAAGTTCTAAGGGTAGAAGCCTTCCACACTGTAATTTTTCTACACTTTCTCATTATTTGTTTCTTGTTTCAGGGAATATTTCAAGATGCTTAGTTTTATAACTGTTTCTTGAAAGGCTTCTTCTTTAACAAATTTGAAAAATATTAGTTTTAGCTTCCACTGAATTTTCCTGTCTTGTTTCTGCCTCTCATTTCTTGTTTTTTTTTTTTCTTTTCTTTTTTTTTTTTTTTTTTGAGACAGAGTCTCGCTCTGTTGCCCAGGCTGGAGTGCAGTGGTGCGTTCTCGACTCACTGCAACCTCTGCCTCCTGGGTTCAGGTAATTCTCCTGTCTCAGCCTCCTGAGTAGCTGGGACTACAGGTGCGCGCCACCACGCCCAGCTAATTTTTGTATTTTTAGTAGAGACGGGGTTTCACCATGTTGGCCAGGCTGGTCTCGAACTCCTCCTGACCTCAAGTGATCCATGTGCCTCGGCCTCCCAAAGTGCTGAGATTACATGTGTGAGCCACCGTGCCTGGCCTAAAAATTATTTAAAAAAGAAATGAAGCCGGACGCGATGGTTCACGCCTGTAATCCCAGCACTTTGGGAAGCTGAGGTGGGTGGATCGCTTGAGGTCAGGAGTTCGAGACCAGCCTGGCCAACATGGTGAAATCCTGTCTCTACTAAAAATACAAAAATTAGCCAGGCATGGTGGTGCACGCTTGTAATCCCAGCTACTCGGGAGGCTGAGGCACAAGAATTGCTTGAACCTGGGCGGAAGTTGCAGTGAGCTGAGATCACACCATTGCACTCCAGCCTGGGCAACAGAGTGAGACTCAGTCTCAAAAAATAATAATTTTTAGTTTTTGTGGTTACCTAGTAGTGAGATTGCTACATCGTATATTGCTATGCTCTATTTTTAGATTTTGAGGAACCTCTAAACTCTTCTCCACAGTGGCTGTACTAATTTACATTCCCATCAACAGTGTATGAGTGTTCCCTTTTCTCTACATCCTTGCCAGCATTTCTTATTGCCTCTCTTTTGGATAAAAGCCATTTTAACTTGGGTGAGATGTTATCTGTTTTGATTTGTATTTGTATGATCAATTATGTTGATGATCTTTTCATATACCTGTTTGCCACTTGTACATCTTCGAGTCATTAGTTTCTTCTTGGAGGAAGAAGCTACAGGTTTACTGACTTTTGCTCCCTATGGCTCTCAGAGAGAAGTACCCACTTCAGGAGGTTGGGAGGACTGCATTGGTATGTTTATTCTTAGATATGCTGCCTCCTCAAGGAAGGCTAATTTCATCTTCCCAGGTTCTCAGAACTTCCAGGACACATCAAATAATCCTTTTCCAAGGTTCTCTAGCACTTTCTGTCTTGGATTACCTTGTGTGCTTGCCTCATCTGCCTGGGCAGGTCATCTTTACCCCAGCATCTAGCACAGGGCCCAACACAAAGGAACAAACCTTGCGGTGTGAGTCCCATGTTGCTTTCACATAGCTTGCAATCAGTCAGTGGCGCAAATGCTTTACTGCTCCCCACATCTTGTAGGGCCTTTATTGTATGGCCTAATCTCACAATATGCTTCGGCTCTTCTATTTCAGTGCTTAGGAAAGACTAGTTGAGGCTCCACCCTTCCAAACACTTGCACTATGCATTTGCAGGTACAGCAAATTACAGTAGTCCACTTTTCTTCTTTGCCTGGTTTCCATTATTGACTCGAACAGAAGCTATGTAAAGAATAACTGGGAAAACACATTTCTTGTAGGAATGCATTTGAGTTACTGACAGTGGATGTTTTGAAGAACAGTTGGTGTGACTAAAGTCTCTAAAATGATATTTTAATAAATACTACAGATGGGTAAGTCCACCTCAAAGAAGGTATTACTCAATTGTTAAGGTGCAGTTTGTGTCATCTCCCATTAGAGGCAGGCCTCTTTCTCACAAAGACCACTGTTCCCTTAGTGCCCGCCCTGCCTTTTTCCTGCACAGACCTCTGTTACAGTATCTGTAACATTGTATGACACTTGTTTACTTGTTTGACTTTGACAGAACTGATGGAGAATTATCTGTGTATCTTTAACAGTGAGTGCAGTATAGGTAATCAGTAAATGATAGCTATTATTATTAAACTCTCCCACTAACTTTACTTCATGTTTTTAAGCTCTATTATTAGGTACATAAATGTTTCAGGATTGTGTTTGCTCGAGGAATTAACCGTTTGATTAGTGTTGTTAGAAAAGCTGAAGAAACAAGCTTTTCCATTCTAGGTGAGTAAGTGGTCCCGTAGAGATAGTGACTTCTAGTCCCTGGAGGGCTGTCACATGGAAAAGGCATTAGGGGTACTACCAAGACCCCTGGAGAGAGAACACAGGGAAGCAGATTTGGATTAGGTCCCCTCCAAAACCCTTTTAATAGAGCCCCAATATAGAGTGGCTGCTTCAGACAGTGGTGAGCTTCCTGTTTCTGGACACAATACTGGACAATAAACCAACTGATCCTCAGTGTTGCAGAAGGTATCCAAATATCATATGCAGATAGAACTTTAAAGCCTCTTCATGATTTAACAATTATGATTCTGTGATTCCTTTCCCAAAAAGGAGCTTGAAACTTGTGTTAGAAAGAGGGCATTACTAGAGCTGATGAAGGGTAGAAATGTTACATTCCCAATTGTATAAAAAAGAAAGTGGCTTGGTAAGGTTACGAAATTAGTAAAACATTTGGCCAGGTGCGGTGGCTCATGCCTGTAATCCCAGCACTTTGGGAGGCCGAAGTGGGAGGATCACCTGAGGTTAGGAGTTCGAGACCAGACTGTCCACCATGGTGAAACCCCGTCTCTACTTAAAATACAAAAAACTTAGCTGGGCGTGGTGGCAGGTGCCTGTAATCCCAGCTACTCAGGAGGCTGAGGCATGAGAATTGCTTGAACCTGGGAGGTGGAGGTTGCAGTGAGCCGAGATCGCACCACTGCAGTCCAGCCTGGACGACAGAGCAAGACTCAGTCTCAAAGAAAAAGAAAAAAAGAAATGTGTAAAACATCATACAGACCCAAGCATTCTGACTCTTGAGCCCATACTCTTTCCACTCTATACCCCCCTAAGCATGGTTTTTGCCCATGTGTTTCAACCTGAAAAGACACTACACTTGTCTGCACAGCACCTCCATACCTGAAGATAAGAGGGCCTATCCAGGAAAATAATGGGTTGAGATGCAAGGGGCAGGGAAATGTCATTAAAACCTTTCCATGATTTCTCAGTATCCTCAAGACAGGACCCTCCACTTTTCCAGTCTTCTAGCCATTTCTCCTGTTGCATCGACCCCTCCATCCACATCAAATGAGCTTCTTGAATCTGTTAAGTTCTATTCTGCCTCAGGGCTTTTGCAAAGGCCATCTTTTCTGAGAATTCACTTCCCCAGTATCTTCACCTCATCAATTCCTACCTAACCTCAGCTCCCCCTCAACTACTCCACACCAGGTTATTGACCCCAAGCACTGTTTCTATACCACCATCCTCTCCTGGAGGGTAGAGGGGGCCCAAACTATGACAGCTGTGTTTTCCCTGAGTGCTGAACCAAATAAGAAATAAAAGACAAACAGAGATCCTTTATTATTATTATTATTACTATTTTGAGACAGTCTCATTCTGTTGCCCAGGCTGGAGTGCAGTGGCATGATCTCAGCTCACTGCAATCTCTGCCTCCCAGGTTCAAGTAATTCTCCTGCCCCAGCCTCCCTAGTAGCTGGGATTACAGGAGTGTGCCACCATGCCCGGCTAATTTTTGTATTTTTAGTAGAGACAAGGTTTCACCATGTTGGCCAGGCTGGTCTTGGACTTTTGACTTCAAGTGATCCACTCACCTTGGCCTCTCAAAGTGCTGGGATTACAGACATGAGCCACCACCCAGCCCATCATCTTTATTATTGATAAAGGACAGGTTGTAGTTTAGAAAGTGAAATAAATATGGTAACTTCCTGCCTACCTCCTCCACTCCAATCTGGGCTTTGTCTGCCCCCTTAGTCTGTGAGATCCATGAGAGCAGGGACCAGGCTGCTTTGCCAACCATTGCATATATTTCCAGTGCCTTGCTCAAATCTCTGGCACATAGTGCTCAACAAATACTTGCTGGTGAATGAATGTTACATGTTATATACAAGTCCCCCTGAGTGTGATAGATGAGTGCTAGTGAGAGATGTGGGAATAAGAGGGGACTGGTAGAGGTTGAGAGTTGGTAACAACGAGTGTCCTGGAGTGAAGGAAGTTCAGCTGCCTAGGAATAAGGTCTCAGGAATTTGTTTCCTTTTTTCCTTCAAGAGACAGGATCTTGCTCTGTCACCCAGGCTGGAGTACAGGTCACAGCTCACTGTAACCTGGAACTCCTGGGCTCAAGCAATCCCCCCATCAGTCTCCTAAGTAGCTAGGACTACAGCCATGTGCCACTGTACCTCGCTAATTTTTTATTTTTTGTAGAGATGGGGTTCCACTACGTTGCCCAGGCTAGTCTTGAACTCCTGGCCTGAAAAGATCCTCCTGCCTTGGCTTCCCAAAGCGCTGTGAGTCACTGTGCCCCGCCAGGAGTTTTGTTTCTCAATATACATGAGGATCAACATGTATGATACAAAACAGAAAATATAACTTAACTGATCCTGATTATAAATAGTAGGTAACTAATTAAGTAAATAGAGAACTGAAAATTTGCTTTTGGTAGCAAACAAGTCCCACCAATTGTAGTCATTCATAAGAACTTACTAATTAAGCTTAATTAGCATGTGGCACAATTATGTCTATCATTAATTATGTGGCAAATAAGAGAATGTGGGGAAGTGTTATGTAAACTATAAAGCAACCTTATAAATAAGGCTGCTATTATGTGTCAGGTTAGCTTTGCAGTGAATTTGATTACAACAACAAACTCCACCCATTTATGTCTTTGTAGGCTTGTTCAAGTACATGGTCATATGCCTGTGACTTTTTTTTTTTTTTGAGACAGAGACACACCCTGTAACCCAGGCTGGAGTGCAATGGCGTGATCTTGGCTGGCTGCAACCTCTGCCTCCCGGGTTCAAGCAATTCTCCTGCCTCAGCCTCCCAAGTAGCTGGGATTACAGGCATGCACCACCATGCCTGGCTAATTTTTTGTATCTTTAGTACAGATGGGGTTTCACTTTGTTGGCCAGGCTGGTCTTGAACTCCTGACCTTGTGATCTGCCCACCTTGACCTCCCAAAGTGCTGGGATTACAGGCGTGAGCCACTGTGCCCGGCCATGCCTGTGACTTTTAAGGCATTACCCAGAACTTTGTTCTTAGATAACTCTTTTGAAAGGGAAATCACTCAGTTCTGGTAAGTTAATGAAAAATCAGTCTTATTTCTTTATAGTTGTGTTTCTTAATCCTTACTACCCATAAACCTTTTGCTTTCTCATTGCATCTTCTGCATGTCTGCTCCAACTACAAAGCTTTACTTTCTGTAGTTTATATTACTTTTTAAAAAGGGAAACACACACAAAACAAAAAAAGACTGAATTTGCTTTCTTAAAACATACTAATCACCCCACCCACAGAGAACTGCTGCTGTATAGTTATAAACATCATTTATGGCTCTAGCAAGAGTCTGTTTAATTTTTTTCCCCCTCATTTTCCAGCATCATCTTGCCATTACATGAACCTGTTGAGAGTACTCTGTATAAAGCTAATAGTGGTTAGCTGCTTAGGGATATTGAGTAGGCTACATTTTGTGATTCAGTGGCATCAACTAGACTAATTCAGAATCAAGACTGCAGGAAAGGACACCCTAAACCTTTGCCATGAGTGCCTTCAACCTATGTTTGCGAAGAAATCAATAACATCTTTAAACGATGGTTTTTCATGCAAAGATGGATTTGGCTTTTCAAGTATTCACTTAGAAATGTGTATTTCATCTGAAAATATATAAAAATAACTACCTACAAATAATTTGCAGCATGAAAAATGTATCCATATGCTGGAAACTGAGGAGGAATAGAAAGAAGTGAAACTTGGTAGTCAGCTTGCTTATAAATCTGATAGATGGTGGCAATGCTCCGTGGAGTTGGCGTAAAGTCCTAGTAACTTCCTCATCTTCATGCTAAGGTCTGGAGGGTAATTTTTAAATAATATACAAAAATAGTCCTTACAGGTCATGAGACTATGTTAATGCTATGTTAATGAGGCTAAAACAGTTTAATCTTGTGATTCATACAAATGCAAATGCTTACCTTTCCATAGAGGAGTCTTTCATTTCCTCTATGAAGCTCAAGGTCACAGAATCAGGAGTCAAATTCCACCCTCTTCCCAAATCCAAAATGATTGGGCTTTTCCTCTTCTTCTCCTGGGCTTTTGGAACAGGCAGAGCTATAAAGCGCTTATTTGTAATTTCTACCCTCCTATTACCAAAAAAGAAGGCAGCATCTTAGTGGAGACAAGAAACTGAACACTGATCTTTTGATAAAAGCCATAAAGAGAAAGTCTACAAAGAAGGCACTGAACCTTTGTAGCTTTATATTTTTATTTTCTACTTTGAAGCATTTCCTTTGAAGAACCTCATCTCTCCCTATTCCATGTTAATTCAAATTTGTCTATGTGGTTTAATAAGGCAGACCCTGCCTTCTTATGATGAGCTTGTAACCTGGACCTGGTCCGAGTACTTCACCCATCTGACCATAGTAATTGTTCAGGTATAGAAATGTGGCTCAAATCAGACTAATCATCATCCTCCCTAAGACTGGTATTATAAGAAAGGATATACTCTCAATTTCTAGATAGAAGCCTATAAGGACCAGACAGCTTGAAACTGAAGGGGGTATCTTGCCTCTGAGTAGAGAGACTTCTGAAAATAAGGCCAAGCAGAGCAGAAGGACTGGGGAAGAGAGAATCCAGATGACATCTCTGACCTTCTGGATGTGGCTCTCAGTTTCCTGGTTACCAACCCATAAGTCACCACTCCGATCGTCTTTCTTAAGTTTATTTGCATTAGGTTTCTTTTTTTCTTCTTCTTAACCACTAGACAATATAGAAAGTATTAGGTTTCTGACACAACCCCAAGGGTCCTAATTAACAAAACACGTATCTTTATACAATATAAATGTTTCTTGCACATAAGAATATATTGAGGCTGGGTGTGGTGGCTCACACCTGTAATCTCAGCACTTTGGGAGGCCAAAGCGGGTGGATCACCTGAGGTCAGGAGTTTGAGACCAGCCTAGCCAACATGGCGAAACCCTGTCTCTACTAAAAAAAAATAAATAAACGGGCATGATGGCAGGCACCTGTAATCCCAGCTACTTGGGAGGTCGAGGCAGGAGAATCACTTGAACCTGGGAGGTGGAAGTTGCAGTGAGCCAAGATCGCACCATTGCACTCTAGCCTGGGCGACAGAGCAAGACTCCATCACAAAAAAAAAAAAAAAAAAAAAAAAAAAGAATTATATCTGGCAAGTGCTGTGGCTCATGCCTATAATCCCAGATTTTGGAAAGCCAAGGTGGGTGGATTGCTTGAGCCCAGGAGTTCAAGACCAGTCTAGGCAACATGGTGAAACCCTGTCTCCACAAAAAACAAAAATTAGCCAGGTGTGGTGGCACACACCTGTAGTCCCAGCTACTTAGGAGCTGAGGTAGGAGGATTGCTTGAGCCCAGGAGATTGAGGCTGCAGTGAGCTGTGATCATGCCACTGCACTCCAGCTTGGGCAACAGAACAAGACCCTGCCTCAAAACAAAACAAGAATTATATCATCTTGTGTAAAGTTATGATATTGTAGGTAGTTTTACATACGTATTTGCTTAATGCATGATTTAAAAGATAACATGGTGGGAAAAAAAAGGGCTGGAAAATAAAGGCTGGAAAAAAATGTACTGGAAAATTGAGGAAAAAGCAAGTTCAATTATGAACATAATTATGAACAAGTTCAATTATGAACTAGTTCATAATTATGTTAAAACTTAATCCCCAATGCAATAATATTTAGAGATAGGGCCTTTAGGAGGTGGTTAGACTATGAGGGCAGAGGCCTCATGAATGTGATTAGTGCCTTTATAAAAGAGGCCAGGGAACCTGTTTGCCCTTTCTGCCATGTGAGGTTACTGTGAAAAGACTTTCATCTATGAGGAAGAAGGTTCTCACCAGACACCAAATCTGTAAGCACCTTGATCTTGGACTTCCCAGCCTTTGGAACTGTGAGCAGTAAATTTCTGTTGTTTTTAAATTACCCAATCTAAGCTATTTTGTCAGAGTAAGCTGAATGGATTAAAACATCAATTAAATGACAGAAATTGGCAGAATGGATAAGAAAAAACATGATCCAACTATATGCTGTATATAAGAGATTCATTTTATTTTACTTTATTCTTCTTAAAATTTTGTTTACAGCTCCTTTCTTACCTGAAGGAGACTCATTTTAGATCCAAAGATAAACATAGGTTGAAAAGAATGAAAAAAGATATTCCGTGGAAATAGTAATCAAAAGAGAGCTGAGATAGATATACTAACACCAGATAAAACAGACTTTCAGTAAAAAAAATTGTTAAAAGAGGCTGAATGTAGTGGCTCATGCCTGTAATCCCAGCACTTTGGGAAGCTGAGGAAGGAGGATCACTTGACGCCAGGAGTTCAAGACCAGCCTAGGCAACACAGTGAGACCCCCATTTCTACAAAATAATTTTAAAATAATTAGCTGGGCGCCATGGCATGAGCCTACAGTCCCAGTTACTTGGAGGCTGAAGTGGGAGGATTGCTTGAGTCCAGGAGCTCAAGGATGCAGTGAGCTATGATCCTGCCATTGCACTCATGCCTACCCAAGCAACAGAGCAAGACCCTGTTTCTTAAAAAAATAAATAAATAAATAAAATAAAATAAAAAAAGTTGTTACAAGAGACAAAGAAAGTCATTATATATTGATAAAAGGGTCAAATGATCAAGAAGAAATATAGCAGCTATAAACATACATGCATCAGACAACAGAAGCCCAACATATATGTAGCAAGTACTGACAAAACTGAAGGGAGAGAAATATGGTTGTCCTTCTGTATATGCAGGGGATTGGTTCCAGGACCCCTGTTGGATAACAAACTCTGCAAGTACTCAAATCCCTTATATGAAGTGGTGTACTATTTGCATATAACCTATGTACATCCTCCTATATACTTTAAATAATCTCTAGATTACTTATAATACCTAATAAAATATAAATGCTATGTAAACAGTTGGTATACTACAATTGTTTTTATTTGTATTTTTTAATTGTTGTATTATTATTTTTTATTTTAACTTTTTCAAATATTTTTGATTCATGATTGGTTGAATCTGTGGATGTGGAATCCATGGTTATGGAGAGCTGATCATAGACAGTTCTACAATAATAGTTGGAGACTCCAGTACGACACTTCAATAGTAAATAGAACATCTAGACAGAAGTTTGATAAGAAAACAGAAGACTTTAACAACACTAAACCAAGTAGACCTAACAGACATATAAAACACTTTACCCAACAATAGCAGAATGTGCATTCTTTTCAAGTGTATGAAACATTCTCCAGGACAGATCATGTGTTAGGTCATAAAGCAAGTGTGGCTACAAAATAATACATTAGAAAAATACCTAAATCATACAAGTATCTTCACCAACCACAATGCAATGAAGCTAGAAATCAGTAACAAGGAAAACTGATAAGTTCATAAGCATATAGAAATTAAACAACACGTTCTTTTTTTTTTTTTTTTGAACAGTGTCTTGCTCTGTCACCCAGGCTGGAGTGTGGTAGCATAACCATAGCTCACTGCACCCTGAACTCCTGGGATCAAGTGATCCTCCCACCTCAGCCTCCTGAGTAGCTAGGACTACAGGCTCAAGCCACCACAGCCAGCTAACTTTTTATTTTTATTTTTTGGTAGAGGTGAAGTTTTGCTTTGTTGCCTGAAATGATCTCAAACTCCTGACCTCAAGCAATCCTCCCACCGCAGCCTCCCAAAATGCTGGGATTACACTGTAAACCATTACAAGCATGAGCCACTACACCTGGATAAACAATACGTTCCTAAAACAATCAATGAGTCAAAGAACTCATAAAAGAAGGTATAAAACACTTTGAGATGAATAAAAACAAAACCACAACACTTCAAAACTTATGGGACGCTGTTAAAAATGTGCCAAGAGAAATTATAGCTGTAAACACTTACTTTATTAAAAGATTTCCAATCTGACCAGGTGCAGTGACTCACGCCTGTAATCCCAGCACTTTGGGAGGCCAAGGCGGGCGGATCCACCTGAGGGCAGGAGTTCGAGACCAGCCTGGTCAACATGGTAAAACCCCATCTCTACTAAAAATACAAAAATTAGCCAGGCGTGGTGGCACATGCCTGTAATCCCAGCTACTTGGGAGGCTGAGGCATGAGAATCACTTGAACCCAGGAGGTGGAAGTTGCAGTGAACTGAGATCATGCCTCTGCACTTCAGCCAGGGTGACAGAGTAAGACTCTGTCTCAAAAAAAAAAAAAAAAAAAAAAAAAAAAAAGATCTCCAATCAACAACCAAATATTACACCTTGAGGAACTGAAAAGAGAAATGTAAATTAAATGAGAAGCTAGCAGGAGGAAGGACACAGAAACAATTAGAGCAGAGATAAAGGAAATAAAGAATAGAAAAACAATAGAGGCCAGGCGCAGTGGCTCACGCCTGTAATCCCAACACTTTGGGAGGCTGAGACGGGCAGATCACCTGAGGTCAGAAGTTCAAGACCAGCCTGGCCAAAATGGTGAAACCCTGTCTCTACTAAAATATAAAAAAGAAGCCAGGTGTGGTGGCCTGCACCTGTAATCCCAGCTATTCAGGAGGCTGAGGCAGGAGAATTGCTTGAACCTGGGAGGCAGAGGTTGTCGTGAGCTGAGATCACGCCACTGCACTCCAGCCTGGGCAACAGGGCAAGACTATCTCTCAAAAAAAAAAAAAAAAAAAAAAGGAAAAGAAAATCAATCAATGTAATATACCACATTAATAAAAGAAAAAACTCCACATATGATCATCTCAATTGACACAGAAAAAATATTTGATAAAATCCAACACCCTTTCATAATAAAAATTCTCAAGACACTAGGAATAGAAGGGAACTCCTTCAACATGATAAAGGGCATCTATGAAAAACCTACAGCTAACTTCATACTCAGACTAAAGTTTTCCCCTTATGATCAGCAGTAAGACAAGGATGCTACTTTCACCACTGCTACTTAACATTGTATTGAAGTTCTAGCTGGAGCAATTAGGCAAGAAAAAGAAAAACTATCTCTATTGTAAGATGACATGATTTTATGCATATAAAAATCCCAGGGTGGGTGTGGTGGCTCACTCCTGTAATCCCAGCACTTGGGGAGGCTGAGGCAGGAGAACTGCTCTAGCCCAGGAGTTTGAGACCAGCCTGAGCAGTATAAATTTTAAAAATTAGCCAGGTATGGTGGTGTACATCTGTGGTCCCAGCTGCTTGGGGGACTGAGGTGGGAAGATTGCTTGAGCCTAGGCTGAGGGTGTAGTGAGCCATGATCACACCACTGTACTCCATTCTGGGTGACAGAACAAGACTCTGTCTCAAATAAGTAAATAGATAAATAAGTAAAATATAATAAAAAATAAAAATTTCCAAAGAATCTATACACACACAAAATCTACTAGAACAAGTAAATGAATTCAGCAAAGTTTCAGGGTACAAGATCAACACATGAAAATCAGTTGGGTTTCTATACACCTGCAATGAATACTTTGAGAGGAAATTAAGAAACCAATTACAATAGCATATAAAATAATAAAATACTTAGTATTAGATTTAGCCATGGAGGTGAAAGACATACACAAAAACTACAAAATACTGCTGAAAGTGATTAAAGACGACCTAAATAAATGAAAAAGTATCCCATGTGTAGGGATCAGAATACTTGATATCAAGATGATAATATTCAAAGCAATCTACAGATTCAATGCATTCCCTATCACAATTTCAAGATTTTTTTGCAGAAATGGAAAAGCTGATCCTCAAATTCACATGAAATTGCAACAGGGCCCAAAGAGCTAAAACAATCTTGAAAAAGAACAAGGTTGGTGGACTCCTTCTTCTCAATTTCAAAACATACTACAAAGCTACAGTAAGCAAAACAGTGTGGGACTGGCATAAGGAAACACATATAAATCAATGGAGTAGAATGATGAGTTCAGAAATAAACCCATACATCTATGGCCAACTGATTTTCACTAAGGGTGCCATGATTCTTAATGGGCGAATAAACAGTCTTTTCATAAACGGTGCTGGGACAACCAGATATTCACGTGCAACAAATGGAGTTGGATCCCTCACACCATACATAAAAATTACTCAAAATGGAACAACAACCTAAACATAAGAGCTAAAACTGTAAAACTCTTAGAAGAATACAAAAGGGTAAATCTTTAAGACCTTCGATTTGGCAATCAAAGGATATCATGAAACTGAAAAGACAACCTAGAGAATAGTTGTAAGTCATATATCTGATAAAAACCAGTATGCAGAATATATAAAGAATCCTTACAATTCTACAACAGAAAGACAAACATTCCAATTTTAAAATAGGTAAAGGACTTGAATAAATATTTCTGCAAAGAAGATATAAAAACGGCCAATAAGGCCGGGCACAGTGGCTCACCCCTGTAATCCCAGCACTTTGGGAGGCCAAGGCGGCCGGATCACTTGAGGTCAGGAGTTCAAGACCAGTCTGGCCAAAATGGCAAAACCCCATCTCTACTAAAAATACAAGTATTAGCTGGGCATGGTGGCCCACGCCTGTAATCCCAGCTACTACAGAGGCTGAGGCAGGAGAATCACTTGAACCCAGGAGGCGAAGGCTGCAGTGAGCTGACACTGTGTCACTGCACTCCAGTCTGGGTTAGAGAGTGAGATTCTGTCTCAATTAAAAAAAAAATGGCCAGTAAGTACATGAAAAGATGCTCACTGCTGGGAGCAGTGGCTCACACCTGTAATCACAGTACTTTGGGAGGCCAAATAGAAGGATTGCTTGAGCCCAGGAGTTTAAGACCAGCCTAGGCAACATAGCAAGACCCCGTTCTCTACAAAAAATAAAAAATTAGCTGAGTGTGGTAGTGTGTGCCTTTGGCCCCAACTACGCAGGAGGCTAAGGTGGGAGGATCACTGGAGCCCAGAAGGTTGATGCTGCAGTGAACCGTGTTCCCACCACTGCATGCCAGCCAGGGCAACAAAGCAAGACCCTGTCTCAAAAACAACAACAAAAGAGATGCTCAGTATCGCTGTCATAAGGAAAATGTAAATTGAAACCACGATGAGATACTAGGATGGTTATATTTTAAAAAAGGGGAATAACAAGTGTTATGGAGAAATTGTACAATGCTGTAGGGATGTAAAATGATTCAAGTGCTATGGAAAACTGGCAGTTCCTCAAAAAATTAAACATAGAATAGCCGTATGACCCAGCAATTTTACTTCTAGTAAATACCTGAAAGAATAAAAAAACAGGTACTCAAATACTTATGCAGGAAATGTTCATAGCAGCATTATTCGAAATAGCCAAAGGTGGAAACAACTCAAATGTCCATCAGCAAATGAATGGATAAACAGATTGTGATATATACATATAATGGAGTATTATTCAGCTATGAAAAGGAATAAAACACTGATACATACTACAACATGGATGAATCTCAAAAACATTATGCTAAGTGAAAAAATAGTAACACAAAAATACAGATGAAAGGTCACACATTGTATGATTTTATTTATATGAAATGTCCAGAATAGATAAATCAATATAGAAAGAAAACAGATTGGTGATTGCCAGGGGCTGCAGGTAGGTGGGAATGGGGACTAACTGCTTAAGGGAAATAGTGTTTTATTTTGGGTGATGAAAATTTCACATATTTTATAATGTAAATTTCACCTCGATTTTTTTTTAAAAAGTACCAGAGATTGTTATAACAGTCAGATTACTGGTTACATTTTGGGGAAGTGGTAACTGGAAGATAACATGAGAGGAGCTTCCAGGGTGTTGGTCATATTTTATTTTTTGATTTGGGTGTTGGTTACCTAGGTCTGTTCACTTTGTGAAATTGTTAAGCTTAACACTTGTAATGTGTTTTGTTTTTTGTTTTTGAGATAGGGTTTTACTATCATCCAGGCCAGAGTGCAGTGGTGCAATCATGGCTCACTGTAGCCTCTACCTCGTGGCCTCAAGCGATCCTCCCACCTCAGCCTCCTGAGCAGCTGGGACTAAAAGCACCCGCTCCCATGCCCAGCTAATTTTTCTATTTTTTGTAGAGACAGGGTCTTGTTATTTCACCCAGGCTGGTCTTGAACTCCTGGACACAAGTGATCCTCCCGCATGTTGATCCTATCCAACATGGATAGGAGATTCATCCATGTTGGCCTCCTAAAGTGCTAGGATTACAGGCATGAGCCACTGTGCCCAGCCTGTTTTTAAAATATGAACATTGTACTTTAATATAAAAGTTTACTTAGAAAAAAGTTAAGGCCGGGTGCGGTGGCTCACGCCTGTAATCCCAGCACTTTGGGAGGCTGAGGTGGGCAGATCACAAGGTCAGGAAATCAAGACCATCCTGGCTAACACGGTGAAACCCCATCTCTACTAAAAATACAAAAAATTAGCCATGAGTGCTGGCGGGCGCCTGTGGTCCCAGCTACTCAGGAGGCTGAGGCAGGAGAATGGCCTGAACCTGGGAGGTGGAGCTTGCAGTGAGCCGAGATTGCGCCACTGCACTCCAGCCTGGGCAACAGAGGGACAGAGCGAGACTCCGTCTCAAAGAAAAAAAAAAGAAAAAAGTTAAATGGGGCCGGGCATGGTAGCTCACCCTGTAATCCCAGCACTTTGGGAGGCCGAGGCGCATGGATCACCTGATGTCAGGAGTTCGACACCAGCCTGGCCAACATGGTGAAACCCCATCACTACTAAAAATACGAAAATTAGCTGGGCATGGTGGCGGGCGCCTGAAATCTCAGCTACTCGGGAGGCTGAGGCAGGAGAATTGCTGGAACCCAGGAAGCAGAAGTTGCAGTGAGCTGAGATCGTGCCATTGCACTCCAGCCTGGGCAACAACAGCTAGACTCCATCTCAAAAAAAAAAAAAAAAGAAAAAAGTTAAACGGTTACCATATGACTATATATTCCTAGTTGTGCACCCTAGGGAACTAAAAACGTATATTTACACAAAAACTTGTACATGAATGTTCACAGATTATTCATAATAGGCAAAATATGAAAATAGCCCAAATGTCCAACAATTAGTAGACAAAACATGGTATATCCATACAGTGGAATAACTAGCCATAAAATACAATGATACATGGTATAACATGGATGAACTTTGACAACATTATGCTAAGTGAAAGAAGCCAGACACAAAAGAAATTTATTGTATGATTCCATTTATATTAAATGCTCAAAATAGGCAAATCCATAGAGACAGAAAGGAGACTGGTGATTGCCAGTGGCTTGGGAGTAGGGGTGACTGGGAGTATCTGCTAATGGGTATATGTTTTTTTTTAGAGGATGATGGAAATGTTCTGGAATTAGATAGTGGTGATAGTTGTACAACACTGAAGATACGAAAAATCACAGGACTATACACTTAAAAATGGTGAATTTGGCCAGGCACAGTGGCTCACGCCTCTAATCATATCACTTTGGGAGGCTAAGGTGGAAGGATCACTTGAGCCCAGGAAGTGGAGGTTGCTGTGTGCCATGATTGCAGGACTGTACTACTCCAGCCTGGACGACAGAGTGAAACCCTGTCTCAAAAAAATAAAGGTGAATTTTATGTTTTGTGAAATTCAACATATTAACTGTAATTCAATAAAAAAGATCTTACATATTTCATCATTCATAATACATGTGAATTCATATAAAATAAAAGAAGTCCAAAGGGGTCTAGAGGTATGGCAGACGTTCTCTTTCCCCTGTCTATATTTCCTTTACAATCGGCCACCATCGAAAAGTTGAGGAAGCCTAGAGCTCTCAGGAGCAGTCCTTTGAGCTTGTGTAGGGGCACTCAGAATGGTCCAGCATTTGACATACCATCATAGGCTTTCCTACAATATAGCCTCTAACAAAACCAGGCTGTCCCAAACCCCTGGTAATATAATTGTTTACCTTTATACCAAGAAGGTTGGGAAAGCACCAAATTCTGCATGTGGTGTGTGCCCAGGCAGACTTCAAGGGGTTTGTACTGTGAGACCTAAAGTTCTTATGAGATTGTGGAAAACAAAAAAAACATGTCAGCAGGGCCTATGGTGGTTCCATGTGTGTTAAATGTGTTCATGACAAGATCAAGCGTGCTTTCCTTATTGAAGAGCAGAAAATTGTTGTAAAAGTATTGAAGAGTCAGAAAGCTAAATAAAAATGAAGCTTTTTGAATAATAATAACAGAAAAAAGAAGTCCGAAAGGAAAAACAGTATTCTAAAAAATGTTCCCTTTCCCTCACCTATCCCCCAGATCAGTACAGCTCAGACACCATTGGAGAACTGAGGTCTAAGCAGCAAAGCAGGTGATGGAGGTAGGGCTGTGAGTCATAGTTTGTATGAAAGCTTGTGACCAACATCTTTGACTGTCCCTGAACAGAGGAATGTGACAGTTGATAAGAAACAGATCTTGGGCTGGAACAAAGGAGAGAAAGTGGTGGTGACCAACGTGTTGGCAGCCCTGGCACCAGGTTGCTTTCCATTGCTTCATCCACCAGGTCATGCCTCAGGAATAAGTAATCCTTAACTAATATATCAGCAGCATGAGGCCCTGAGGTACTTTTTGCCCTTGATTGACTTCTTATTCCACTGATGGCTTTGCTTAATATCATGAATATTCCCGAAAGTTACTAAAACCATAGATGTATTTGGGCAGTAAACTAGACCTCCAGGACTCTAAAAATGCCTGGACTTACAAATCAAAAACAAAACCAGCCTGGCGTGGTGCTCACGCCTGTAATCCAAGCACTTTGGGAGGCCGAGGGGGGCGGATCGCTTGAGGTCAGGAGTTCATGACCAGCTTGGCCAGCGTGGTGAAACCCTGTCTCTACTAAAAATACAAAAATTAGCCAGGCATGGTGGCACACGCCTGTAATCCCAGCTACTTGGGAGGCTGAGGCAGGAGAATCGTTTGAACCCAGGAGGCAGAGGTTGCAGTGAGCTGAGATCGCGCCACTGCACTCCAGCCTGGGCAACAGAGTGAAACTCTGTCTCAAAAAAAAACCCAAAAGCAAAACAAAACAAAAAAACAAAACCAGCCTAATAGTTTTCAGGATAAATCTGGAATTGACACAGCTTAGATTTAAATAAATCTCAGAGTTTACAGGATTTAAAGGTCAGCTAAATTTTACTAGGTTCTGGTTCTCATTCCCACTGTGTTTCTGAGCCCATAGCCCCAAAGTACAAAGAGGAATAAAAGTACCTATTAGCATTTTTTGGCCAGGCGCAGTGGCTCACGCCTGTAACCTCAGCACCTAGTGAGGCTAAGGCGGGTGGATCACTTGAAGTCAGGAGTTTGAGACCAGCCTGGCTAACATGGTGAAACCCCATCTCTACTAAAAATAAAAAAATTAGCCAGGCATGGTGGCACACGCCTGTAATTCCAGCTACTCGGGAGGCTGAGGCACGAGAATTGTTTGTACCCGGAAGGTGGAGGTTATAGTGAGCTGAGATCGCGCCATTCCACTCCAGCCTGGCCGAAAGAGTAAGACTCTGTCCCCCCTCCAAAAAAAAAGGTACCCACTAGCATTTTTTCCTTTTTTCTTTTTCTTTCTTTCTTTTTTTTTTTTTTTTGAGACAGAGTTTCGCTCTTGTCACCCAGGCTGGAGTGGAATGGCGCAATCTTGGCTCACTGTGACCTCTGCCTCCCAGGTTCAAGCGATTCTCCTGCCTCAGCCTCCCAGCCTCCCAAGTAGCTGGGATTATAGATGACTGCCAACACCCCTGGCTAATTTTTTGTATTTTTAGTAGAGATGGGGTTTCACCATGTTGGCCAGGCTGGTCTCGAACTCCTGACCTCAAGTGATCTGCCAGCCTTGGCCCCGCAAAGTACTGAGATTACAGGCATGAGCCACCACACCCAGCCCTTTTTTTTTTTTTGAGTTGGTGTCTCTGTCCTCCAGGCTGAGGCGCAGTAGCCCAATCAAGGCTCACTGCAACCTCTGCCTCCCGGGTTCAAGCAATTCACCTGCCTCAGCCTCCCAAGTAGCTGGGATTACAGGCATATGCCACCATGCCCAGCTAATTTTTGTATTTTTAGTAGAGACAGGGTTTCACCATGTTGGCCAGGCTGGTCTCGAACTCCTGACCTCAGGTGATCCACCCACCTTAGCCTCCCAAAGTGCTGGGATTACAGGCATGAGCCACCGCGCCTGGCCCATTTTTAGTTTTTTTTAAATTTATTTTTGAGACAGGGTCTTGTTCTGTTGCTCAGGCTGGAGTGCAATAGTGCAATCAGAGTTCAGTGCAGTTTCAACCTCCAGGGTTCAAAGCGATCCTCCCACCTCAGCCTCCCGAGTAGCTGGGACTACAGGCATGGACCACCATGCCGGACTAATTTATTTTTTGTAGAGACAGGGTCTCACTATGTTGCCTGGCTGGTCTTGAACTCCTGGGCTCAACTGATCTGCTGACCTCGGCCTCTCAAAGTGCTGGGATTATAGGTGTGAGCTACCATGCCCAGCCCTTACTTGGATTTTATTTTATTTTTTTCAAGACGGAGTCTTGCTCTGTTGCCCAGGCTAGAGTGCAGTGGCATGGTCTTGGCTCACTGCAACCTCTGCCTCCCAGTTTCAAGCAGTTCTCCTGCCTCAGCCTCCTGAGTAGTTGGGATTACAGGTGTGCGCCACCACACCTGGCTAATTTTTGTATTTTTAGTAGAGATGGGGTTTCACCATGTTGGCCAGGCTGGTCTCAAACTCCTGGCCTCAAAGCATTCCACCCACCTCAGCCTCCGAAAGTGCTGGGATTATAGGCATGAGCCACCATGCCTGGTCCTCTACTGGCATTTTAAATGAGCAGAGAGTAAGGGGTTTCCTTGGTGTTTTGAAATGATGCTTGCCTGCTACTGTGTACCAGAGGTTTCAATGTGTGTGGGACAAGTACAAGACAGAGTGAAAACTGGTGGACAGCTGCCCTGAAGTCTGATATTGAAGGATCAAACATCTCCTTTGTGATTGTCCCCGCTTCACTGAGTCTCCTTTGCTTACTCATACCCCAATCTTCTAAGGACATACCCAATTTTACTTTGTCTTTGTATGGACCAATAAAAGAGGCTAGAACTGAGATAAGAGATGTTCTACTTAGGGGCACATTGGAGACTAGGGCCCAGGAAGAATATGAAGACCTGAACTCTACAGCTTTAATGTAAGTATCATGGCACAAAATGAGATATGGGACTTCAGGAATAATTTATTCAATGCTAAATAAGGTGAGGAGTGGCAAGTCTAAAATACATACCCTCTATGTACATTCTAATCTTGTTCATCCTCTACAGGTACAACAATATACACATTCACTCACCCAACTCACCATTTCCTGGCAGCTAAAATGACAGGATCTTCTCTACAACTTATCCCCACCCCCATCAGTCATACCCACCTTCTGGAAGTCAGATCCTTCAGGTGATTGCCTACTGGCCACAAGGGCACCCATCATTTCCGTGGCCTCTGTGGTTTCTATCCCTGCCTTTCTGGGGGCAGAAATGTCTGCTGCAGTCCTTCCTTTTGGAAATCTGAAGACTTTTGGAATTGCCCCTGAAAAGAAAGGAAGATAAGTGGGTGAGAGTCTGTAACAATGTGACCATAGTCATCCTTAGGAAGGTGGTTACAGGAAGGCTGGGTGGAAACTTAGCAGGGACAGAGTGTCAGAGAGACGAAATAAAATAATATCTTAATATGGCTGATTTTATCTCTGCTTTCTCCACATCCTCTACCTTTTGTTCTCCCGTTATGTAACTCTGCCTCTGTTTTCACCCTGTTCGTTCACTTCCCTTAAACATACTCATTTCCCTTATTTTCTACAAAACTTCTTTCTTGCCTAATCCTCCACAAATGGAACCAAAGCCTGTAAATCTTTAAATCATTACATCTAGATGTTATCTTCTGTCCTTTTGCATGCGACAGACTTTTTTTATCTTTTGTGTACCTGTATTACTTTGTGAAACAGGTATCTTGATTTATATCATTTAATGTCCAAGTGCTTGTACAACATTAATGAATATGAACAACCAGTTCAACAGAGGTTGGGGAAAGAATGGGAAGAGGAAGAGAGGAAGAAGGAAAGAATGGTAAGACATTCCTGAAGAAGGTATGTTGCCCAGCATCGATGGGAATAGAAGAATTTAGGAAGTCTTGAGGGAAAAGCAGCAGGACCTATTTGTAATGATGGAAAACAGACAAGAGGTGTGAAGGAAAACAGGGATGCACTGAGTAGGAGAGACACAACTTAAAAAAAATAATTTTAATACAGAAAAGTATACAGAGGGGTAAAAAAAAAACTGGCCTATAATTCCACAGCACTGGATAACCCTTACTACATGTTATCATTTTATACATGTATGTGTGTGCATGTGTATAGTTTATAAAACATTTATATTTTATAGAAAATGCATTTTCATGGTCACAATGTTGAAACAAAACAGAAGATACAAAATAAAAAGTGATAGCATTCCTTTTCCCTCTCCCAAAGGCAACCTTTTTTGGTTACGATTTAGTTTTGATGAGATGACAAGAGGATGCTGGAGACCATAAACTGTTGAATTACTTCTTCAACCAAATCAGAGGGGTTTGGGGTTTGACTGACTTCAGCATGCTTATGAAGTCTGGCTGGAAGGAAAAAGGAGGCCATTTGAAAACTGGATCCCCAAAACCTTTTGTTTTTGCTAACTGTAAGGTCAGTTTAACTCCTTCTCATCCTCAGTTTCTCTTCTAGGAGCTGCAGAAGCAGTGTTCCCATCATGGCCTGGTGCCATTATTCCAGAATGCTGTTGAAGTGAGGGAACCAATGGCAACCTTGACATGCCTCAATGATACAGTGCTTTGTATACAAAGACCCAGGACAGAAGCAAGAGGACAGCTGGCTTCTAGAGTGCTAAACACCCAGAAAATACAATAGGCAATTTACAGTTTTTACTGACTTATAATTTGCTAAGTATTCACAATTTGTTAATAAAAACAGCTACTATTACCACATTGATTCTTTCAATGAATTTTTATTGAGTACCTGCTATATGCCAGACAACTGTGCACTGTGAATACAATGATTAAAAAAATAGTAAGCAAAGACAGACTTCTTGCTTTGGGGAGTTTATCATGTACTTAAGGGGAGCATATATTAATCAAAGAAACATAAATGTAAAATTACAACCACATTAAATGCTACAACATAAACATACATGTTTTATATGTATTCTTCTGGAAGTGTATATGGGTTGAGGGCAAATCAGGAGAGTTGTGATTTTAAGAGTAGAAGATTTTCATTATAAATTCAACTTCGTGGCTTATCGATGAATATTGTATACACAACTTAGTTAAAAATTACATAAAAATTACTGCAATTTTAAACTCTAAAGAGATGTGCTCACAAAACTATTTGTCCATGTTCTCACATAAATCGTTAATAAATGAAGACTTTGTTTAGGTTCTTATCCTAGATTTAGTATGTAAGCTTTGTTAAGGTGAGAACCAAGGTTTAGGGATATATATTAATATATCAACAAAGCTTGCCTATATATGTTTATATATATATTATCTATATTATATATATAAAAGAAACTATACTATATATAGTATATATAAAACTATATACATATATACATATATATATATGTAAAAGAAACTACCTCACTTATTTCTGTTACAGGCTACATCCTCTCTGAACCCTCCTCCAATTTTTAAAATTACACTTTATGTTCCTATTGGATGCATGTGTCCTGTATGTCCACCTCCCCACCCCATTCTTCCTCAGTCCTGGAATCTGGCAGACTGATAAATTGACTATGTGCTGGCATGCTCTGCTACCAAAATACTAACTTTCTGACTTTTTAGAAAGATGAAGTGTCATGGGCGAAGTAATACTTAACTATATTATTCAGCAATATTAGCAGAATATTATGTGCCCTGTGAATATAATATGGCTTGTAAAGCAGGAAGCCCCCCATTTGCAAGGCCAGGGGGAATTTTTAGCGGGTTATACACCTTAGGTAAAATTAGGTATTTGCCCAAATTTAAACATAATTGCTGATCATCTGCTTCTCACAATTGAGGATATCTGATAAAAGTTGTTCCTGATGTTTGTAAAATTTAAAACATAGTTATATTACACCATAAGCTGCATTTAAAATTCAGGGCCCATTTCTTCCATGTGCCTAAGTCTCCTAAGTTGAAAGTTTATTCAGTACTGTGATAGTAGAGAACAACAAAAAAATATGCTCTATCTCCAGCTACTGGGTTAGAATTCTGTCCTTCCTTTCACCTGTCTTCTCTGGATAGGTTCCAAAGCTAGATCCCACTAACCAAAAGGAAGGAGGCAGCAACACTTCCTGCCCAGAATACAGAATCCTCAAAGTTCTCCCTCTGCTGGTTCAAGGAAGATATAAAGAATGTCACTCCCGTAACTCTTAAGTGAGCATTATTTTTGAAAAAGCCGGATTGGTAGATGCCTTTGGTGTAAATCCTGAAGTTATCCAGAGAATACAAGAGGAGTTACTACCAAAGCTTAGGCTCAAAGTACTCCAGCCCTAGCTACCTGAACTAGTTCTGCCCTTCCTACAATAAATTTTGCCTCTTTTTCTCTTCTCACTCAAGTAGCCCCCTCCTAACCTACAGGGTAAGATTTCAATGCCCTCTGAGGAAGTAAGGTTAGGATTGGGATCTTGATATGGTTACCTCCTCCCAACTCTTTCTCTAAAACCATCAGTCTCCCCCTAAAGGGAAGTGGAACTAAGTGAACAGGACTGAAAATCAGCACAAACTGGCATTAAAAATTATGTTCCCTGAATTCCTATAGATAACCTGCTATAACAGGGAGGGAGTAGTTCTCTGGGAAAACAAATCTCTCTGAAGCTTACTTGGGTTTAAACTCTTCTAAATGGCACCTTTTGAGTTAGTCTATGGTTTCCAAGCAAGAAAACTGCATTGAACTCAGGCTTTGTCCTAAAAACCAGGGCTAGAAAGGTGACATGGGCAGGATACCCTGACCCTGTACATATTGGTGCTAGGATAAAGATAACGATTCTTATCTCAAAGGAAACAACACAAAACAACTCTGTGACACAGTAAGGTAAACTAACTTGTCTAAAATCACAGCAAGGTAAATGACTGAGGCACAGTCAAGGATCTAGCTCTCCCAAATCTGTGTCCTTTCCATAACATAAGAGAGGCCAGAATGACTTCTAAATTGACATTAGTCAAAAAAATTAAAAATCCTTCCCAATGTTGACCTAGGGATTTTATAGCTCTGTACATAAGGAAACAGGAAAAAAAAAATTGGGGGAGCGGGGAGGTTAATCCAGATCAGCAATTTTGTATTATCTTTGAGGAACAGGTGGGTAAATAAGACTCCGAAGGCCCTGTTGAGTCAGGTTATAAACTGCTGACAACAGGGATACAAGAGGAAACTGGGACAGAGAAAATCTGAGGACTGAGCTCCCTAATTCCCAAGAGCAAGAACCTGATTGTCCTAGGGGAGCTCAGTTCCCAGAAAATCCTACGGAGAGTCAACACAAAGGTATATAAAAAGCTTCACAACAGGAAGATACCAATACCAGACAACTGTTGCCTACTCACTACCCACCCAGGCTGCGCTGGGGCAGACTATATATCCTAACATTCTGGCATGAAGTAGTTCTGACAAGTGAGGAAAGCATGGTTGCGGGTGCGGATAGACAATAGGGCAGCAGGGATTCACTGTTCTAGTTTTCCTTTGGAGTTCAAATGTGTGTGATTTCAAAACAAAAATCCAGAAGGAAACATGAGATTAATGCATTTATTCCAAGTAATTAACACATTAAAAATAAAGTTAAACTTGTCCAAGCCAACTCATAAATTCTTTAATCTTTTTAACAAAATATACAACCCCAAACATCGTACTATGGTTGAAATTAATTGGGAAAGGAGGAGGTAGAGGAAAGGATACATATGGGTTTGTGGAACAGGGAATGAGTTCAATCTCAAGACAAGTTTCAGAGATCTTCTACCCCTTCACAACACAAATGGCTGCTAAACAATTTAATACAAAGTGTTATTGGATCACAATACAATGAACAAAGGCCATTTCAAAAATAAAAGTGATCTCAAAAGCATATCTGCTCCTGGCAATGAACCATGAATAAGCCTTACCGATTTGTCGTCTTCTAAAAGTAAGCCTGCCAGATATTCTTCCATGTTTATTTCCAAACAGGTTTGTGGGTTAGCAGGACAATGCATCTCAAGAAAGGCAACAGAGTAAGGGAAGTACAGGAGTTGACATGCCAATAAGGGGTGTAAACAGTAAACAAAAGAGCTACTCACGCTGCATTTCAAACAATGTTAAGGCAGGCCCATCCAAATGGAAGCCTAAGAGATGAACAATTCTTCCAAGTTTTCCATTTCAGCAAGCTTTCTGGTGTTTTTCCCAGAGATGCATCAACTGCCCAGGAAATTGGGTAGGAATACAACACAGCAACTGGAGAGGTCAGCTGCCTCCATCCTCCCCCACATTTCAGAAATGGCAGAGTCAAAGCCAAAATACAATCAAAGCACACTATGTGGTGAGCCAGTTAGACATGTGATTTTAATGACAAAGTGGGAGAAAATAAATTGGCCAAAAAAATTAACAAAATACATTTTTACAGATATATATATATATATATAAGTTGTTATCGATTTGTCTGGTGTTTTAAGGGGAAAGGGAAAAGGAAAGGAGGTAAATTTTTTAGCTTCCATGAACATTTACTTTAAGATGCTGACTGCATCTCTTGGTGTAGGTTCCAGATGAGATAACAAACTAGTCTTGGATCATCTGGGCATCTGATTTCTAGAAGCCAATGATTCACTCACAAGTAGCTCTAGGTATTTATTCTTAGTTGTGAACACTGGATTCTGTGTGGTCCTGGATGGCACCAACTGTAGTTTCCTGTTCAGGCATTCCCTGAGGGACCATATTGTCTTCAATTACCTGCTCCCTTGGAGGGGACCTTGACACTGGAGCTTTAACCAAATTCAGAGGGTCGCCACTGTCATCATCTACTTGCAGAATTGCCACCTCTGTGGTGGATGCATTCGATATTTCTAGCTGTAATGGCCCCAACTCCAGGGAACTACATTTAGAAGGGTCACCTGGCTCAGAGAGTGGAGAACACAGTTTATCTTTTTGAACTCCAGAGGTCCGTGTGACAAAGTCAACAAGGTCTGGAAGGCAAGGAGATGGCCCAAGGCCTGCAGAATTAATTGTTTTTAATTCCAATCCGAGTGACTCTTGTTTGTCTAATTGGGAAGATTCTTTTACTTCCTCAGGCATCATTCCTCCTGCTAACAGGTCAAGGGCCTGGTGTGTTCCCTCTAGGCCCCCCAAGCCACGGTCAACATTTTCTGTAAGTCCAGTTTTCAAAATGTTAGGAGAAGGGATCCTAACACTCCTGGGATTAGGTGAGTTTCGTTCACCCTCTGTCTCAAAGTCAAGCACCAAGGTTTTGGGAGAATCTAACGGAAACCCAGAAAAAGATGGGATTGGTTCGAAGTCAGCGGGATCGGAGGAATTACACCCTATAGGTGATACAGAATTTTCTTCACACACTTTCTGACACAAGACAGTTGGGGATCTATGTGCTGGGCTTACCCGAGTAGTGCAGAAATCAACAGGCATATCCCCCAGATTCCCCAGGGCAGTAAGCTCCTCTACCTTTAAGTCTGTAGCTTCAAAGTCTTCTAGGGCCTTGCTTTCTATTGTCACTGTTAACTCTGGATGGACATCTTGTAGCTCCAGTGCTTCTGTTTTTGGTTTCTCTGGGCTCTCCCAGGTCTCTGGCCTCTTCTTGTTTTCATCCCAAACAGCCAACTCATAGATCTTTTTAACTTGAAAGTCTTTTGATCTTTCTCTCTTGAGTTTGAGACTTCTGTACCTAGAAGTTCTAGAAGCTGATTCTGGAGCTGAATTCTCTAGCCCCTCCTCACTAACAACTGAAACTCCTTGCTCTTGTGGACTACCTGTTAAACACATAGCTGATCTGGCTGGGGAATGAAGCAGCAACTCTGGGGCAGAAATTTTCACAGGTGTATCTTGTGGGTTGAGTAAAGACCTAGCTTCTGATAAAAATGAGTCTAATTTTGCCTTTGTGAAAGAGCAAGCCTGTGGACTCAATTTGATCACTACTTTACTTGGAGTTTCACTTCCTGTCATCAATTTATTGGACTGTTCAGCCTCTTTGTCAATCATTAGCAAGTTGGGCTGTTTTACTTCTCCCTCCCACATGTATCTGTTTCCATGGTTCAAATTAGAATCATCTATGCTGTGGGGTCCAATGCTGGTACTTACTCCCTCATCAACTATCCCCTCAGACAGCTCCTTTACCCTTTCTTTTAGTTCAGTGTTTGTCTCTATCTCACTTTCTCTACAATCCTCAGATTTACGGAGCTCTTGGCTTTCCTTATCCTGGTTAACAGATTCTCTGAGGTGGATTTCTACCAACTTCTGAGATTCTTTGCACTGTATATCTAACAGTTGAGGAGGTGGTTCTACACCAGGTGGTCCTGGCTCTCCCAGGTCAAGCTCACTCTTCTCTGGAGATATATCCCTACTAGTGTCACTCTGGAAGGAACTAGAGGTCCATATGGCCAAAGTGTCTGTCTTTGGGGTAATTGTTTCATAAGGCCTGCTTTGGCACAACCTTGTCAGAGGCTGTAGGAAGCCATAGGTGCTGCCTGTGCTTTTTGGGCCTACATGTTCTACAACTGACCATTTCCCTAGGGCCACCAGAGTTTTTGCAATGGGCTTTTCAGAGTTGCTAACTATAGGAGCAGCGACCAAACCCTCATCTTGATGCAACTCCTCTTGGGATGCACTGCTGTTCAAAGGAGAAGTAGAAGAGGTGTCTGAACTTTTGGTTCTAGAGAGGTTGCTATTTTCCCCATTGGCCAATGGACCACCACTTAGCTTAGTCTCAGGGGCCCCCTTAGTCTCAGGGGCCCCCTTTCCACCACTACTATAGAATATGTCATACAGGTCCTTAGCATTGGCTGTGGCTAAGCATGAATTTCGCTTCTCTAATTTTTTGGCTTGTTCACTGAACACACTTGAGAGGGGTGGTGGAGGACGTACTAACACAGAGAACAGGGTCTGGTCTCGGTCACTCTCACTCACCCCAGGAGCTGTCTCATCAGAAGGAATGGCAGCTGGCTGTGCTGAGGCCATGATGGCTACAGGCAACACTGGGTTCAAAATGTTAGGACCCACGAAGCCAGGGCTGAGAGTCTGAGATACAACTGGGTTTGATTTTACTGGAGCCAAGATAGCATTTGCTTGAGCAGCAGACGGGGCAGCTGGATGAGGTATAACGGGGGGTGGTGGAGGTGGTGGAGGTGGGGGTGGTGGAGGAGGTGGTAGTATTTGTTCAGGTAAATGAGATGGCTCACTCTTTTCAGCCAACACCACTTTTTCCTCTGGAGACCCTTTTAGAATCACCTCTTCCCCTCCAAATGCTTTGGAGATGATGTCTGGAGGTAAGAGGAGATCAGCTGAAGACTCTTTAACCACTGGCAGAGGTTTAGCAGTGGTTCCAGAGGACTTAATAGACAGAAAGGTGTTAAGAGGAGCTGGCTTGCTCATTGTGGCTGAACATGACTTGCGGAGTACTGTGGATGGAATAGGCAGGTTGGGTCGGATCTTAGTCTGTGTGGAAGTTGTCACAACAGGCATCCAAGGGCTGGTATGTGCAACAACAGTTTTCCCAGAGAGCTTGATTTTGATAGGCTTTGCCTTCCCAGCTTCAGTTTTGCCATCCTCTTTGTCCTTACTACTTTCTAGAATCTCTTCTTTAGAGATACTTGGGGTCACCAATGAACTTTTCTCCTCTTCTTTTTCTGGCTTCTTCCAGCTGAATTTCCCAAAAGAAGATGATGTTGGTGATTCCTTCTTTACCTCTTCTTTTAACTGGAGTTTGATGCCAGTGTTCCTTTTATTTTCAGCTTTTTCAGGGGAGTTCCTACCCTCAGAGAGTTGGTCTTCTAATTTCTCAGAGACCTTGTCATCCTCCTTTACTTCTTTCACAGCCTTTGCCTTTTTTTCTTTCTTCTCCTCCTTTGGTTTCTCACTAAGTTTGCGCTTTAGCTCACTCTGCCGTCGCCGTTCTGTCTCTAGGACCACAGCCAAGCCAGCTTGGCGGTCCAGATTCCGCCGCTCCTCATATAATGGGTTTTCATCCACATATTTCTGGGAAGAAAAAAGATAAAGACTCAAAAACTGGTGAAAATACAAGAGAAAAAAATCTTGGCCCCGCTACTGTTAGAATTCATTTAGTAGAAATCCCCAGAATTATCTTCCTCAAGGACATACGGGATGCTATCTGCTGAGCATCTCCCACTAGGATTGAGGAGAACTTAGAGGTTATATGGAATTTGAAGTGTCAATGGCTTTTTCTGGCTCGGACGCCATTTGACAAAGTCAAAATAATTACTTCAGAAAAGTTGGAAACTCCACAGCCTACTACAAAGACCAACCTTGTATTTCTCATTGTGTTGGTGACCCTTCACATGTTGCTCCCCAGAAATTGGATCCCCCAAAAATTCCTCACAGAGCTGGCAATAAAATCCACTGATGGGAACCAGAAACTCAGAGCCTGGAAGAAGTAGAAAAAAGTCAAGGAAATAAGTCGATTCCACCCAGAATGACAGCAACCAATGGAAATCCCACCACCCCTTTGCAGTAAAATGGTTACAGTATAGAGGGCCTTACCCACTTTGAAGTCAGAAGCAGTATTTAGATGAATCCCAATGGCACAGTCTTTCCAACCTAAGGCTTGAACTACAGTCCTCTATTTCTTCTACCTCTTGGGAACATTATACTGGTTAATTTAGGAGTTTCCTGTGCCAGATTAATTCCTGTTGCTGAGTCTCCTCAAACCCTAACTAGCACCAAGCATCTCAGGAAATATAAAAACTATACTCCCAAATAGCCCATTACCATTTTATGATGATCTCTCATGTTGGTATTAATTACTGAGGAAACTATCTTCTGTAAATCTCAAGGGTATAGTAGCAGCACTAGCTACTTGTGAAGGTAAGAAATTGAAAAGTTTATGGGCTGAGCACAGTGGCTCATGCCTGTAATCCCAGCACTTTGGGAGGCAGAGGTGGGCAGATCACGAGGTCAGGAGATCGAGACCATCCTGGCTAACACAGTGAAACCCCGTCTCTACTAAAAATACAAAAAATACAAGGCATGGTGGCAGGCGCCTGTAGTCCCAGCTACTTGGGAGGCTGAGGCAGGAGAATGGGGTGAACCCGGGAGGCGGGGCTTGCAGTGAGCAGAGATAGCACCACTGCACTCCAGCCTGGGCAACAGAGAGAGACCCCATCTCAGAGGAAAAAAAAAAAAAAAAAAGAAATTGAGAAGTTTAAAGACAAAGGAAGTTTCTGCTTCTCCACTTACCCCTTAATAACAATGACTCAAAATATTGTATAGTTCTTAGTTGAAAAGGCAGTTAAATTACTGCATCTCCTGTCCTTTTTAACCTGGATTCCAAACAAGTAAGATTTTGGGCCCATAAGCCAATGACAAAGACAATTCTGTTTTAAGTGACATGTCTATGTTTAACATCTGTGAATAGATTTTTGGCCATATGGGTAGAGATCATGGTCTTATAGATCTCTTTATAGCTTCAGGACCTAGTACACTGTTTTGTACACAGAAGGCATTCCTACGGCTTTGTTAAAAGGAATGGCTGTCTCATGCTATGCTGCTTCCTACAATGTTAGTTCAGGGACACCTCTTCCTCAACTGAATGTAAGGAAACCACAAAGGTGGCAAAAAGGAAACATACCTTTTGCAGGAACAGTTATCTTGTCAGTGCGCTTTATGGCATCTTGCTTGGCCTCACTCTGGGTCTTTGAAGCCCAAGGTCTGTTGTAGGGATCCAGTGTCTATTTGTAAGAGGCAGAGGTGCTCACACAACAGCACTAAAAGCTCAATGACCCACTTTTCTCTTTTTTTTCCCCCATAATAAGACCAGGGGACCAGAAGCCCCCAGCTACCCACCCCCACCCCCTCTGCCAACTGTTTTAATGGAAATCACCTGTGGAAAAGGTAAACACATGTTAGAGCAAGTACCAGAAAAAGGTAAAATGAAACAAAAAAATCAGGTACTCAAGGAATCAAAAGAGGCAGAAACCTCACTTACACTTGTCATGGTGTTTAGTTACAGCCAAGTCCCCTGGACTGAGCCCTGGGGATGGTGTCTCCTTTGTTGGTGTCTCTTGGCTCTTCAGACTGGGGCTCCTGCCCATATGAGAATGTTTCCTTTTCCAGCTTTGCAATGCAGATAGGGGTATAGAAGTTTGAAGAGAGTGAGGGTGGGAGTGAAAATAACAGAGAGTAGGATACCAACCTGTGTGTGCTTCTTATTGTGCATATGAGTGAAGAAATCAAACATGGTCCCACAGATGGTGTTGCAGTCTTTGCACCAGTGATTGCCAGCATCATAATACTCATAAGCAGCAGTGGGCTGATCCAACTGCTTAGTGGCTGACTGGGGGCTTTCGGCAGGCTTGGGGCTCTTAGTACGAAACTTCTCATTGTTTACTTTTGATTCCTAGAGGGGAAAAATCTGTACTTACAAGGAATTCAAGGCAATCTAGACTTGTCTTCTGTTAGAAATAGTAAGTGGCCATAATAATAGAAATAGGGCCATATGACCATATTTCCAATGTTTAAAGCTGCACAAGTTGGGGGGAACCCTAACAGAAACATGTCTCTAAGACATAGAACTATTTGACTTCATAGTGCTATCACAGCATAAAAAGTAAATCATAATGGCAATATATTTACTTACATATCCTAAAATATCTCTAGAAGAACAGCCAAGGTTGTGGAAACATTGGCTGCCTCTGGGGAAGGGAAGTGGAGAACAAGGATGGGTAGGAGTCTCTTCACTGTATACCCTTTAGTAAATGTTGAATATGTTACCTATGCAACTAAACAGTTAAATTTGAAAATCATGACAGCTAGGGAGGGAAGAAAAACCAATATGGAAAAGGTAATTGACAGGCTAAGCAAAGCAAATGCAGAAAATAGGTGATAGTGAACTCATCACATGCATCCTGGTATGAAAAACTGGAGAGAAGGGTTGGTGTACATAGATAAAGTAGACTATACAACTACACATAGATAAAGTCATCTATGTAGAATGATTTAAAGGAATCTAGGAAAAACATTCCTAACTGCCTAAAATATCACTTTTAGAATTTAACAACTTTAGAGGCCAGGTGCAGTGGCTCACACCTGTAATCCCATCACTTTGGGAGGTCGAGGTGGGCAGATCACTTGAGGCCAGGAGTTCGAGACAGGCCTGGCCAACATGGTGAAACCCCATCTCTACTAAAAATACAAAAATTACCCGGGCATGGTGGTGTGCACCTGTATTCCCAGCTACTCGGGAGGTTGAGGCACGAGAATCACTTGAACCCAGGAGGCGGAGGTTGCAGTAAGATAAGATTGTGCCACTGCACTCCAGCCTCAGCAACAAGTGAGACCCTGTCTCAAAAAAAAAAAAAAAAAAAAAAAAATTTTAACACCGTTAACATGTATCCTTTTTAAAAATATATCAACTTCTTAATATTAAAGTTATCAACAGCAAATACTTTAATATGAATTAATTTATTACCAAGCTGGAACAAGGCACTCAGGAAATGAGAATTTTGGTTAATGTTCAGGAGTAAGGCACAGGAAAAAAAGATAATTTTTGCAACTCAGAGGCTCACTATGAATGGGGTTCTATAGTACACAAGATGAAGAGCTGGGTACCTGGAATATTGGCTCACGCAGGGAAAAAGGTAGGATACAGAAAGGGAAACAATTGGGGCTTCAAAGATACTCTTTCCCTACCTGAGTCCTATTCAAGAATCACTAAAGAAATCACACCAGACAGGCAGGGGATGGGAGAGTTCATACACTCCTGGTGGGAGTATTAACTGGCACCATCTTCTAGAAGATAATCTAGGAATACATTACATACCTCAAAATACTGTATACCCTTTAACCCAGCAATTCACTCCTTGACATTTATCCTATGGAAATTATCATGTCAAACAACAGGTGATTTGATTGGTTAAATAAATTTTGCTTAACCATGCAACCAAAACAACAAAAAATAAGGTTGTTAAAAATGGTATTATAGAAGTGTATTTACTGACATGGAAAGATGTTCATGATATACTGAGAAAACTAATAAAATACACTTGAATAATCAACAAAGATATGTAAATCGGCATACAGCGTTGAATATCACTTTATCCAAAATACTTTCTCTAACCACTCTATACTCCTTATCCTGTTTTCTTTTTTTAGGCACTTCTCATTACCTAACATGGACTTATTTATTTATCATCTTCTGCTATTTAATGAGAATATGAACCTTGTCTATACTGTTCAGTGTGATACTTCCCATATCTAGACCAGTTCCTGACACTTTATTGGTGACCAATACATATTTGTTAAGTGAATTGATGGACAGAATTAATACTTTGGTGTATGTATTTGGAATAACATACACCAAGGTATTAATAATAAATTAATGTATTTGGAATATATAATAATACCTTGGTGTATGTATTTGGAATAACATACACCAAGGTATTAATAATATTATACACCAAGGTATTAATAACAGTGGTCTCGGCTGGGCCCAGTGGCTCATGCCTGTAATGCCAGCACTTTGGGAGGCTGAGGTGGGCAGATTACTTGAGCTTAGGAGTTCGGGACCAGCCTTGGAAACATGGCGAAACCTCAACTCTACAAAAATACAAAAATTAGCCAAGTGTGGTGGTGGTGAGCACCTGTAGTCCCAGCTACTGGGGAGCCTGAAGTGGGAGGAATGCTTGGACCTGAGAGTTGGAGGCTGCAGTGAGCCATGACTGTGTCACTGCACTCAACTTAGGTGACAGAGTGAGACCCTGTCTCAAAAAAAAAAAAAAAAAGTAATAATAACAGTTGTCTCTAGGTAGATGAAATTACAAGTTTGTATGTGCTTTTCTGAAATGAACAGAAAGGGAAAGAAAATCTCAAACCAACTATACATTTTAAAGAGAGGTAAAGAAAGAAGAAATACCAAGGACAGGTAGGAAAGAAAGGCTGTGGACATAATATTCCTTACTGCTGAGATGAAAACTGAATTGTAACATATCCGTTAGTTTCAGAGACCATGAAGACGCACCCAAATCAAGATGACAGATTATCATTGGGTTCGTACATGAATAGAAATCCAATGTATAAGTCAATTACAAAGGACCAGAGCTTTTAAATTCTTCTCCCATCAAAGGCCCTACCTAGACTGAAGACCCAGGTATAAAAGACTAGGCCTACCTGGTTGAGAAAGAAAACTCTCCTAGGAAGACATGGAAAAAAATAGAGCTTGGGTGATAACACAGAATATATTCTCTTTCCTACCTCTCAATATTAACTGAGGATGTACTATGTGCTAGACATATTGTATGCAATGGGAAACACAAAGATAAAAAAGATTCCTCTTTTATCCTCTCGGGCCAGGTGGGGTGGCTCACATCTGTAATACTAGCACTTTGGGAGGCTGAGGCGGGAGGATCATCACTTGAGCCTAGGAGTTCAACACCAGCCTGGGGACGGGCGCAGTGGCTCATGCCTGTAATCCCAGCACTTTGGGAGGCGGGGGCAGGTGGATTACCTGAGGTCAGGAGTTCGAGACCAGCCTGGCCAACATGGTGAAACCGTCTCTACTAAAAATACAAAAATTAGCTGGGTGTGGTGGCACACGCCTGTAACTCCAGCTACTCAGGAGGCTGAGGTAGGAGAATTGCCCAGAAGACAGAGGTTGCAGTGAGCGAAGATCACGCCACACGCCACAGAATAAGACTCTGTTTCAAAAAAAAAAAAAAAAAAAAAAAAAAAATGCTGGGCAGGGTGGTTCACGCCTGTAATCCTAGCCCTTTGGGAGGCCGGATCACGAGGTCAGGAGTTTGAGACCAGCCTGGCCAATATGGTGAAACCATGTCTCTACTAAAAATATAAAAATTAGCCGGGCGTGGTGGCACGTGCCTGTAATCTCAGCTACTCGGCAGGCTGAGGCAGAAGAATTGCTTGAACCTGGGAGGCGGAGGTTGCAATGAGCCGAGATTGCGCCACTGCACTCCAGTCTGGGTGACAGAGCAAGAACTCTGTCTCAAAAGACCAGCCTGGGCAATATAGCAAGACCCCATCTTTAACCAAAAAAAAAAAAAAAAAAAAAGCAGCTCTCATTTAGTGGAGACAGACGTAAGAAGAGTCTTTAAATAAGACAACGAAATAAATTTTACAAAGAAACAAATTACAGAGTGCTAAAGAAGGCTGACTAGATCTGGGTGGAATTCTGGAAATTCTTCATGGAAGAGGTGGTATCCAAATTGGGCTTTAATGGGTGAGTGGGGTTGGGAGAAAGATTATTCCAGGCTAATAGGATTATTTATGCAAAACCAGAGAGGTGTAATACCAGATATTGCACATCCGGAAAATTGCATTTTGAGGTGACGCAGCGTAAGATGTAATATAATGTTTCTTCAGCAGTATTCATTACTATGTGCTGGGCCCTGGGCTATATATTGGGAATCATATTGAACAATGACACATATAAAGTCCCTGTAACTTTTGAACCTTAAAATCAAATTAGGGGAACACATTTAATTATAAAATCAGATCTGTCATAAATGTTAAGAAGGAAAATTACAAGATATTATGGGAGTGTATATCAGGCAAATTTAACAGTCTAGGGAATCAGAGAAGGATGTCAGGGAAGTAATTTAAGATCCAATCTAAAGGATGAATTGGAGTTAGAAGAGTAGATAAGGAAAGAGTTCGATTTGCATGGTAAAGAAAGGGAACAGAAAATGTGAGGTCACGAGAGGAGATGATACATTTGAGGAATGAAAAGGTTAGTAATGAAACTACAGTCAGCAAGAAGGAAAGAGGCATGAAATGAGGTTGAGGAGGTAGGCAAGGGATTAAGTATCATGATCACTGGCTATATGTGCAAAAAGAGTTAATTAACACAGCAACATAAGCAAAAACTGATGTGGCTTGGACTTGAATGTCAATGGAGATGATAAGGTGCATGGAATCGAGATTTACTTTGGAGAGGGACCTGACAGAATTTGTAATTGATTGCATATGGAGCAGTTAGGGAAAGCAGAGCACTGAGAGTGACTTTTAAGTTGTTGGCATGAAAACTGTCGGACAGTATGCCATTCATTGAGAATGCATAACAATGGAGAAAGAAAAAGTTGGAAGGAGGTTGAGCACAACCATTAATTTAGTTTAGGACATGCTCAATTTCAAGTGCCTATGAGATAATGAAGTGGAAATGGTGAGTTACGTTGTTAGACACTCAGAAGACTCATTTGACTAGAACATAAAACTGGCAATTGTCACATGGCATTTTAGCATAGGACTGGATGAAATGGCCTAGGAAGAAAGAGCAAATTCTGGCAAGGACTGAGCCCCGAGAAACTCAAAAATTTAAAGATTATGCAAGAGAGACAGCAAAGGATACTAAGCAGGAGCATCCAATGTACTACGAGGAAAAGAAGTGTGACAGAAGCCAAGGGAAAAGAGTATTTGTAGGAGAAAGTGATTCTTGGCCTCAAATGCTGCTCATTTGAGAAGTAAAATGTATTTACTGACTTTAGCAACACAGTAGTGACCTAGACATGAACATAGTTGCTAAATATGAACCCCCCAAAAGGGTATATACAAGTTCTGAGAAGATCAGAAGCCAGATAGGAGTGGGTTAGGGAGTAAATGCTGGAACAAGAACATAGAAGGTTCTGAATACTGAGGATTTAGGATTCTTTGTGGGCAACAAGGAACTATGCTGAAATTCTGAAGAGGAGTACCACACTCTGATCTATACTGTAAGAAAATAATTAACAAGAGTAAGAACAGTTTGAAAACCTAAGTTAAGAAAATGGTTAGAAAACCATAGGAGTCTAAGGGAAAAAAAAGATGATAGAAATGGAAAAATTGAGTTGTTACCTTGTTGGAGGAGGAGTTTGAGAACGATGACACTTTTTCTGGGCTCTTAGATTTTTCTGCTTTCCCAGGCTTCTCTGTAGGCTCTCTACTGTCACTTAAAGACTTCTGGGATTTATCGAAGATGTTAATTCCCAAGATCTGAGCCACTTTGTCCAGTTCAGATTGCTTCTTTTCTGCCTCTTCTGCCTCTTGCCGTAGCTCTGCAATGTCCTTCATAATGTTATCCTGAAGCCGACTCACCTCCACCAAGAGAGGATCTTTGTGGCCATCCTTCTCCCTTCGTTTCTTGCGCAGCATTTCTCCTGAGCAATCAAATGTCAACAAAAAGAAGCACAGGGAAAATAAGACGAGTCATTTCTCATTTACAAGCAATAATTTGTCAGGGCTTTATGGTTACAAAGTCTTTGCCCACAAACGTTTCTAAGAGTGGCTAGGCGTGGTGGCTCATGCCTGTAATTCCAGCACTTTGGGAGACCAAGGCGGGTGACTACTTGAGTTCAGGTGCTCGAGACCAGCCTCACTAACATGGTGAAACCCCGTCTCTACTAAAAATACAAAAAATTAGCCGGGCATGGGGGTGGGCGCCTGTAATTCTATTTACCCGGGAGGCTGAGGCAGGAGAATTGCTTGAACTCAGGGGGCGGAGCTTGCAGTGAGCCAAGATCATGCCATTGCACTCAAGCCTGGGTGATAGTGAGAGACTCCGTCTCAAAAAACAATTTTTTTTTCTAAGAGCAAGTGAGACTCTCCTTCCACATGGGTTGGTGTAAGTGAAGCTTCTATGAAGGTAAAGAATGGGTTATGACATTATCTTTTGTGTAAAGGTTATTAGCTAAGGATTTATGGACAGGCTTCAGGGGCTCCATGAACTCCCATAACAGTATATATAATTTTGTGTGTGTCTCTCAAAAACATTAATAAGTGTTGTAACTATGAATTTAGCAGTTGTCCTCTCTTCAGAGGGCTGAAGAATTATTTAGAGGGTAATATATTTGACTTTATCTGATCTAAGGACACTTTAACAACTTCTTCAATGAGTTTTAGGTTTTGCCTCTGGTTTATCTTTTTTTTTTTTTTTTTTTGGTAGAGATGGGGTTTTGCCATGTCACCAGGCTGGTCTTGAACTCCTGAGCTCAAAGTGATCTGCCTGCTTCAGCCTCTGAAAGTGCTGGGATACAGGTGTGAGCCACCACACCCAGCTGGCTTTTTTAATGTTATCTCCTGTTCCAAACTGCAGATCCTCTGGTGTTAATCCTCACAGGATAAATAACTCAATTTCTCATCCCTAAACAGTCCAAACCCAGACAGAAGCAATTATATCTTCTCCCACTCTCTGTTCTTTCATACTATCAGTATTTAGGAGCCTTGTTATGTTCTTTTCCTCACTGTGTATGTGAATTCCTAAAAGCATAAAGAAATGGAATAAAAAGGAAGGCATCAGGGAACATTTTTGTGTGTGTGTGCCAAATTTAAGGAAAGACCAGACACTGTGGTTCATGCCTGTAATCCCAGTGCTTTGGGAGGCTGAGATGGGAGGATCATTTGAGTCCAGAAATTCAAAGCTACAGTGAGCTATGACAGCACCACTGCCCTCCAGCCTGAACAACAGAATGAGACCCTGTCTCTTAAAAAAAAAGAAAAAAAGGCCGGGTGGGGTGGCTCACACCTATAATCCCAGCACTTTGGGAGGTCGAGGCAGGCGGATCACCTGAGGTCAGGAGTTAGAGACCAACCTGGCCAACAGGGTGAAACCCCGTCTCTACTAAAAATACAAAAATTAGCTGGGCATGGTGGCACACGCCTGTAATCCCAGCTACTTGGGAGGTTGAGGCAGGAGAATTACTTGCACCTGGAAGGTGGAGGTTGCAGTGAGCTGAGATTGCATCACTGCACTCTAGCCTGGGCAACAGAGCGAGGCTCCATCTCAAAGAAAGAAAGAAAAAGAAGAAAAAAAGAAAGTACTCAAAAACGATGGAGACATATTGAAAGGACACAGGAGCTAACTCACAGGGGGTCCCATTGGCCAAATTTGGAACAATTTGAGCATGAAAATAAATAATGATAATAAAAGATTATAACTTATCAAATGAAGAATCCATGAATTCATACTCATATAAATGAATAAACAAATGGGAGTGAGGGTTAGGAAGTTCCCTCTTACAGTGGAAAGCCAACTAATAAAGCTAGAAGGAATGAGGAACCTTGAAAAATCACTATTTGATAACCATCACAGGCCAGGCACAGTGGCTCATGCCTGTAATCCTAGCACTTTGGGAGGCTGCAGAGCTCAGGAGTTTTGAGACCAGCCTTGGCAACATGGCAAAACCTTGTCTCTAGCCAAAAAAAAAAATTAGCCAGGCGTGGTGGCTCATGCCTATGGTCTCAGCTACTCAGGAGGATCACCTGAGCCAGGAAGCGAGGCTGCAGTGAGCTGAGATCATGCCACTGCCACTGCACTTCAGCCTGGGTGACACAGCGAGACCCTGTCTCAAAAAAAATTTTTAAATAACTATTATCATAATAACTGGCTCAGGCAAGACTCATCAATGGATGCTAAAACCAGTGGGTGAAAGTCTGAGGAGTAACTGAATATTTACATAGTCTCAAAGTATCTCCTCTATAAGATTCATATTAATTAAAAAGGATAAAACAGTAACTTTATAGTGGAGAAATCTGGCAGACACCACCTTAACCAAATAATTAAAGTTAACATCACCAGCAATGGGACAAATCAACACCTGATACAAACTCAGCATCATTTCTGTGATAGTCTCGCCAAAAATGAATAACCTGAATTTAATCATAAGGAAACAGACAAATCAAAATTAAGGGATATTCTACAAAATATGTGACCTCTTATCTTCCAGAATGTTAATGTTATGAAATACAAACACTCAGATTAAAGAAGAGTACAGGAACGTGAAAACTGAATGTGATAAATAATCTTGCACTTTGTTTTGCTATAAAGGGCATTAACGGGACAATGTGAAATATGAGTAAGAATGGTAGACTGGATAATAGTACTGTATCACTGCTAATATCCTAATTTTGATAAGTGTATTAAAGTTATGTACCTTCTTTGTTGTTAGGAAATACTTAAGTATTTAGGAGTAAAGGAACATCACATCTACAAGTTACTTTAAAAAGTTCAGAAAAGGCCAGTGCAGTGACTCATGCCTGTAATCTCAGCACTCTGGGAGGCCGAGGAAGGAGGATTGCTTGAGGCCAGGAGTTTGAGACCAGCCTGGACAAAATGATGAAACCCCATTGCTACTAAAATTACAAAAATTAGCCAGGTGTGGTGGCACACACCTGTAATCCCAGCTACTTGGGAGGCTGAGGCTTGAGAATCACTTGAATCCAGAAGGCAGAGGTTGCAGTGAGCCAAGACTGCACCACTGCACTCCAGCCTGGGCAACAGAGCGAGGCTCCATCTCAAAAAAAAAAAAAAGTTCAGGAAAAATTACACACACACATACACACAAATTGAGAGAGAGAAAAAGATAGAGCAAGCGTATTAAAATGTTAATAATCTGGCAGGGTGTGGGAGCTCACGCCTGTAATCCTAGCACTTTGGGAGGCTAAGGCGGGTGGATCACCTGAGGTGAGGAGTTCGAGACCAAACTGGTCAACATGGTGAAACCCCATCTCTACTACAAATACGAAAAAAATTAGCTGGGCATGGTGGCAGGTGCCTGTAATCTCAGCTACTTGGGAGGCTGAGGCAGGAGAATCACTTGAACCCGGGGGACAGAGGTTGTAGTGAGCCAAAATCACACCACTTCACTCCAGCCTGGGTGAAAGAGCAAAACTTCGTCTCAAATCATCATCATCATCATCATCATCATCATCATCATCATCACCACCACCATCATCTGGGAGAAGAGTACCTGAGAATTCTTTGCACTATTATTGCAACTTTTTTGTAAGTTTAATTACGTCAAAAAAAAATTTTTAATGAAGTTTCAGGTTACTGAACCTGTGTGAGAGTACCAAATTTGGGTCTCCTACGCAAGTTATTACAAAAAGGCAGTCATGCAAAGCAGCTGATACCTTGTTGTTTATGAAGCCGCTCTAACTCGGTCCTAAGATAGTACATCTTCTTCTGGCGGGCTTCCCGGTCATTCTTTAGTTTTTCCCTCTCTTCAATAACCTGCAAAATACAAAGTGGTAAGAGAGTCCATCTCCTCCAACATTCTCTTTTCTATTTCTCTCTTCCAGAAGCCTTCTTCCTAGACATTATCTGAATGTAAGGATCCAAATGCCTGCACACAGGCTCTGACCTTACTGTCAAAGTAATATTTCGTTCTAAGTTCCAGAATAGAACTGTCCATCTTTTCAAAAACTATACTGTCCAGAAAGGTTGTTTGTTTGTTTTTTGCAGGAAGGATCTAGGGCACTGATAGCAACTATTAGATAGTGGTTCTAAGTTCCAAAGGGAACCATAGATAAAGGAACCATATGTGTTATAGGTAAGGGACATATTTCATGTTGTTTATTTTCACTGCTCCTTGCAAACCAGGGATAACCCATAGGCAGTATGCCCAGAGTAGCATGTTGTTTAATCCTCACATTTTCACTATTTTATAGTCAGAAAACTGAAGTTGTACAAGATTAAGTAGAATACTCAAAGTCACACATTAAGAGTAGATTTACAATCCAGGTATATCTGCCCTAAAGCTCATGATCTTTCAACTATACTACTACCTAATGAAAAAAAGCAAATATGGCTTGTCTATACTATACCAGCATATAATAGGCCTGTATGTGTCTATAATAGACCTATGTATTATCAGCGCCCTGACTTAAGGACTAGATTTATAAAAGGAAAATAAAGAGGAAGTGTATGACCTCCAAACACTGTCTCTAAAGTTTTGTCTACATTGAACCTATTCCCTTTCCCAAAAGACTTCAGTAAAACTAAAGATTGAAGTTCAGGGTATTTAAGTCCAATAGAAACTTAAGAGAAGTGTTTTTTGTCTTCCCAATAATTGGCTAAAACTTTTTAACCGGAAAAAAATGAGACTGGCCCTCTAATTTTTTTCTTCAGAACTTTTTTTTTTTTTTTTGAGATGGAATCTTGCTCTGTTGCCCAGGCTGGTGTGCAGTGGCATGATCTCAGCTCACTGCAACCTCCATCTCCTAGGTTCAAGCAATTCTCCTGCCACAGCCTCCTGAGTAGCTGGGACTACAGGCGCGTGCCACCACACCCGGCTAATTTTTTGTATTTTTAGTAGAGACAGGGTTTCACCGTGTTAGCCAGGATGGTCTTGATCTTCTGACCTCGTGATCCACCCGCCTCAGCCTCCCAAAGTGCTGGGATTACAGGCATGAGCCACCACGCCCAGCCAGGTCTTAACTTTTATGAGCAAACCAAATTAGACACATTACATTTTTATGTTTCTAAACAAAGTGAGTTGCTAGGTATAAGCACCTTTACAATTAATAGTATGTATTAACTCTTCCACTCAAAATTCTTCTATTATGTATTCCCTATCTTGATGTAGTTTTCACCTACTGCTCTAAATTATCAGAATTATTAGAATTATTATATCTTTACCCCAGTCACTGCTTTCTTCCCACAGGCTGGGGACCCAATGAACCTGGATAATATAAAAAATGACTTTAGAGGCCAGGCACAGTGGCTCATGCCTGTGATCCCAGCACTCTGGGAGAGGCTGGCAGGGGAGGATCACTTGAGCCCAAGAGTTCAAGATCAGCCTGGGCAACAGTGAGAAGACTCCATCTCTATATAAAATATACGTATACATACACACACATACACACACACACACACGTAATTTTTTAAATAAATAACATGTCAAAAATGTTACTGTTACTCCTGGACTCTAAGATAAACCAGAACAAGCAAAGTTTATTTCTTGGTTTGCTTCAATTATCAAGCAACAACTAGTTATTAACTTTAACTCATAATCATTACAGGGTAAGAATACAGAATTCACTGGGATCAAACAGGTTTACTGATTCTCCTTCACCACACCCAATTTTGGTTCCCTACTCCACTACGAAATCATATTGAAGACTTCAAGGCTCCCAGTTCCTATCTACAGTGTTTGAAGACCATTAACTTGGATAGAATTAAACTTAAAAAAGGCTGACAATCACAATAGGACCCAAGGCCAGACTTTTGTTTAGTCCTAATGATAAAACATGTGTGAAAAACAGAGGAACAATATACACTTCTTAGGATGATGACAGCAGCCTCCAGACGACTTCAAGTGAAAGAGCCTTACAAATTTTCAGCCCCTTCTAAAAAACATATACAAATTTATGGCAAAACAGAAAACTCAGGCACAGGATACCCAAAGCTAATATTCACCTTTTGCTTCTGGGAAGCACGGTTCTTCTCATCAGAGATCTTCTCTGGATTATATCTTATGAGTGATGGAATGGACACCTGGACAGGCACTTGGGCCGCAGGAATTGAGCCTCGCAGAGACTCTTTCTGCTTAGGCTTATCAGGAGTCACAGTGGGGATCACACGAAGATTGGGACGGCTACGAGTAGCTTGTTTGGTTATTGGCATTATCCTGTGTGGTTCAGGTACAGGGTGGTTTGACGGTTGAGAGGTGGGATACATGGGCCATCTGGAGGCTGCATATGCCATGTAGTGCCTATAGGCATCAAAAGAGGCAGGGGGAATGGCAGGTCCCTGGTAGTTCGGAGGTATCCGAGCTGCAGCAAACTGAGAGGCCCTTGGCATGTGAAACTGAGATAAAGCAGCAGTGTGTGGAAGTCTAATTGGGGCAGATGGGGCTGATGGCAACATGCACCTGACTGCAACAGATGACTGAAACCCACTACCAACCACCTCTGGTCCTGAAATATGACCCACTGGATGGTCAGACTTTAGGAATGGAGGGCTGTTTTTTGTGAGCAGGTAAGGATCCACAGGAGAAGGTGGGTGTGGATGGGACACCTCTGGAGAGTGGGTATTGCTATGATGTGCCTCCCTGCTCTCTAGTCTGTGGGGATCTGAGGAACGTCGATCAGCTGAGAAGCAGTGGTCAACTGAGGAACAGCGGTCAGCTGAGAAGCGGTGGTCAACTGAGGAACAGTGGTCAGCTGAAAAGTATCGGTCAACTGAGGAACGGCGGTCAGCTGAGGAGCGTAATGATGGCTTCTTGCCATGAAGTCGTTCCTGGGTGCGTGCAGCCAATTGACTAATCTCTGCTACTCCAATATCCAGCCCTATTGTCTTGAGCAAGTCATGGATCTTCGCATATTCTGGATTGGTCTCTTCTAGTGATTCTAGCTTTACAGCTGGAGCTGAAGACGGCAGGGAGCTTGCCTTCTGCCTCATAACTTCACTCTCAGAGCTCCCAAGGGGCTTTGGTACGGATTCTGCCTTTAAATCCTCTTCTTCATCCCCATAGAGAAATTTCTCCTCATCTTCAATGTCGGGAAAGCTACGTCGCCTTTTTTCCTGTGTACTGGTAGAATCAGCCAACATGCTCAGAATGCGGGAAAAACCACTGCCATCCTGGCTAGCTCTCTCATGGGGCAGCAGGAAGTCTGTGTGTCGCTCAGGTCCCTCAGCCTTCAAATCCAAATTATCCTTGTGGCATAGAAAACTTCCAAATTTTTCTCTGAGAGGACTGTTGTCTTTGGGAATCCCAGGAAGGGGACCCCATTGGTAGAGGTTGCCCTGAGGTTCCTTCAAGGCAGTCTCTACCATAGTCCCCTTGTTTTCAATCTCTGAGGCAAAAGCAGCAATAGCACCACTTAGTGGAAGGGATGGGTGCCCAGAGTAGAGAGGGTGATCCTGGCTGGAGCTGGTACTGCTGGAAAAACTCTCAAGCTGCAAAGACAAACACAACTGATTTAGTCTTATGCAGAATCTCAGAACATTAGTAATTGAGATAAATACTTAAATACTTTGGTCTTCCTGAATTAACAGGTGAGATACAAGTATGGATAAAAGGGAGGAAAAGTATCCTTAGCCAGATTCAAAATGTGAATCCCCTTATCTCCAGATGTTTCTACTGTTGAGGAGAAACAGGAAGTGAGGCAAACTGGATGGAATCCTCACCTTTATCTATTTGTTAAAAGGAATTTGAATTCAAAAGAATTTTAGAGATCCCCTAGCTTGTTTTCTTTTCTATGGATCCCCAAAAGAAAAGGAAAAAAAAAGCTGCTTTGGCTGAAGTGGGGAGAGGAAACTCTGGAACGCTAACTCATCAGCATTCCTTTGCTTGGGAACCTCTTCAGAAGCCTTTATCTCCTAAGAGGACAGCTAAAAACTAGTGGTCTTTCCACTAGTGGTCTGACCATCCTTTCACAGGTCAGGGAAAAATATCAAGGCTCAGAATGGTGAGGTGACTTGTCTAAAAATCACAGTAAGTTGGTGGCAGAAGTGGGTCCAAAATCAGAATCATCTGATTTCTAGTCCAGTGTCCTACAACTCATACATCTTGTCTTCTCTCTAAAGAGAGATGAGAAAATTGAGATCACCTCCTCCCCTTGCCCTTCAAGGTTCATTTCCAACAAACCCATACTCAAAGATTGCCAAAGGATAATCCAATTTAAGTAAAAAAACTTACAGTACTCTCCAAAATATCTATTTATTAATATAAAGCCTAATATACAGCAATAGAACCCTCTACTGATGCATTAAAAGGCCTACAGTTTCGTTTGGAGAGTCCTAGAAGGTGTAGCTCACAATGTCGGTCCAGCACATATTACAAAGATACCATTAGGAACATAGCCCACAGGAAAGTAAGCAGGCTTTAAGATATTAGGGAGACTAGCAAGAGGCCCTACAAGAAATGCAGCAGAGACCTGCATGGAGGGCTCCATTATGTCCACCTCAATCCGCTTCTTCAAAATGGATTTCTTGGGCATCACAGATACTTCCTCAGGCCGATGCAAAGAATATCCTGGCTCCGATGCTGTTAGGACACCTGACAATCCAGGGATGGAACAGCCAGTACCACCACCATCAACTCCAACCAGCTCCTGACTCAAGCTCCTACTTCGCTCCTCCTCTTCCTCTCGCTTTCGTCTGGCAAGATCCAGTTCTCGAAACTCAGGGTCGAGAAACCTAGGACTTGGGCTTCTTCTACGCTGTCGATAGTTGCGAGTTCCTGATGTAAAACTTGGGTGATCCCCTCCCATGCTGTTTATCTTCACTGTGTCATCATAACGGGGTCTTTTGGCCTCCCGGCTCCTTTCTTCAGATCGTATGGAGTAGCCTTTGAGTTTTTCTCGATTCCGTTCTGTTCCCCGCAACAGCTCATCATGACAACTGATATGGGGACTATAATCAGATCGATGCAGGAAAGTTTCTTTTGTTCGGTAGTCCTCATCAAGTTGTCCCAAGAAGGGACTGAGAGGCCCTTCCTCCTGGGAAATATATCGCTCAAGACCCCGAGAGCACTGGGAGCTTCGAGTGAAGACAGAATCATCAGTCAGGTCATCCCTGAGGAAAAAGAGAAGCATCATTGAACAAATGGACTTGGAAAGAATAAGAGCAGACAAGGCTAAGAGACTGGTGTTTGTCAAGGGGGCTATAAAATGCTTAGGGCAAAAGACTATAATCATGAAGTCCAAGAACATTTCCTCTCCCTTTCCCCAGGGGAACAAGCAGCTTTAGCCTCTAACCAAGAGGTAATATTACCAACATATCTAGATAGATCTCTTGGGTAATTTCTCCGACTAGACTTAGGGCATGCAGAATATCATGGAAGTTACACAACTCCACACAAGCTAAATTCTAGCTCTTTGCTACTGAAAGTGTAGTGCGGACGAAACAGCATTAGCATTACCTGGGAACTTTTTAGAAATATAGCTTCTCAAAGCTCCACCCCAAGCAGATCTGAACTAGAATCTGCATTTTAACAAGATCTCCAGGTGATTTGTCTGTACTTTAAAGTTTGAGAAACACCAGTCCAGATCAATGGGATTTTTTTGTTTTGTTTTGAGATGGAGTCTCGCTCTGTCACCCAGGCTGGAATGCAGTGATGCAATCTCGGCTCACTGCAAGCTCCGCCTCTCAGGTTCACGCCATTCTCCTGCCTCAGTCTCCCGAGTAACTGGGCCTATAGGCACCAGCCATCACACCCGGCTAATTTTTTTTTTTTTTTTTTTCTGATTTTTTAGTAGAGACAGGGTTTCACCATGTTAGCCAGGATGGTCTTGATCTCCTGACCTAGTGATCAGCCCGCCTTGGCCTCCCAAAGTGCTGGGATTACAGGCATGAGCCACCGCGCCCAGCCTGTTTTGTTTAAGACAGAGTCTTGCTCTGTCACCCAGGCTGGAGTGCAGTGGCATGATCTCGGCTGACTGCAACCTCTACCTCCCTGGTTCAAGTGATTCTTGTGCCTCAACCTCCTTAAGTAGCTGGGATTACAGGTGTGCACCACCATGCTGGCTGACTTTTTGCATTTTTTTAGTAGAGATGGGGTTTCACATGTTGGCCAGGCTGGTCTCGAACTCCTGATCTCAGGTGATCTGCCCGCCTCAGCCTCCCAAACTGCTGGGATTACAGGCGTGAGCCTCCACACGTGGCTCAGATAAATGGTTTTAAAGCTGTGTTCCAGAGGTTGTAAAGAGTGCTCAGGAGCTACCAAAAGAAAGGAGGTACTAGAAAAGCAGAACCAGCAGGGCTCTTGACCTTCTATCCCAGTTAAATCACACTAATTCCAACTTTAAGTCTGTATATTAAGGTTCTAATAATTCAATTGGGAAAAAAAAGTATCACTATATGGTAACTTTTAAAAAAACTACTGATTTATCTAATTAGCATGATTTTCTCATAAGATTTAGAAGGTTCTCCAATGCTTTGCCTTGATGGTTCACATATTAAAACCCATAAAGCTCTCTCACAGCCTGTTTTGTCACCCTCTTTGCCTTCTCTGGATATCTACAAGCACTCTGCTAATCTTGGGCTTAGAAAAGAGAAAGTGATGGTTTGGTTCACCATATATTTTTATTTCATTAAATACAAAGGTCTCAGACCTTTGTGGCATGAGGTAAAAATCCAGGATGGGACAGCTATTCTTTTAGCTGAGAATTCTATACCACACCCAATAATGCTAACCTTCTCAGGGGCTATGGCTATGACACAAAACTAAAGTTTCTGATTTAAATCACAGATAGAAATAAAGATCCTCTAGCACTTTATGTATGAAAACTTCTAAGTACTCTGAATAAAAAATAAAAGTTCTTACATGTCACTCACATTCCAGAGTGAATTATCATCTAGAGGATGGTAACTATTAGTGTCTTCTACAGTTTCTAGTAGCTACTTTTGTTGTGAGTTTCTAGAAATGACTTTTCCTTAGTTTTTTTAGTAGTTGCTTTCCTATCTCTGAGACTATGCCAGCAGAATCTCAAAACATTGCCTTTTCTTATTCACCAGCCTGCCTTTGATCAAAGTTGTAGACCTAGGAATAAATTTATGAAAGGTTATCAAGGACAAACTTTATTTACCTTCTCTAACAAGAATGCCACCTGTGGGAATCCAGGTTTCTGTTACCCACCTTCTTCCTAAGAATTTGGGAAATTTTGAGGTTTCAATGCAGTATGAAATAGGAATAAATGGGAATAAACCAAGGATGATTTCTGAAATCAAACTGAGGTAAAAATTTTTCTCTATAGGTCTGTCAGCCATAAACACACCTATTTCCAGAGAGGAATGTTCATGAGTTGAGTCACTCCATTGCCAAAACACCATCTACCATACAAAAAGTCTCTGACCATATTAGTATAGGGAGAAAAAACATAGGCTCCATGAGGAGTGGCAAGTTCATTCACACTCCCACATTCAGCTCCCCACCAGAACTATTACATGTCACCATGAAACGGCATACTAGCCCAAGGTCTAAACCAGTACTAACTATCAAGAAGCTACAAATGAGATGGCTCTCAAAAAGCTGTAGTCCAGACTTGGAATCTCCAGTAGAGACAGAAAAAAGGCATAAAAACAGTTTTCTTAAAAAAGCTATCACATACATATAGGCAGAAATCAGGTTGCTTATTAGAAGCTCATGTCCTCCTTCCCCAGGACTCCAAAAGGATATGAGAAGAGAACTGGCTGTAGTAAGAACCCTAAAAAGGGTACAATCTCCTATACCCTGAAAGAGTCCAGCGATGGATACTCCCGGAAAGCCTTGGTTAAGTTCAACTGTTTTCTAAAATAAAGTCTATCTATTTAAAAAAACTGATTGTTGGAGTTAGGTAATAAGGACATGGGGTTTCACTGTACTATTCTACATTTTTGTGTTTACAAATCTCTGTTAAACAAGTTTTTAAAAAATGTATGTATGTCCATATAAAAACTTTTATACCAATGTTCAGAGCAGCATTAATCATAATTGCCAAAAAGTGAAAAGAATCAAAATGTTATCCATTCATTCACCACTGATGAATGGATAAACAAAACATGGTATATCCATACAATAAAATATTATCAGCAATAAAAAGGAATGCTACAAACACGGATGAACCTTAAAAAAAAATATGCTAAGTGAAAGAAGCCAGTCACAAAAGACCACATATTATATGATTCTATTTATATGAAATGTCCAGAACGGGCAAATCTATAGAGACAGAAAGTAGATTAGTGATTGCCTATGGCTGGGGGTAGGGTGGAGGGAGTAATGGCTAAAGGAACAGAGCTTCTTTCTGGTGTAATAAAAATGTTCTAAAATTGATTGTAGTGAGGGATGCACAACTCTGAATATGCGAAAAATCACTGAACTGTACACTTCAAATGGGTGAATTATATAGTATACAAATTACATCTCGATAAAGCTGTTAAAAATGTATACATATTTTAAAAGGTCCTTCAGAGCCTAAACTCTCCATTCTTTTCTGTTGATGAGTCCCAAAAATGCCCCAAGAAAGCTGTTTGCTTCTATTCCCTAAAGAAAATCAGAGGGAAAAAAATCCCACTCCTTCAATCTGTCAGAATAAGGAGAAGAAATTAGGCGATAAGCTGGGCACAATGGCTCACACCTGTAATCTTAGCACTTGGAGAGGCCAGGGCAGAAGGATTGCTTGGGGTCAGGAGACTAGCCTGGACAACACAGATAGATAGAAACCCAATTTCTAAAAATTTATTTTTTAATTCACCAGGTGTGGCAGTGCAGCCCATAGTCCTAGCTACTCTTTAGACTGAGCTGGGAGGACCACTTGAGCCCAGGAGTTTGAGGTTACAGTGAACTATGATCACGCCACTGCACTCCAGGCTGGGCAACAGAGCAAGACATTGTCTTTTAAAAAGTTAATAATTTTTTTTAAATAAATAGCTCCATGAATGGAACATTAAATGTGCAAATTACTTTGATGAACAGGAGAAATCAACCTAACATCCACAAGTCTTTAGAAGCCAAGTGTTTTAGAATTTTTCACATTACCTTTCATGTTCCCTTTTGAGTAGAATTACAGTCCTACATACAGGGCTGCTAAGGTGAAGACACTAAAACCCAACTTGGCTATCATCCAAACCTGATATAAAACTTAACAGATTCAATAAAGGAAGAGAAAGACTACTAGAGTCTCAGAAAAAAAATAAACAAACATCTGGCCAGGCATGGTGGCTCATGCCTGCAATCCCATCACTTTGGGAGGCTGAGGCAGGAGGGTCACTTGAGCTCAGGAGTTTGAAACCAGCCTAGGCAACACAGTGAGAACCCCATCTCTACAAAAATTTGAAAAATTAGCTGGGCGTCGGGTGGTGTGTGCCTGTATTCCTAGCTACTTGGGAGGCTGAGGCAGGAGAATCACTTGAACCCAGGAGTTAGAGGCTACACTAAGCTATGATCGTGCCACTGCACTCCAGCCTGGGTGACAAGAGTGAGACCCTGTCTCTTAAAAATAAATTTAAAAGGGGCCAGGCGCGGTGGCTCACACCTGTAATCCCAGCACTTTGGGAGGCCAAGGTGGACGGATCACGAGGTCAGTTCGAGACCAGCCTGGCCAAAGAAACCGCATCTCTACTAAAAATACAAAAAATTAGCCTGGCATGGTAGTCCGCACCTGTAATCCCAGCTACTCAGGAGGCTGAGGCAGGAGAATTGCTAGAACCTGGGAGGCGGAGGTTGCAGTGAGCCGAGATTGCAGCATTGCACTCCAGCCAGGCAACAGTGCAAGACTCTGTCTCAAAAAATAAATAAATAAAAATAAAAAAATAAATGAATTTTTAAAAAATAAACATCTACATACACGTCTTTTTTTTTTTTTTTTTTTTTTTGAGACAGAGTCTTGTTCTGTGCAGTGGCACAATCTGGGCTCACTGCAAACTCTGCCTCCCAGGTTCAAGCTTCTCCTGCCTCAGCCTCTGGAGTAGCTAAGACTACAGGCATGCGCCACCACTGGGTAATTTTTGTATTTTTGGTAGAGACAGGATCTCATCATGTTGGCCAGGATGGTCTCGAACTCCTGACCTCAAGTGATTGGCCCACCTCAGCCTCCCAAAGTGCTGGGATTACAGGTATGAGCCACTGCGCCAGGCCCAAACATCTACATACAAAGGATATAAATGGCCTGTATCATTGGTTGAAGACTAGACTCACTGTCAGGAGACAACCTGAGTATGCCAATGGTCCTGTGGCCTGGTTTTAGTGGACAGTAATTATCCACACAAACCATACTGAACAAAAGGGAAAGAAGAGAAATGTGTAGGGGGCAACAGTATTTTTTAAATGGCCTTGTATCTTTGTTTAGAACCTTAATCTCACTTTCTCTAAAGTAGACCTGTGCCTCTGAAACACATGATTCTACAAAGAAGACTGCTGCCCCAAACTCCTTAAGAGGAAAAATTTTAATTTTTGTAATTTAAAAATATAATTAGTTCTATCTGAAGCACATGTGCATAACAAAGTTTATGCAAAGGGGAAGTGACATCCTAGGCCTAAGAAGAACTGCTGAAGCTAACTCAAAACCTCAGCAAAGAATGAAGACAATCACACTATGTACCACCTACCCAGACTACCTACTCAATAATTTCCCCAAACAGAAGCAGCCAGAAGAGCAAGGGCTATTGCCTCAATTAAGTGATACAGTCACATATCTTGAAGCCCTTTAGAAGCTTCAATGTTATATGACATAAGACTATTTTGCCTTGCTTCTTCTCTGAGAAAACACCAAATGGCAGATGATGTCGGTGGAGGGGGTGGGGCGGGGGCAGAGGCCCCGGGGGCCCTGGGATGGGAAACCGTGGTGGCTTCCATGGAGGGGCTGGGGTTGCAGCTGTGGACAGGGCTGAGGCCACGGAGCTCGTGGAGGCAAGGCCAAGGATAAGGAGTGGATGCCTGTCACCAAGCTGGGCTGCTTGGTTAAGGACATAAAGATCAAGTCCCTGGAGAACTACCTCTTCTTCCTGCCCATCAAGGAATCTGAGATCACTGACTTTTTCCTGGGGGCCTCTCTCAAGGATGAGGTGTTGAAGATTATGCCAGTGCAGAAGCAGACCCACACTGGCCAGTTGAAAAGGTTCAAGGCGTTTGTTGCCATCGGGGACTACAATGGCCACGTCGGTCTGGGTGTTAAGTGCTCCAAGGAGGTGGCCACTGCCACCTGCGGGGCCATCATCCTGGCCAAGCTCTCCATTCTCCCTGTGCACAGAGGCTACTGGGGGAACAAGATCCACAAGCCCCACACCGTTCCTTGCAAGGTGACAGGCTACTGCGGCTCTGTGCTGGTGCACCTCATCCCTGCGCCCAAGGGCACTGGCATCGTCTCAGCCCGTGCCCAAGAAGCTGCTCATGATGGCTGGTATTGATGACTGCTACACCTCAGCCAGGGGCTGCACTGCCACCCTGGGCAACTTCGCCAAGGCCACCTTTGATGCCATCTCTAAGACCTACAGCTACCTGACCCCCGACCTCTGGAAGGAGACAGGATTCACCAAGTCTCCCTATCAGGAATTCACTGACCACCTCATCAAGACACACACCAGAGTCTCTGTGCAGAGGACGTAGGCTCCAGCTGTGGCTACAACATAGGGTTTTTATACAAGAAATATAAAGTGAATTAAGCCTGAAAAAAAAAAAAAAAAAAGACTGTTCTGCCTTGCTTCACTGCATCCACAGCCAATGGAACTTTTAGGTATTACCAACGGCAAAACTGGTCCTCAGACTTCCTGCCCAGCTCTCCCCCACCCGCCTAGCTATGCTCTGTGCAACACGGCAAGCGACAGTCTCAGTTTGAAATTACATTACATTGATTTATTGCTACTGCTAATCATTTGTCAAAACTCCCAATGTGCTGGGCAGAGACCATAACAGTCATGGTCTCAGCTCTGAGAAAGAGTGCTTTCCTGAACTCCCATCCATACTTTGACTTTTGTGAGGTGAAAAACACCTAATGTGATTATTTACAATCTATATATGGTTAAGTTCCTAGTACCTGAGGTCTATATCCAACTCTCTTGAGTGTATCTACCCTTCCTCAGCACTCAATAGTTGTAAAATAATAACTGAACTTAAACATTTTTGAAGGTCTCTAGCTTTCTATTAATACTTTATCTACTTCACATACACACATATATTAGACATGAACTTACCTAACCCTTTCTGAATCTGTTTCAGCCTGGATAAACTAAAAAATAACACCATTTTAAAAAGACTTCCCATTTTGTCCAGAACTTTTCTTTGGAGAAGGGACTGCTCATAGTTTCACTGTTTTAGAATCTATACCATCTCAACTGTTCTTCATTTGGGGGACTCTGATTATGTCCCCTCAGCCTCTTCTTTCTAGTCAGACTCAGATGACCTTTTTAAAGTCTTTTTTTCTATACAATTTATTCAACAACAGAGTCTACACATCATTATACTCCTCCCACTTAGAAATTCTATCCCAGCGTTTTATTTTGTACTGGACATGTGGCATAGGAAATAACTTTAGAGCTGGCACCATCCTTTCAAATATATCATTCGGAAAACAGCAACATTTCTGCCTTCAAGTACTAGTATAGTAGGCCCTGCCTTAGGTGATGCCTACCTGTCCATGTCTTCCAGATTATCCACTGGTGACCCCAGCCGATCACTAAGCCGTCGCCGTTCTGGTGTGCTAACACAGAAGTGGTCATTGCCAACAGTGATCCTTAAGCTCTTTTCCAAAGAGTCAGAACACAGACCAGGAGAGCGTCTCTACAAAAGTAAAGGATAATATGGTTAGTCAATAGGGTCAAGACATCCCTACATCCAAAAACTCTCCTCCCTAGTTACAAAGTTAGCCAGGCATGGTGGCTCATGCCTGTATACCCAACACTTTGGGAGGCTGAGGTGTATAGGCCCAGGCAAGAATGTGAGACCAGTCTGGGCAACACAGACTCCATCTCTATAAAAAAAAGTTTAAAATTAGCCAGGTGTGGTCCCAACTACTCAGGTGGCTGAGGTGGGAGGATAGCTTAAGCTTGGGAGGTCAGGGCTGCAGTGAGCCATGACTGCACCACAGCACTTCAGCCTGGGCAATGAGCAGGACCTTGTCTCAAAAACAAAAGACAACCCTGCAAAGTTGGGGTTCAACAAGGTGAGAAATGGTTATGGTAAGACACTATACCAAAAATAAAGCACTTTTTAAAAATTATCATTTTCTTAGAGATATAAGCCCATACCTCTAACTCTCCTAAACGGTGACCTCTCATTCTTACTGGGCATGGGAAAAGAGAAGTGAATAAAGTCCCTGCTCTCAGAACCCTACTTCTAGTGTACATACTTCTAGTGAAGGAGGTAAGCCAAAAACAAGTTTAAAGAAAAAAAAAATTCTTCTGGTAAGTGCTATAGTCATTAAAACATGGTACCATAAAAGGAGTTACTTCAGATAGGATGGTTAGAAAAGGTTTTTCTCAGGTGATAACCTGAGGCCTGAAGAATGAGGTGTCAGCTTTGCAAAGAACAGGTAGAAAGATGTTTCAGGCAAAGAAAAGAACCACCTCAGTATAGAGCTTGGTATACTTTAAGTAACAGAAAAGCGGCCGGTGTGGCTGCAGCAAAGTGACAGAAGAGGAAAAGATAGGCAGAAAGCACAGTTGGGAAATTTGGATTTTATTCTTAGTGCAATTAACAGTTATAGGAGGGTTTTACACAGGATAGTGACATCATCTGACTACATTTTTCCTCCAGATGCTTGCACAGCACACCCTCACCTCCTTCAGATCTTTATTCAAAAATCACCTTCCCAGGAGGCCTTCCCTGACTACTCTCAAAAATTTTAACTCCCCGGGCCAGGCATGGTAGCTTATGCCTGTAAGCCCAGCATTTTGGGAGGCTGAGGCAGGAGAATCACTTGAGGCCAGGAGTTTGAGACCAGCCTGGGCAACATAGTGAAATCCCTCCCCACACCAAAACATTTTTTTAAAATAAAATCAGCTGGGATGTTGGTACGCACCTGTAGTCCCAGCTACTCAGGATGCTGAGGTGAGAGGATCGCTTGAGCGTGGGAGTTTGAGACTGCAGTGAGCTATGATCACACCACTACACTCAAGCCCGGGTGACAGAGCAACACTATATTACATACACACACACGCACACAAACTGTAACTCCCTTCTCTGCTCTTAGTCCTTTTTTTTTTGTTTTGTTTGAGACTTGCTCTGTCGTCCCCAGCCTGGAGTGCAGTGGCACGATCTCGGCTCACTGCAAGCTCCGCCTCCCAGGTTCATGCCATTCTCCTGCCTCAGCCTCCCAAGTAGCTGGGACTACAGGTGCCCGCCACCAAGCCCGACTAATTATTGTATTTTTAGTAGAGACGGTGTTTCACCGTGTTAGCCAACATGGTCTCGATCTCCTGACCTCGTGATCCGCCTGCCTCGGCCTCCCAAAGTGCTGGGATTACAGGCGTGAGCCACCGCGCCCGGCCCTATTTTAGTACTTCTTAGTCCTTCTTAGTACTTAATTACATTTAACATACCATCGCATTTCTAACTTCAACTTATTATCCAACTCTCCCTGCTAGAATATTAACTCTATAAGGATAGGAGTTTTTTTCTGGTTTGTACTTTGTTGTATCCCCAGGGTAGTCCAGAACAGTCCTAATGCAAAGTAGATGCTCAATAAATACATGTCAAATGTATAAAATGAGGGCTTAAAAATCAATTTGATTTCTGTGTAACCTCCAGAACAAACTGGAGGGTAGCAAGGGCGGAGTGTAAAGGAGCCAAATGCAACAATCCATGCAAGAGGTAATAGGGCTTAGACCAGAGTGATGGCAGGAGGATGGCAGTTTTGGGGATGTATTCTAGAGGTAAAGCTAACGGGTTAGACAGATGAGGTAATCTGACAAATTAGATGTGGGAAGAAGGGAGATAATGGCTGTTTCTGATGTAAGCAACGGATGATGCTATTTACTCAGACAGAAAAGACTGGAGCAAATACATTGCGCACTGGAGAAGAAAAGGAGGTTGTGTAAACAAGCATTCTGTTCTTCCTTCCTCTGTAGTGACTGCCACCCACACTGGCACTGCTCAACTGGAAATCTTAACATAGTGACAAATCAATTTAACCATGACCAAAGTACTCACAGTACTTACATACATGTTAGAGAGCCACTCAAAAAAGCAGAACTTTGTTACTAAGTTTAAAAAAAGAGGCCGGGCATGATGGCAGGCGCCTATAATCCCAGCTACTTGGGAGGCTGAGGCGGGAGGATTGATTGAACCCCGGAGGCGGAGGTTACAGTGAGCTGAGATCATGCCATTGCACTCCAGCCTGGGGAACAGAGTGAGACTCTTTCTCAAATAATAATAATAATAAAAAGATTGATGAACTAAAAATAAAACAAATTCCCAAAAACCAGACTCTACCTAGAGGATCTCTTGGGGTGGTGGTTATGGTTAAAGGTCAACATTATTTCTAAAACTAAACTTAAACTCATGCTCCGTTCCTCTAGCAGTGAAACATAGAGGTTCAAATCATGGATTTGGGGAACCAGGCGGATCTGAGTTGAAGCACAGCTCCACCACTTAGCCGTGTCACCTCAGTCGAGTTACTTGAACCTCTCTGGGTTGGTTCCTCGGCTGTACAACAAGGAATAGTATTAACTGCCTCACTTCAAAGACTTGTGAGGGTTAAAATAATGTGCAAAGTGAAAGGCTAGGCATAATTCCTGACATAGAACTCGATAAGAGGTAGTGGCTATGGCAGTGACTGTGGTCCTGCACACTTCATTCCGAAGCAGCAGCTCCAATTCATTTAAGCTAACAGTTTACACTCTAGACGTAAAGCCTGGTAGGGTTCAAGCGTCCCTAACTCGCCACAAAAACGGACATTTCGGCTTTTTCCCCTAAGATCCAGGAAGGCAGCTCAGGTGTAAGGGGATGAAAAGTACGGAACCCCGAGGACACATCAACTCTACAAAAAGTACCAAGACACACGGTTTGGACGAAATGCCCCTCGCCTTGGCAAACTTTCCACACCTCACCCGGCATGAGAGAAACAGCCTATTCCTAAGGAACGGAGCGCGCACTCCCGACGAGACGCCCGTGCGCTCCCGAGTCCGTTATTGTGTCAACGCTCCCGGGTCTGACAGAAGCCTCCAGGCTCGGCATCCCCGAGGGAGTTGGCCGGAGGCTTCGCGCTTAGGACCCTGGTCTGGAGGCCCCGGGCGTTTCTGGAAACGGGAATTCCGGGGGAGGGGACTGGGGGATGGAGGGAGTCCTGGACGAGGGGTGGGATTACCCGGCTGCCGCTGTCGCCTGGATGGTCTCCGCGGCCGTCCCGGGCATAGTCGGCGCGGGACTCCCCCCGGCTGCTGCCTCTGAAGCCGGCCGGGCCCGGCGGGAAGAGTCGTCGGCCCCGCGGTGGCGACGGGGAGCCGCGACGGGCCCGAGGCGGGGACGGGGAGACGCGACGACCCCGTGGCGGGGACGGCGAGGCCCGGCGGCCGCGGTGCCCTGAGGGCGAGCGGGGTCGGCGAGCCGGGGTCCGCGACGAGGAGCCGGAGGGCGGAGGCGGCGGTGAGCTGCGGCGAGCCGGGCCTGAGGAGGAGCCAGAGCTGCGGCCGCTGCGCGGGCCGCCCCCGCCGTCGTCTTTAGGCCGGTGGGAAGAGACGGAGGAGCGAGCGCTGCTGCGGTACATGGTTCTTGCAGCGGCGGCCACGGCGACAGCTCTGACCCGGGGGCGCCCTAGACGCAGGCTCGGAGCGCGCCGCCGCAGCTGCAGCCGCCGCCACCTCGGCCGCTGCGCGCCGCCTCAGCCGCGGGAGCAGCCCCCTCCCCTCGGCCCCGCGTCGCCCCGGGGGCCCGGCCGAGCGCGCCCCCGCGGCTGGCGGTTGGAGGGCGCGAGCACGCGTCCGACACACCCCCCCCCGCCTCCGGGGTTCCCCGCTCCTCCACTCAGGGAGCGGCCGCAGGAACCAAGAAAAGTGGGGAGGAGCACAGACGCCGGCGCGAGGCTGGGCGAGGGGAGGGGAAGCGAAGCGCGCGCCCTGAGCTCTGCACGCCCCGCCTCCGAATCCTCAAGATGGCGGCCGCAGAGCCGCCCACTTCCCCCTCCCGCGGCCGCCACGTGACCCCTGTGGCCTCCGCGCGGGGTGGGCGGAGCGGAAGGAAGGGCTTCTCTGGAGAGGGATCTGGTTTTCCGGGGATGCTCCAGGCCTCTGGACTTAGGGGTTTGGAGACCGTGCGGAGGTGTCTTCGCTCTTTCGTGCCGCCCCTCAAGCCTCTTAATTTAGGGATGGACACGAAATGGTTGAAAACCATTCGTGATAATATAAACGGGCCTGTAAACGTTAGCTGTGTGGGAGGTTACGGACCCCGGCAGGAGCGCCCACCGAAATCCTGTCCCCAGCTGAAGCAACACGACCCGCATCAGTTTACTTTCCAGTTTGCCTAATTTCTAGAGGTTGAAATTGAGGATAGGAAAGTACGAGGTGGAGGTGGTGGGCCAGAATCAAACCCAAAATAGACGTTGTCAGGCCTCTGAGCCCAAGCTAAGCCATCATATCCCCTATGACCTGCACGTATACATCCAGATGGCCTGAGGCAACTGAAGAGCCACAAAAGAAGTGAAAATAGCCTTAACTGATGACATTCCACCATTGTGATTTGTTCCTGCCCCACCCTAACTGACAGGATATATTCTCCCCCTTGCCCTTAAGTAGGTGCTTTGTAATATTCTCCCCCGCCCTTAAGAATGTACTTTGTACACCTATCCCAAACCTATAAGAACTAATGATAATTCCACCACCCTCTGCTGACTCCTTTTTCGGACTCAACCCGCCTGCACCCAGGTAAGATAAACAGCCTTGTTGCTCACACGAAGCCTGTTTGGTGGACTCTCTTCACACGTTTTCGAGCTGTTTTCTGACTAAAGTACTTGTGGTCATGGTGGAGGTCCTTCATTACCAGGGGCCCACATCATGACCAACTGGAGGCGTGGCAAGTTTTTGTAAGAGATCCAGGCATGCCCCCTCCCCTGGCCTAAGTCCAGAATTTTCCTAGATGCCAATCTCAGGGCCCTGCATCCTAAATACAAAAGTGGGCCAGGCGCAAAGGGTCACGCCTATAATCCCACCATTTTGGGAGGCCGGGGCAGGAGGATTGCTTGAGCCTGAGAGTTCGAGACCAGCCTGGGCAACGTAGAAGGACCTCCATTTCTAAAAAAAAAAAAAAAAAATTTGCCGAGTGTGGTGGCACGTTCCTGTACCCCAGCTACTCGGGAGGTTGAGGCTGCGGTGAGCTGTGATCATGCCACTGCACTCCAGCCTGGGTGACAGAGTGAGACCCTCTCTCAAAAAATACATCCATATATATATATATCCATTTCCATACGTTCTTATAATGGCATATACTCAGTAAAAATGTATAAAATTTTTACTAGTTGACTACTTTTACCCAGCTTCACATTTTATATAATTTATATAAAATAAGAAACCAATAACATTTTAATGAAAAAAATAATAAAAATATGCCAGAGGTGTATGCCCTGTCTTTATTAGAGTATATATGGATTTTGGTTACCCATACTTTTGGTGGGACTTAATAAATGTGAAAAAAATGTAAATCAGTGTGTATAGATACTTGGAGTCAATAAATTTTAAATCATGTTTGTTATATTCTGTATCAACTTTTACTCCTCAACCCATTTCTAATACTGAATATTTTTATCAAAGGAGCTGGGGTGTTTCAAGACAGGGGGAGACACGGTGTATAATCAGAAAACTCTTCTGCTTCCCCTTCACACTTGCTCTATGCATAGTTCTGTATCCTGCATGAAATCTCTTGCAGATCCTTTCACTTTTCAAGTATTTTTCAGTCATGACAGTAGTCATATTGCAGTAGAAAATATATAGTACAGAACAAAACTTTAAACTTTATTCAGGCTAAAGGTTCTCCCCTACCCCTGCTTTTACCTGCTTCAGACTTGAAGCTTGCTATATTAAAAGTGGTATGGTAGGTTTCTCCACATCCCTGCCTTTGCTCCTCAAAGTTTGCTCCTCCTCTCCCACTGGCTAGCTGCTATTTCTGACCCCCTCCTCCCAGGAGGAGAAGGGATTGAAGGGAAAGAACACAGACTTTCCTGGTTAGTGCAGGATGCTGTTACCTTCCAAAATCGGTTCCCTATGGACAAGGAGGAATCACAAATGTTGGCTTTTCTCTCTTATGCACCTTTGTGGGCTTTTTTAGAACTCTCTTGCTGGCAGTGGTCCTCCTCTGGTTCACTGTCTATGACTCCCCTCCCCCAAGTCTTTGGCCTTCTGGAGGAGGTTTACCCCATGTAAAACTCACTCCCGTGGCAGGAGTCCCTTTCCTCTCTGGTTATCTCTCATGGGACGGATCCCTTTTATTTTGTTTTGTTTTTTTTTTTTTTTTTTTTTTTTTTTTTGAGACAGAGTCTCGCTCAGTCGCCCAGGCTGGAGTGCAGTGGCTCGATCTCCGCTCACTGCAAGCTTCGCTTCCTGGGCTCACGCCATTCTCCTGCCTCAGCCTCCCGAGTAGCTGGGACTATAGGCACCCGCCACCATGCCCAGCTAATTTTTTTGTATTTTTTTTAGTGGAGACGAGGTTTCACCGTGTAAGCCAGGATGGTCGCGATCTGCTGACCTCGTGATCCGCCCGCCTCGGCCTCCCAAAGTGCTGGGAAGGTGGCATGAGCCACCGCACGCGGCCTGGGAAGGATCTCTTTTAAATGACTCCAAGTTCGTTAGCTTGTGTGTCCACTTGGCTCACAGGATAACTCATGCATCTTTGCCCCAGTGGCGAAGGCAGTGCAGCTCACTCCCCATGGCTCCCACCTTATTCACCATCCCAGCACAGTTAGCCAGCATCTTGCTTTTGGACTTCCCCCAGGTAGGGGTTAAGACACTATCCCTGTGGATCTCCAAACTCCAGGAGACACAAGCCAAACATTCTAAGAGGTTCTAGTAGAAGGCTTTATCTCACTTGGCTCCCCTCTCCCGCCCCAGAGTGGCAGGAGAGGAAATACAGAGCCCACAGGTAACTGTCCGACACAATCTTCATTCTCTTATATAGACTGAGGGTGGATGATTAGTAATGCTGGCAGACTAGTTCATATTCTATCATCACCCTTTAAGATGGGGGAATGGGAGTACCTGGCATCTGTTGTATTGCCTTCTATTTTTGAGGCCTTTGCTGAAACTCCAGAGACAATAGGAAGAACCCAGTTAACGTACCGTCCCTGTTGTCTGTCATCAATTCAAGAAATTTTTATGAGACTTCTGATGAAGATGGTGAAATGTGTAAAGGCTTTCACACATACACACATACCACCCCATAGTAGACATACCGCAATGACATATAAAACCTTAAAAGAGAAAAGTAAGGAGACTAGGATGTATGCTATGGACTGAATTGTGTTTCCCCCACCACTACTCCAAATTCATTTGTTAAAGCCCTAACCCCCAATGTGATGCTATTTGGAGAAGAGTCCTTTGGGAGGTAATTAGGGTCAGATGAGGTCATGAGGGTAGGGCCCCCATGATGATAGTGTCTTTATAAAGAGAGGAAGAGACACCCATGCCCTCTCTCTGCTATGCAAGCACACAGTGAGAAGGCAGTGTCTACAAACCAGGAAGAGAGCACTCACCAGGAACTAAATTGGCTAGCACCTTGGTCTTGGACATTCCAGCCTCTAGAACTGTAAGAAATAAGCACGTGTTGTTGAAGCCACCCAGCCTTACGGTATTTTGTTACAGCAGCTCAAAACAGCTAATACACTCTGAAACGAGATAACCACCTCCCCATGGACCTCATGGGCTTTGAAATGAGTCTAGAATCAAGGGTAGCAGTTAGAGATTTGGCTCCTGTGAGATAATGGAAATGTAAGTGCTCCTCAGGAGGTGGAGGACCTGGGACAGATTTTTAGCTTAAAGCCAAGGACATGCCTGTCCCTACATGCGAGCTGAACAAATTACTGCCAGCCTTCTGCTTGGGGCTAAGTTTCATGGGAATGTGCCATGTGGGTGGGAAGATAAAAATATTGACAGCCTTTAAACAAGAACTGAGCCTAGACACTCCCTGCTCAGTGACTGGAATGGTAATATCCTAATATTACCAATATTACCTATACACCAGTAATAACTAATTAGAAAATACGATTCTGAGGCCAGCTGTGGTGGCTCATGCCTGTTAATGCCAGCACTCTGGGAGGCTGAGGCAGGCAGATCACCTGAGGTCGGGAGTTCGAGACCAGCCTGGTCAACATGGCGAAACCCCATCTCTACTAAAAATAAAAAAATTAGCCAGGCATGGTGGCGGGTGCCTGTAATCCCAGCTACTCAGGAGGCTAAGGCAGGAGAATAGCTTGAACCCGGGAGGCAGAGTTTTCAGTGAGCCGAGATCACACCACTACACTCCAGCCTGGGTGACAAAGGAGACTCTATCTCAAAAAAAAAAGGAAAGAAAGAAAATATGAGTCTGGCCAGGCGCAGTGGTTCACACCTGTAATCCCAACACTGTGGGAGGCCGAGGCAGGCGGATCACTTGAGGTCAGGAGTTCAAGACTAGCCTGGCCAACATAGTGAAACTCTGTCTCTACTAAAAATACAAAAATTAGCTGGGCATGGTAGTCTGGCTACCTTAGCACGCTTGTAGTCCCAGCTACTCAGGAGGCTGAGGCAGGAGAATCGCTTGAATCTGGGAGGCGGAGGTTGCAGTGAGTCGAGATCTTGCCACTGCATTCCAGCCTGGGTGACACAGTGAGACTCCACCTCAAAAAAAGAAAAGAAAATATGATTTTTCTGCTGGACACAGTGGCAGGTACCTATAATCCCAGCTACTCAGGAGACTAAGGCAGGAGTTTTCACCTGAGCCCAGGAGCCCGAGGTTAGCCTGGACAACAAAGCAAGACCCTGTCTCTGGAAAAGGAAGAAGAGAGAAAATATGATTTTCTGTTAAACATGGTGGATTCAATCATGCATGTATCACTATTACATCCATAACCTCTGTCTCAAAAAACAAAAAAAAAAAAGCTCTGGCCAGGCGCAGTGGCTCACGTCTGTAATCCCAGCACTATGAGAGGCTGAGACAGGTGGATCACTTGAGGTCAGGAGTTCGAGACCAGCCTGACCAACATGGTGAAACCCCATCTCTACTAAAAAATACCAAAAAATTGGCCAGGGGTGGTGGTGGGTGCCTGTAATCCCAGCTACTTAGGAGGCTAAGGCAGGAGAATCACTTGAACCCGGGAGGTGGAGATTGCAGTGAGCCGAGATCGTGCCACTGCACTCCAGCCTCAGTGACAGAACAAGATTCCATCTCAAAAAAAAAAAAAAAAAAAAGTGCTCAAAAGAGGATATTCAAATGATTACTAAATATATGAAACCTCAATCGTGAAAATGTAAATTAAAACCATAACAAAATAGCACTTCACACCAACATAGTTAACATTGCAGATATTGGTGAGGGTGTAGAACAAGGGACATTCTTCTACACTGTGTAAATCAGTGCCACCACTCTGGAAAACAGGTTGGCATTTCTACTAAAGTTGAAAATGACTACACAATTTTGTTCCTAAGTATATATCCTACAGAAATGCATACAAGGTATACCAGCAGTTACGTACAAGAACGTTCACAGCAGCTTTCTCTGTAATTGCCAAATACTAAAAAAAGTCCACATATTCTACAACAGTAAAATGAATAAATTTGGGGATGTTTATACAATGGCATACTATTCAGCATTGAAAATTAACAGACTGCTTCACTCAACAACATAAATGAATCTGAAAAACATAATGTTGAGTTAAAGAAAATAGATGCAAAACAATACATTGCATAATTCCATTTATATAGCTTTTTTGTTTTGTTTTGGTTTTGTTTTGAGACAGGGTCTCTCTCTGTCACCCAGTCTAGAGTGATGTGTCCCAATCATGGTTCACTGCAGTCCCAAACTCTTTGACTCAAGGGATCCTCCTGCCTCAACCTCCAAGTAGGTAGGACTACAGGCATGTGTTATCGTACTCGGATAATTTTTTTTCTTTTTTCTTTTTTTTTTTCAAGACAGGGTTAACTATGTTGCCTAGACTGGTGTTGAACTCCTGGCCTCAAGCAGTCCTCCTGCCTCAGCCTCCCAAAGTGCTGGGATTACCACCATACCCGGCTAAATTGTCAAAACTAAACTACAGTGGATAGGAGTGCATTCTTAGTGGTAAACCACTATAAAGAAAATGAAGCTAAAAACCATAAAAATCAGCATGGTGGTCACCCTGAGGATGGAAGAGAGGGCATTGTAATTAGACAGAACAATGGGAGGAGCTTCTGGGGTATTGAGCTCGTTCCATATATTAATCTGGGTGGTTGTTTTTCCACAGATACTAGCTTTTTAATAATTCAGTTAGCTGTACATTTATTTATTTATTTATTTATTTATTTATTTATTTATTTAGAGATGGAGTCTTGCTCTGTAGCTCAGGCTGGAGTGCAATGGTACGATCTCGGCTCACTGCAGCCTCTGCCTCCTGGGTTCAAGTGCTTCTCCTGCCTCACCCTCCTGAGTAGCTGGGATTACAGGCATGTGCCACCACACCTGGCTAATTTTTGTAGTTTTAGTAGAGACAGGGTTTCACCATGTTGGCCAGGCTGGTCTTGAACTCCTGACCTCAGGTCATCCGCCCACCTCGGCCTCCCAAAGTGCTAGGATTGCAGGCGTGAGCCACCACACCCATTCTGTACATTTATTTTTATATACTTTTATGTATACATGTAATTTTTCACAATTAAAAGAGCTAGAGACAGAAGACAAACCTGTATCCTAAGAAATGTGAAGCTTGAATAGCACTATCTGTGTGCTAACAAGCAATTTGTTTCTCAGATATGCTAGTCAGCCACCAAAATGGCCCCTAATGATCCCTGTCTCTTGGTATTCACTCCCTGGTATGGGCTCCTCCCATATTGTACAAAGGTTGGTCTGTGTGACCAATAGAATATGACAGAGGTGATATGTATCATGTCCAAGATTAGGTTATTAAAGCCATTGTGGCTTCCATTTTGAGCACACTTTCTCTCTCTGGGATCATATGATTTTGGGGGAAAACACCTGCCATGTTGAGCAACCCTATGGAAAACCCCATGTAGTGAGAAACTGAGGTCTCCTGACAACAGAAGCAAGGAATTGAGGCCTCCAGGCAACAGCCATGTGGGTGAGTCATCTCACAAGCAGATACTCAAGTATATCAAGCCTTCAGATGACTGCGGCCCAAGCCAATATCTTGAGTGCATCTTCTTGAGAGACCCTGAGCCAGGACCATCTAGCAAATCACTTCCATAGTCCTCATCCTCAGAAACTGTGAGATAAAAGTGCTTGTTTTAGGCTGCCAACCTGGGAGTAATTTGCTATGCAGATAGCTAATACACAACCCTAGAGAATAAAAATTGCTTTTGGTATAGCCCCTACCTTTATTCTATGAGGCACTAATAACCCTTTTTAACCTTGAATTTGGAGAAACCCTGAATGCAGGCAGTTAATTCATATGTGGATGTTTCACATCCAAATGCTTTTTGTCTGGTCCCCCAGATCACCATGGTTTCTATTTTATAACTAGTACATACTATATACTAATATATAGTATTATATTACTATAATAATATGGTATTATAATCATAATACCGTAATCACACAAAACACGAATGTACATCTTACCAGCTTATTAAAAAACAAATAAATACTGGCCAGGCACAATGGCTCATGCCTTTAATCCCAACACTTTGGGAGGCCGAAGTAGGGGGATCGCTTCAGCTCAGGAGTTCGAGACCAGCCTGGGCAATATAACAAAACTCCATCTGTACTAAACAACAACAACAACAAAATAGCCAGGTGTGGTGGTGCATGCCTGTAGTCATAGCTACTTGGGAGGCTGAGGCAGGAGGATCACTTGAGCCCAGGAGTTCAAGGCTGCAGCAAGCTATGATAGCACCACTACACTACAGCCTGGGCAAGAGTGAGACCCTGTCTCAAAAAAAAAAATAACAAAATAAAAATAAATAAAATGAAATAAAAATAAATCTAACAGCAATATTATGGAAATGTTCAAGGTTTTGAAGGAAAGGTCCTGGGTGATCTGAGACATGTATTAAGATCTGCCATGGTCAGAGAGATTAGGCAGGACTTCCCTGAGAAGCGGTATTTGAGCTGAGATCTGAAAATAAGTAGGAGGTAGTAGAGCATAAAGCCTGGTAGGCAGAGGGACACCTAATCTAGTACTTCCTAACAGTTACCCTTTTCACTGTCCTTGTCCTCTGTTTACACCAGCCACTTACCCAGTCCCCACCTGTTCTCATCCCAGGGTAGACAGGAATCACTTCTTGACATACCTGTAAACATTACTGGTGTAAGGTTTAGAAAGCTGAGCTGTACACAAAGCCCTGTGGCAGGAGAAACCCTGGTGATCTGATTGACCAGACAGAAGGCCAGTGTGACCAGAGGGCAGAAAGAAAGGAGAATAGTGAGAAATGAAGCTGAAGAGGTATGCAGAGGTTGACCACGTCCAGCATATTAAACATTATAAACATTAATCTGCGTGCATGCCTGTGTGCACACTATACTTGACCAAACTGTTTAGCCCTGTTGGAATTTTTTTTGTTTTAATAGGTTGTAGCTCACTGCAGCCTTGAACTCCTGGACTCAAGCAATCCTCCCACCTCAGCTTCCTGAGTAGCTGGGACTACAGGCATGCATCACCACACCCAGCTAATTTTTTTATTTTTTGTAGAGACAGAGTTTTGCCTTGTGGTCCAGGCTGGTTATTTTTAAATTTTTATTTATCTATTTTTGAGACAGGATCTCACTCTGTTGCCCAGGCTGGAGTGCAGTAGTGCGATCTCAGCTCACTGCAGCCTCTACCTCCTGGGTTCAAGCAATCCTCCCACCCTCAGACTCCCAAGTAGCTGGGACTACAGGCATATGCCACCATGCCTGGCTAATTTAAAATTTTTTTTGTACAGACAGGGTATCCCTATATTGCCCAGGCTGGTGTCAAACTCCTGGGCTCCAGCTATCTGCCTGCTTCAGCTTCACAAAGTGCTAGGATTGCAGGTGTGGGCCACCGAGCCTGGCCCAGGCTGGTTATCCTTTAAGTCCAAGATTAATGAGGTGTAACTGGCTCAGATGATGTGATTGCTGGTACCTATCCAAACAAACTCCAGCTTCATGTAGGAAACATTTGGCCAGAAGAGGGACAGTGAGCCCTCCAGAAAGACAGATGTGATGCTCAACTCACTCAAGAGTTCTCGTCTAGAATTGTGGTCCATTGTTTGTAGATAATGGGCAAAGTGGGTCACGCCTATAATTCCAGCACTTTGGGAGGCCAAGATGTGAGGATCACTTGAGTCCAGGAGTTTGAGACCAGTCTGGGCAACATAGCAAGACTCCATCTCTACAAAAAATGCAAAAATTAGCCAGGTGTGGTGGCTTGTATGTGTGTAAATCAAATTAATTACTTTGGGGAGGTTCTAAAATTATGAGTGATTAGTTTCTCTTGCTTTGAAATAAACTTAGGCCTAGAGTATAACTTTACTTAGAATTAAGGTGTTTGGGCCAGGTGTGGTAACTCACACCTATAATCCTAGGGCTATGAGAGGCCAAGGCAAAAGGATTGCTAGAGGCCAGAGGCCTGGGCAACATAGTGAAACCCTGTGTCTACAAAAGTAAAAATAAAAAAAATTAGCCAGTCATAGTTGCTCAGTCCTGCAGTCCCAGCTACTGGGGAGGATTGCTTGAGCCCAGGAATTTGAGGCTGCAGTTAGCTATGATTGTGCCACTGCACTTCAGCTTGGCCAACAGAGCAAAACTCTGTCTCTAAAAAATAAAAATAAATAAATAAAGGAATGGGAGAAAAGATGAGAAGAGAATGTAAATGGGATGATGACAACATTTTGGAAGCCAGAAAACAGATGGTGTTAGGTAACTAACAACAAAGCAGAAAAAGCTGAAACTTAGGCATGCAGGTGGGTAACCCAGAAGGAACCAAAATGGTTCATACACAGAACTCTGACCCTCTTAGACACCCCAGAGACTTTTGAAGGTGGGTTTGGGTGTGGTGCTGAAATGTAGAATTGGGTTGAAAGTTGGTACGAGGAGCAGTTGGATTCTTCAGTCTCTTCATCTAGCCCATGAAGCAGATGACTGCCCCTTCCCTCCCTTGGTGGAAGAACAGATTTCATGTTTAGTACTATATCAGTACTATCACTCGCCAAAAGAAAAAAAGGCACTGAAATGTATCTGAATTGTTTAAAACCCTAATAATTGTAGCTGTCAGGCACTCTGTTAGGTTCTAGTCCATAAAGATGAATAAAACATGGTCCTTATCTTTGAGAAACTCACAGGTTTTTTTAAACGTAGCTTTCAAGATACCAATAAAAACAAAAGCATATCATGAGGCATTGCATCCCTCTGTACAATGTCATAGACAGGAGTTCTGTATATGGAGACTTCTTTGAGGACTGGGTGGCCAAAAAAGGCTACCCTCCTTTGTGTAAAAGTTACATTTTGATGTTCTTGGTGATTCTCAAGGCAGTAAGGAGCCAATTTGGCTTGAATGCTGGTTTTTAGAAGGGAATAGGCAAAGATGCATTTGGAAAGGTAACTTGGCATTAATCTGGTAAGAAACATGGATTTCAGAGTAAGGTGTCCAGATTTTACCCTGTCATTGGAGATTTTTGCATAGGATGACAGAATAAAGTGATCTACCCTTTCTGTGTTTTAGGAAGAAGAAAATGACAGGTGCTAAGAGAGAGAGGAAAGGGTAAGACGGGCTGGGACCCTGTATCAGTCAGGGTTTCCAGCTGCAAGAAAGAAAAATGAATTCTTGCTAACAAAAGCAGAAAATAAAGTGGTTGAAATTAAACTGTGCAGTTCACAGTATTGATGGGAAATCTATAAAGAACAAGGCTCAGAAAATCCCTCCTACTGCCTGTTATCCACATATATCCTTCTTCCCATACTTAACTCTTCCAAAAAAAAATTTTCCTGTCCAGCACGCTTTGGACATCCCTTATACAAATGAAAATCACTTACTGCCTCCCTCAAAATAGCCTCAGATTTTAGCAGTCACTACATCCAGTTCCAAGCCCAGGGAGTCTTGTTGATGCCTATTCCTAGTTCTGCCCAGTCTTGTCTTGATATCTTTGTAGATTAGCTTGTAATGTTATCAATCACCAACACATATTTTTTTTTTTTTTTTTGAGATGGAATTTTGCTCTGTCACCCAGGCTGGAGTGTAGTGGCTCAATCTCAGCTCACTGCAACCTCTACCTCCCAGGTGGAAGCAATTCTTATGCCTCAGCCTCATGAGTGGCTGGGACCACAGGCACGCACCACCACGCTTGGCTAATTTTTGTATTTTTTTTTTTTAGTAGAAACGGGGTTTCACCATGTTGGCTGGGCTGGTCTCGAGCGCCTGACCTCAAGTGATCTGCCCGCCTCGGCCTCCCAAAGTTCTGGGATTACAGGCATGAGCCACCGTGCCCGGCCAACACATCATTTACTAAAAAAAAAAAGAGAGAGAGAGAAAAAAGAGAAATCAGTTAAGATATATGAATATATTTAGGAAAAATCAAGGAAAGAAATATGGAAAGAGGCTACCATTCTCATTTCCACAACTAATCAGAAGGCTGTGGGTATTTATGACTTCTGTCCTCTCTACTAGTTCTGTGGTCTCTTTGCCTTTAGGCAGAACCTCAGCTGGTCAGTATATGACCCAAATCTCATTTCTGAGAGATCCAAGCTTTTGGTGGTCCTGCCTGTTCAAGGGGTTAAAGATGTCTTTCATTAACTTTTAGTTCTGATCATGGTTTCATGAGGATGCACCCCAGGGGATCCCCTCTGTACCATCAATATGCCTCTTGACCCCAGTGTGTAACTACAATCTTATTTCTTCACAAAAATCAGGATTAATGACTCAATACCATAACTTACCATAACTTCTTTTTTCCCCGTTGATCTACTGCAGTGAGGAACCCAAAGTGGCCAGTGGCCATCTCACCCTAAACTGTTGTTCCTACTGGTGGAATATTTCTCACCAGCAGAGCTCAGAGTTGATGTAGTGGGGAGAATAATAGTTCCCAAAGATATCCACATCTTAATCCTCAAAACCTATGAATATGTTACATGATAAGAGGGAATTAAGGTTGCAGATGGAATTAAGGTTGCTAATTAGCTGGCCTGAAGATGGGAAAATGATCCTCTATTATCTAAGTGGGCCCAATGTAATCACCAGTGGTTACCTTCTAAAAGCAAGAGGGAGGCAGGAGAGTCAGTATTAGAGCACTCCATCATGGGAAAGATTCGACCAGCCATTGCTGGCTTTGAAAGGGGGGCCATGAGCCAAGAAATGTGGGTAACCTCCAGAAGTTAAAAAAGCCAAGGGAACAGGCAAGATTTGTCACCTAGGGCCTCCAAAAGTAACACAGCCCTGTCCACACCTTAATTTTAGCCCAGTGAGACCCATTTTGGATTTCTGCACTCCAGAGCTGTAAGATAATAAATATGTGTTGTTTTTTACTTTCCAAGTTTGTAGTAATTTGTTAAGGATACAAGTGTATTTTTTTTTTTTTTTGAGAAACTGTCCCACTCTGTTGGCCGGGCTGGCATGATCATGGCTCACTGCAGCCTCAACCTCCTGGGCTCAAGCAATCCTCCCACCCCTCAGCCTCCCAAGTAGCTGAGACTATAGGTATATGCCACCACACCCTGCTAATTTTTTGTACTTTTTGTTGGGACTGGATTTTGCCATGTTCCCCAGGCTGGTCTTGAACTCCTGGGCCCAAGAGATTCCCTTGCCTCAGCCTCCCAAAGTGCCGGGGTTACAGGTGTGAGCTACCACGCCCAGCCACAAGTGTAACTGTAATAGGTACCACCTCACCTATATATCTCATCCCCACCCTTGTATATTTTTGGTTATGAGAGAAATGCTCCACATCGTTGGTCACTATTTCAGAGCTTATGTCACATTCTGTAGGATACCACTCTAATCTTTTTTTTTCTTTCTTTCTTTGAGACAGAGTTTTGCTCTTGTCACCCAGGCTGGAGTACAATGGTGCGATTGCGGCTCACTGCAACCTCCAGCTCCTGGGTTCAAGCTATTCTTCTGCCTCAGCCTCCCGAGTGGCTGGGATTACGGGCATGTGCCAAACACGCTTGGCTAATTTTGTGTTTTTAGTAGAGATGGGGTTTCACCATGTTGGTCAGGCTGGTCTCGAACTCCTGACCTCAAGTGATCCACCCGCCTTGGCCTCCCAAAGTGCTGGGATTACAGGCGTGAGCCACCGTACCCGGCTGATACCGCTATGATCTTATGAGATGTTGTCTCCAGTTGGCAAAATAAAAACTAAGACCTCAGTAAGCCTATTCTATAAGACTAGCTGGAATATACAATAAAACTAAATAAGGAATCCCAGAAGAGTTGAATTGTGTATCCCAGCTGTCTTACTTCTTCCACCGTAAAAGTACTCCCTTGGCCAAAAGCATCATTGTGTGGGATGTCATGTTGAATGCCTTATGAGTCATTCAGTAAGTTTCTGGATGGTGCTGGCAAAAATACAGTGAGTAGGAAAAATATATAGAAATTTAAAGTAAGTTTCTTCTACAATGAAGATAAATTACTGCCCTGTCCATGAAGGAAGAGGTCCAAACTGGCAGTAGCAGGTCAATCTTAGTGTGAGAACGTCCACGTGATTGAGCCTTTACACTCAACATGCATTGCCTCCATCAGTGGTCCCATGGTCACTTTGTTCACAAGCTCATACAGCACACTCTGGTGTAACTAGGGGAAAGGGTGGATACCATCCATAGAGCAGTTCATCTTCTCTACCTGATTGTTGATAACCCTCTTCTACTCACGAGGCACAAATGTTCTCATTATAGTAGATTGGTTTTCTCAACATACGTTCTAAACTCCTTAGACTGGTTTTCTCAACATACATTCTAAACTCCTTCGTACCTTTCTATACTGAGAGTCTAGAAAGATAAAAGCTGTATTTCTCAGATCCTATTACAGTTATGGTTTCAGGTGTAATTGAGATTTTTGCCAATCAGGTATATTCCCATGAGACTTGAATGTGAAACCCAGTTAACTGAGTGATGTGGAGAAAGAGGCAGGATATGAAGTATTCACTTTGCTGCTGTGAATCATGACAGAGGAAGTGTGGTTCTGTGGTTACCGACGTGCTGATTTGCTGGTTTCCTGCAGTGGAAGCCATAGCTTACCCAAGCATAGCAGAATCAGTGAGATTCTGGGTGTGGGGAGTGCTCTTACAAGCTCCACCTAAAGCTTCTTCCCCTACCCCTTACAAATATTGTGTAAGCCACACGTGATCCCTGGTAATAACGCCCTTCTCCCTTAAATTAAGTAGAGTGGTATCTGTGGTCTGCAACTGAATCATGACAGATACTGTCACATTTGGGAACCATTTTAAGAAGTTCTTCCACATTATACTTCTCCAACTTCATTTTAATATCACTTCTAACTCCCTAATCATCTAGCCAAACCATTAACCTCAGACTCTTTTTTTTTTTTTTTTTTTTTGAGATGGAGTCTCGCTCTGTCACCCAGGCCGGAGTGCAGTGGCGCGATCTCAGCTCCCTGCAAGCTCTGCCTCCCAGGTTCACGCAGCTGGAACTACAGGTGCGTGCCGCCATGCCTGGCTAATTTTTTTGGGGTTTTTTTTGTATTTTTTAGTAGAGACGGGGTTTCACCATGCTAGGCAGGATGATCTCGATCTCCTGACCTCGTGATCCACCTGCCTCGGCCTCCCAAAGTGCTGGGATTACAGGCATGAGCCACCGGGCCCGGCCAAATCAGTGTAGACTCTTAACCTGTTTCTCCTTCTGGGAAAACTGGTCAGGTAGTTGTATTTCTTGAAGTCCTGACTATCCTCAGTGTCCTTCAGGGTCACCCTTGATTGGGGGCCACAGTATCACAGCAGCCCATTTCTTTCTAATGCCAGCACATTAGGTGAAGACAGCTACAAACTAATCATGACTTTATTCCACTGCAGTCTGGTAACAAGGCCCATTTCATTGGTTATAGTGGTAGATGAAATAGCAATGCAGCAGAAGTAGTGGTGTGGGTGCTAGGAGCCATTTGTGTTTTCAGGATCTGCTGTGGCCTCATTTTGTGTATGTCATTTCTACTTGATAATGGATCCATGTCCTAGGTATGAACCAGCTTTATACCTAGGAAGACCAGATGATAGCCAGTTCATGATTATGCTGTGATCATGCTGGGTTCCATGATCATGCTGTGTCCGTGGCCCAGCAGCAAGCTGAGAGCTGATTCTCAAAGAGAGAATATTTACCTGCCAAAAGGCATGCTCAGAGGGCCTCTGCTATGATTATTCTATCAGGACATGCCATAGATGATAAAGTACCTCAGTCTGCCACAAACACTTTGAACATTATAAGGATCGCAAGGACTAAGTTGCACTGCAGACTGGACCAGCTGGAGAACCTTTTCTTCCTCTGAATCTCACTCAAGTATGGCTTCATTTCAAGTGACCAGATAAGGAGGTCAGAGCAGTAACCCAAATATGATCAATGTTGTCTCTAAATTCACCTAAGTGATGTGACTCTTTTGGTTTAGGGGTAGGTAGCACAAGTAAAGCAACTTGTCCTTCATTTTGAAGGGAGCACCTGTATGCAAGATCACTAAACATCAAGAAATATCAGTGAAGTGAAAAGCCTTTGTACTTGAACCTCCCTACCTTCCGGTATACATATATTTCCTAAAGCGTGTAAGATACTTGCTATTTTTTACTCCATATGCCCTATTAGTTTGATGTCATGAGTTCAGTGGGCCAGCATATCTTGTGAGATGGTAAGATGGGTCAGGATCCCTATGTGCTAACTTGTAGCAGAGTCAGAAAGTTCATGTAACCATGAGACAGTGTAGATTGATGTGTGTTATATCTGTTGTTTTCTGCTATTAAGCCAAAGAAAAATACTTCACTGGATTAATGTCTTCCTTTTCAATTGCATTTATTTGTTTATTTATTTATTTTACCTTCTTGCCTTCATCAATGTCTTGTTTGTATTTCGTACTTTTCTCTCTCTCTCTCTCTTTCTCTTTCTTTTCATTTTTTAAGAGATAGGGGCCGGGTGCAGTTGCTCATACCTGTAATCCCAGCACTTTGGGAGGCCGAGGCAGGTGGATCACCTGAGGTCAGGAGTTCAAGACCAGCCTGGCCAATATGGTGAAACCCCGTCTGTACTGAAAATACAAAAATTAGCTGGGTGTGGTGGCAGGCACCTGTAATCCCAGCATTTTGGGAGGCTGAGGCAGGAAAATTGCTTGAACCCAAGAGGTGGAGGTTGCAGTGAACTGAGATCAAACCACTGCACTCCAGCCTGGGTGACAGAGCAAGACTCTATCTCAGAAAAAAGAGAGAGAGAGAGAGAGAGAGAGATGGGGTATTCTGTGTTGCCCAGGCTGGTCTCAAACTCCTGGGCTCAAGTGATCCTCCCACCTCAGCCTCCCGAAATGCTGGGATTATGACTGTGAGCCACCATGTGTGGCATCCCTTTCTTTTCACTAACACTCTCTCAAAATAGATGTAACCATTCTTCTGACTTCTAATATCCTTGATCAGTTTTTCTGATTCTTGAACTTCATACACTGGCAGTGTATAAGCACTATACCTGCTCCAGATTCTTGCCAAATATTGGTATTGTCAGGTTTTCTTTTTAATGTAAGCCTTTCTAGTAGATGTAGTACTGTTCTGTGTTTTCTTAGATTCAATTCTGTATTTGTGTATTTGGTATCCATTAATCATAGGGCCAAACTGCCAGCCAAAGTTGTTTACATGTCCCCTGGATCCAGCTTTCACAAGCACACAAAAATCCTCCAACAAATCCTGACATAGAAAACTGTGTTTTCTTAGCAGATGTGATCGTATAGTTTTGTAACCTCATTACTATTATAAATGTAAATAATTCTCATACTTTCTCACCTCTAGAGGGAGCTTCTTTCACAGTTATTCTTGTTCTTTGGCAGCAGTTTAAATGAGGCCAGACTCAATCTCTTTTTGAAAATAAACCTAGCAGAGTTAGGGGTCTTTAGGTTTTCCATCATGCCAATCACTCTCTTCTCATTTGAAGAGACAGTATGAATACTATAAGTATTCACAAACATAGAAATACTGGGCCAGGTGCAGTGGCTCACACTTGTAATCCCAGCACTTTGGGAGGCCAAGGTGGGTGGATCACCTGAGGTCAGGAGTTCGAGACCAGCTTGACCAATATGGTGAAACCTTATCTTTACTAAAAATACAAAAATTAGCCGTGCATGGTGGTGCCTGCCTGTAATCCCAGCTACTCAGGTGGCTGAGGCCCGAGAATCACTTGAACCTGAGAGGCAGAGGTTGCAGTGAGCTGAGATTGCGCCACTGCACTCCAGCCTGGGCGACAGAGTGAGACCCCGTCTCACAACAAACAAACAAAGAAACAAACAAACAAAAAAACACAGTAGGTTTATTTTGAAAGTAATTTTCCCAGGACAAGAGTTTTACATGACCTCCTTTTCAAAGTATACTTCCAATGAATTCACATTAATAGAAAACAGTACAGAGTAAGTTGATAATTATGAATCGTCAGCAAGTCTCCATTTTGCACAAATGGAAATGGAGAAAACAAGATTGATATTTTCCTAAATGTTTTCAATTTAACGCTGCATCATATCAGAGTCTTGGAATTCATTTTATAAAGTGAAAGGATATTTCTCTCTCTGTTGCTTCAAGGAAGAGGGAACATTTTCATTTCCTTTGTAGACACGTTTTTGTTAATTTTTGACACTTGCTTTTTTATAGCCAGTCTCTGAAATGTCATTAGGTAGCATTAAATAGTAAATTCAAGCCTTTAGATCTCAATTTAACTGGCTGAAATGAAGAAAGAAATGGAAGGCTTTTATTAAATAGAGAACATGGCCAGGCATGATGGCTCATGCCTGTAATTCTAGCACTTTTGGAGGCTGAGGTAGGAGGATTGCTTGAGCCCAAAAGTTCAGGACCAGCCTGGGCAACATGGCAAGATTCTATCTTTACAGAAAAATTTAAAAATTAGCCTGGCATGGTGGCACATGCCTATGGTCCCAGATACTTGAGAGGCTGAGGCAGTGGGGATCACTTGAGCCCAGGAGGTAGAGGCTGCAGTGAGCCAGTGAGCTATGATTGCACCCAGGCACTCCAACCTGGGTGACATAGAGATACCCTGTCTCAAAAAAAAAAAAAAGAACATATAGCAGGAATCTTCCATATTAATCTTCCACACTAGTAAATCTCTTCTTCATCTTTTTATTGATTTCCTTGAGATATGCAGAAATCTTATCTCAAAAATTACCTGAGTGTGATATATCTATGCCATGGACTACTGCTCAGCAACGAAAAGGAATGAACCACTGAAACATGCAACAGTGCAGATGAATTTCTAAAACACTGTGCTGAGGGAAAGATGTTAGGCACAAAGATCTATCCTGTATGATTCCATTTATATGAAACTCCAGGCTGCGTGCAGTGGCTCCTGCCTGTAATCCCAGCATTTGGGGAGGCCAACCTGGAGAACTGCTTGAGGCCAGGAGTTTGAGATCAGCCTGGGCAACATAGTGAGATACCTTCTCTACAATAAAATAAAATAGGCCAGGCGCAGTGGCTCATGCCTGTAATCCCAGCACTTTGGGAGGCTGAGGTGGGCAGATCACCTGAGGTCGAGAGTTCAAGACCAGCCTGACGAACATGGAGAAACCCCAAAATATACAAATTTTGTATTTTTAGTAGAGAAACTCTACTAAAAATACAAAATTAGCTGGGCGTGGTGGCGCATGCCTGTAATCCCAGCTACTCGGGAGGCTGAGGCAGGAGAATCACTTGAACCCAGGAGGTGGAGATTGCGGTGAGCCAAGATCATGCCATTGCACTCCAGCCTGGGCAACAAGAGCAAAACTCCGTCTCAAATAAATAAATAAATAATAAAATAAAAATAAATAAGAAATTCCAGACCTGGCGCAGTGGCTCACACCTGCAATCCCAGCACTTTGAGAAGCCAAGGTGGACAGATCACTTGAGTCCAGGAGTTCAAGACCAGCCTGGGCAACGTGGTGAATCTCCATCTCTACAAAAAAAGACAAAAAAATTAGCCGAGTGTGGTGGTGCATGCCTGTGGTCCCAGCTATTTGGGAGGCTGAGGTGGGAGGATCACCTGAGCCTGGGAGGCAGAGGTTGCAGTGAGCTGAGATCATGCCACTGCACTCCAACCTGGACGACAGAGTGAGACCAAAAGAAAGGAAGACATTTCAGAAAAGGCAGAAGTCATATATAATAATAGTAGATAATAGTTTCCTGGAACTGGAGGTGAAGTAGGGGATTGACTACAAAGGGGCATAAGGAGACCTTTGGGGATGATAGAAAAGTTTTATAGATTGCTTGTGGTGGTTAGTTACATGGGTCTATACATTGAACTATATATTTAATTGGTGAATTTTTATATGTAAATTATACCTCAATAAATTTATTTAAAACTAAAAGGAATAGAAGAGATTTTTAAAATTCTAAGAAATTCAACTTCTATTTCTGGTAACATGGTGAAGTAGGTTTCAGGTTTGAACCTTCCCACTCAAAACAACTAAAATGCTGGATATAATAGAGGAAAATATCTCCTTGAATGCATGTATGAGTTAGGAAGAAAGTGAAGAATGTTCAGACAAGAAGCTGCATAAAGGCAGAAAACCAGAGAGACAGACCACTGAAGCAGCTTTCACTTCTAGAGGATTGCCAGACCAGGTGAACTGGAGCACTGGATTTTGAGACCCCTGGATCAAAGTCAGGGTCTTCCCAAAGTAGGGATTCTAAAATAAGACACCCCTAATAAAGCTAAGACCCTAAAGGACTACACCCATTGTATACATGTTAATTAGAAACAAACCTATCCTAACGATTTGAAGAGTCTTTTCTCCAAAGAAGACCTACGAATGGCCAATAAACACATGAAAGATGCTCAACATCGTTAGTCATTAAGGGATGCAAATAAAAGCCATAAGCTCTTCACCCCACTAGGATGGCTAAAATTAAAAAGACACAAACAAGTGTTGGTCAGGATGTAGCAAAATGAGAGCCTTCATACATTGCTGGTGGGAGCGTAAAATGGTGCAGCCACTTTAGTAAATAGTTTGGCAGTTACAGGTTAAATGTTAAATACAGAGTTACTACCAGAGAGACCAAACATGTGATTAGACAGTTGGAACTTTCAGCCCCACACACTGACATGGGGGAGGTGGGCAGAGGGACCGGAGATTGAGCTCTATAAAAAATCTTGAACAATGACATTTGATATGAGCTTCTGGGTTGGTGAACACATTTAGATTCTGGGAGGCTGATGTCCCCAGAGAGGACATAAAAGCATTACTCACCCCTCCCCCACCATCTTGCTCTATGCATCTCTTCCATTTGGCTGTTCCTGAGTATCACTTATACTAAACCATCAATAGGAAGTAAAGTGCTTTCCTGAGTTCTGTGAGTCTTCTAGCGAATTATCAAACCTAAGGGCCAGGGGTCGTGGGTACGCCTGACTTTTGTAGCCAAGTCGATCCGAACTGTGGGTATCCTGTGGATCCAGTATTTGTGACTGGCATCTGAAGTGGGGGCAGTATTGCGGGACTGAGCTCTTAACCTGTGGATTCTGCACTAACTCCAGGAGTTAGTGTCAGAATTGAATTGAATCGTTGGGTGCCCAACCGTGTGAGAGAACCAGAGGGTTGGAAAATTGGTGTTGAAAATGACCATGTATTTGGTGTTAGGGAGGAAACAACCCTTCACATATCAGTATAAAAATAAATTGTTGGACATTGTTCTAGGAATCTTATACAGCTGTTAAAACTTAAAATGGCAGCTACATCCTCATTGTGATAAGTGCATTTTTCTTTTGTAATTTTGAAGAATTAGACTTAAACGTGTTTAAGAGAATAGCAAACTTTACCGCCTCTTAAATTTGTCCCAGCAACTAACCACTCCTTCCTTCCTTCCTCCCTCCCTCCCTCCTTTCCTTCCTTCCTGCTTTCCTCTTGAAGGAAATAATGTATACGGTGGTCCATTTCCAAGACAAAGTGCCTTGAATCAGCTTAGGTCAGCAAACTACAGAAGAACTAGGATATACTAGGCCCCTGCTTGGATAGCAACGCCTGCTTGTCGGCCTCCGTCCCCCACCCCTTCACCTAAACCAAAGAAGTTTTATTCTAAGATAAAAGTTTACTAGCTCACTTTATCTGTTCTTATCAGCCTGTCCAGCTACTTAGGTCATTAAGTCAAACACTTAAAGAGCCCTTGAGCTAACTAGGATTGCAATGCATTGTGGGCTGCAATAAAATGCAGCAAGACAACCCTAAAAAAAAAAAAATCACCTAAAGCCCCTACTCAACAAGCATAAGCAAAGTCCGGGAAGATAGTGACCCCATAGTACTCAGCCTCTGAGGAACCGGGGGAGGGAGCTGCGCACTAGGGGATAAATTGCTTGTTAAAACTGTACTGGTGGGAGGCTGAGGCAGGAGAATCACTTGAACCCAGGAGGCGGAAGTTGCAGTGAGCTGAGATCGTGCCACTGCACTCAAGCCTGGGTGACAGAGCAAGACTCTGTCTCCAAAAGCAAACAAACAAACAAACAAAACTATACTGGGCGTGCCTGCCTATCAGACACCCAATCTTGCAAGACCACCATTAAAAGTCTCACTTTTGCTGTTCTCCGAGTCTCTGAATCCATTCTTTGGGTTTGGAAGGGTGAGTTTGTTTTTCACAATCTGGTGGCCATACGGGGATCTCTGTGCCTGCATGGAGAGGGGAGACGTGCCCCACTTGATTTATGTGGCCCGCTCTGTCTGGATGTCCCGGCTCCCCACAGAAGCCACAGACAAACCGGAGACCATGATTCAGGAGATAACAAAAGTGACACAGGAAGAAAAGCAGGCACCGCGGCAACCAGACAACCTCGTGCACGAACCACGGTGGGAAAATGGGACTGTAAGTACTGTCTTGGTGGTGGGGCATTTTCAGAGGTCTCGGGGTGTGCAAGAAACCTCCAGTAAGGGGGGCTGAGTACACAGGGAAAAGCTCAGACACAGAGACTAACTGAAAATGGGAAACAGGAATTCTAGGCCTCGGGAACAAAGGAAAGAGGGAACTAGAAACACCCCCTCTGACATTCTCCTAGATAGTCCTTTGGGGAGAATGTTGCAGGTTTGAAAGGCTAATCCTCAAACCAGGGACAAGGAAAAGCAAAGATGATAAAGTATTGCTGTTTTATCTGGCCCAAAGAGCCCATTCATCAGCCTTGGGTCTTTTGGCCTAAGTTTGGCTCAGATGCGGATTGGGTGTGCCAAGCTTTAATTCTATATGTAAATGATGAAACCCCATCCTCACAAGAGGAGATGGGTTATGCTCTTTGTTGGATTAGTGAATAACCCCATGTTCCACCTTAAAGAGAAAAAAAAGAGCATAGTAAAGAGCCCTCACCCAATGAAAAGCCCTGGGGTCCCCTAACACGCTTGCCCTCACCCCCATACATCTCACAAAGTAGAGGACAGGGAGATCAGGGGCAACAGGAAGGCTGGAGGAAGAGGAATCTGGGGGCCATGAAGGAGCTAAACCCAGTGCTCCCTTCAATCCTTATCCAAACTTAAGGAAAGAATTAGAACAATGTAAGAAGGACATTGAGAATTTCCCCATTTCTTCTAAACAGTAGATGTCTAATACGTACCGTCTTAAAGAATTCCTTGTGGGACAGGGAGAAGTTGGATTTGTGAGTGTGCTTCTAACAAGTACTGAGGTTACGAATTTTAAAAAGGAAATGAGGCCACTCTTGGAAGATCCCCTCAGTTTAGCAGAGCAGCTAGATCAATTTTTAGGACCCAATTTTTATACTTCGGCTGAGATGATGTCAATCATGAATATATTTTGTTTACTGGGGAAGAGAGGGGAATGATTAGAAGGGCAGCCGTGACCATTTGGGAGAGACAGCATCCTCCCGGGCAAGGAGTCCTGCTAGCTGAGCAGAAATTCCCAAAAGCAAATCCTAGAGAGGATAGCAATAACCCCAGAGATTGGGCCCAAATGCAGGACCTAAGGGAATGAATAATTAGAGGGATTAAAAAGCCCACTCATAGAACACAAAATGTCTTGAAAGCATTCAAGATCCAACAAGAAAAAGAGGAGACTCCCTCTGCGTTTCTGCAGAGGCTCAGGGATCATATGAGAAAATATTCAAGATTAGATCCAGAGGATCCAGTAGGGCAAGGCCTTTTAAAGGTTAATTTTGTGACTAAAAGCTGGCCTGATATTCCTAAGAAACTGCAAAAGATTGATGGATGGAATGAAAAACCGATTAAGGAATGACTGAGGGAAGCTCAGAAGGTTTTTGTAAGAAGAAAGGGAGATAAGGGAGACCACCCCTCATATTGTCTTATGCCCAATTTCTGCCTCCGAAGAAAGAAGAAGTAAAAACTAAAAGGCAAAAATGAAATCCACAGACAGATAGCCCAGCGCTGCGCCCTGGGCCTGGTAGTTAAAAATCGACCCCTGACCTAACTGGTTATGTTATCTATAGATTCCAGACATTGTATG